>NC_000010.11:34574235-34878518 GCF_000001405.40 Homo sapiens
TCATTACTTTAAACAATCAAAAGCAAATGATTTTAATTATCTTAATTGTGCCAATCCTTCCCAAACTCCTCCCTTGAATTCACAGTTTCACTGACAGACATATCTAGTCTCTCAGCATTCTGATCTGACCATCACCAAATTTAGACACTTGTCCATAATTCCTGTGTCCTCCAGGCCTCTGAACAAGCAATATAGCAGGATTCACTCCTCAGTGCTCCTGCTACCAAGAGGAGCATGGAAATCCTCCACATTCACCAGGAATCAAAGACATATGCAAAATCCAAAGTTACATGACTCCAAAATAGTGACCCATCCCAGTGCATACGCCTGAAAATCATCAAAAACGGCTTTCAGGCCTCACTCAGGCAGTTTAGTTTCCTCAAATGAAAAATGAGGGAGTTAAGCCCAATTCACTCTTCTATGGGCTTTATTAAAGTATGACTCAAGTATTTACGGCAGTGTTCCCTTTAGACAGAGAACCACGGAACCAAGATATAGGAGCTCCTTCTCCCTGTCCCTCAAAAAATACTCTTGGGAAAGAACAATCATAAGCCTGGAGGTCCTCTAAGCACTTTGGAATAAGAAACATTTTCAAAATTGTCAGCAAAAACTAAGTTCCTAAGCAGCCATGCAGAAATATCTGCTATTCTGGCACTACTTGCACTAATAATTTTATCCAGAACAGTTTCCACAGGAGTCTTTATTATGAACACATTCATAAAGTAGAAAAGATTACTGAAATGGTTCTCCTCCCCTCCCCTGCTCCCCCCTTAAAGAGACAGGGTCCTACTCCGTCACCCAGGCTGGACTGCAGTGGCCCAATCATAGCTCATGCCTGGGCTCAAGCAATCCTCCTGCCTCAACCTCCCAAAGTGCTGGGATTACAAACATAAGCCATCATGCCTGGCCTTAAATGTACTGTTTCTTAATGAAAGTAAAACAAAATTCTGAGAATGCACAAATTCTTAAACCAGATTCAACATCCCAGAATTTTTATCGTATTATATCTTATGTGAGGCTTAATATTACATGATAATGCATTATTCATAATTAAGACCAGTGACTATTAATTTTTAAGTCATCTTATTTAAAGGAAATTGAGATTTCAACACCAAATTTTAATTTGATTTTAAACTCTTGGGACATAATCACAAGGGAGTAGGCTTTATCTATTTTCCTCAAATTGGAAAAATTTGGTAGACACAGAAATAATTTGGCTCCTATCTCCTATTTCTGCACATAAAGAGCACACCCCTTAGGATAGGGTTAGCTTCTGTGTAATAAGAAACCCCAGGCCTGACACATGAACTCATATTTCATATCTCCTAAGTTACAGGAGCAGCACTTTCCAGTGACACTTGTAGAAAATTGGGTATTTGGCCGGGAGCGGTGGCTCATGCCTGTAATCCCAGCACTTTGGGAGGCCAAGGTGGGCAGATCACCTAAGGTCAGGAGTTCGAGACCAGCCTGGCCAACATCGTGAAACCCCATCTCTATTAAAAATACAAAAGTTAGCTGGACATGGTGGCGGGTGCCTGTAATCCCAGCTACTCAGGAGGCTGAGGCAGGAGAATTGCTTGAACCTGGAAGGTAGAGGTTGCAGTGAGCCAAGATCACACCATTGCACTCCAGCCTGGGTGTCAAGAGTGAAACTCCGTCTCAAAAAAAAAGAAAAAGAAAGAAAGAAAATCAGGTATTTGAGCTCTTCTCTGTAGGTTCTAACTGAGATGCACCAGGCATAGGCTTAGCCATCTTTCTTTTCTACTGACTCATAAGAACGAGTCAGGGAAATGTGTGTTGCTTCTTCAAGCTCTGCAGGCAATGGTTATGTGCAGTCTTGAATGAATAAGCAGCAGAATCACTGATGTTTGCCAGAGAAGTACAGGGTAAGCCCTCCCCCACAAAGTCTCAATCTATTACTTTCAATGGGAATCCATGATAAAGTATAACAAAAGACACTATGCTTAAATATACACATCCACTTAGATGCTGTGGAGGACAAAATCCTAAACAACATAATACAGTTCGCTTGCCTCTGGCCTCTCTTCCTCACCCCAATTCTCGCCATCCCGACCTTCCAGAGGGGCTGTCTGCTTGCTTGTGCATTCTCTCATCAGCAATGTTTGTTTCACCTTTTAAAAGTTGTTAATAGCCAAATCAAGGAATCTTTAAAAATAAATACAAGTCAAATTAAATCACCCATAGAAACACACTGCACTCTTTACATGTTAAGGCAAGAAATTTTTGAAGAAGATGATCTGAAAAGAACAGGGACAAAAGAAAAAAAAAAGACAAAAGCTTTTTTTGGACCATATAAAATTATAGGTAAGCAGATAACAGCTGGTTTCCATTTCACCCCTCTGCCCACCCCTAATTTAGTGTGTCACCCCCTGACTGCACTAATCAGAACTCTATTGAAGGAGATGACTGTGTGAATTTACTGGGAACTAAAGAAATCACTACAGAAACAGTCTCCAACCCAAAGATAATCCTGTAAGCTGACCAGTGTCAAGATCTGAATATAAAACATACAAAACCAAATTTAGATACCTCTATGATATTTTTAGTTACAGTGGAATGAACATGTCACTGTATAGCTTCTCTGCATCTAATGCATAAAAATGAAAGGAAATCTGGTTTTCAACATCACACTCCCACTAAAACAACTTGCAATCAATTAACGTCATCAGCAGTAAAACTCAATTTTCTCCCCTGCGTGTGGGGGTGAACATACAGCACAGATTGATAATTCCCGTTGAGAGTGTGGCTAAGTGTTTCTAAGCAACCTTGCTCCATCATCTTCTCTGACAAAAACAAGGGAAAGGGTTTGAACTGCAGGCTGATGGAGCTCTGAATACTAATGACTAGGCAAAGAGGAATGGTTCATTACTGACTTCAGGCAGAAAAACAAAGGAGCAGCTTCGAGCTGTAAATAAATTCTAATTAAAACTTAGCCTGCATTTCATATACCTGAACTCAAGCCTACATATGAAGTTCCCTCAGTGACTGTCCATTCATGTGAGATGAACTCATTAATACACCTGCAGAGTTTTAGCAAATGATGCATGTGTGTTTTCTGAAATTGCTTGGGGAAAAAAATCTTCCAAATATGTCCATTTATATGCTGTAGAATTTGCTTAATCCTCTTAGGAACATTTAAACCGACAACATTCTTAAATTAGCATCTCTGCCCAAGAGACCTTGCACCGAAGCACAAGCACTGAGCTGCATGATGGCCCCAAATCAAAATTTAGAAATGTTTCAAACCGCTGGACACTCAGCTGAAGGCAACACAGCATAGCAGAATGAATCCGATTTGAATGAGAATCGATAATGTGTCTCTGTTCACACACCTTTCCTTCTGTCTAAATCCATCATTCTATCACTATCGTAAAATGAGCACCATATGGCTCATCTCCTGTCTGTAAAATGGGGATGAAAAAAAATTTCATCACTAACTCCACATGACTACTAGAATATGTGTGGAAGTGTGCACGTGTGCACAGGCACACACGTGGGTACATAGATGGATTCTTTAAATTTTAAGATGAGGGCTTTATGCTGACCAGGCATAGAAATTCTTTATTTAATGCATTAGTCAATGCTAGAATAAACTTTTTTTTTTTTTTTAAACAGACAGGGGTCTCACTCTGTCAACCAAGCTGGAGGGCAGGGGCACAATCAGAGCTCGCTGCAGCTTCAAACTCCTGGGCTCATGCGATCCTCCTGCCTCGGCCTCCTGAGTAGCTGGGACTACAGGAACATGCCAGCACACCTCACTACATGCGGCTATGTTTTTTTGTTTTCTGTTGCTCTTTTTTTTTTTCTTTTTTCCTTTGTAGAGACAGTGTCTCAGTATGAACTCCTGGCCTCAAGCAATCCTGCTGCTTCAGCCTCCCCAAAGTGCTGAGATTAGAGGCTAAGATAAGCTTTTTAAAAATGTGATACCTCCTTACAATATTCCAACCAAAACACAGCAAAACTTCGTGCTGAAAAAAATTTTTTTAAGTTTTTTACCTGAATCATCACATACTGCCATCCTTAAGCCCATTTATGCCTAGTGTTCCATTACTGGAACACCAAGCATGCGAGCGTTGTTTATATCCTACTGCTCAAAGTCATTGTCAAGGTCTGATTTTCAAAATTCACAAAATTGCAACCTCAGGCATAAATGGGTTAGAACATGCCATTTTTCTTAAATAAGAAAGTATTCCCATACCAATGAGCAACAGAATTGTCAAAGAATAAGTTTTAAAATAGCAAGAGCAACTAATATTTATTGAGAACATAGTATATGCCAAGCACCACAGTTGTAATTTCCACACATTAGCTCATTTTAACCTGACAACTCAGAGGTGAGTTCTATTAGCCCATTTTACATATGAAGAAACTGAAGCTGTAGGTGGTCAAACATCAAGTACTTTGTGGAGCTAGAATTCAAACCCAAGCTCCCTTCTACAGAGGCCACTGAGCCCTTACCAAGCTATATTCAGTGTTTCCAACTTCTCAAATACACTCAATCGCTGAGGGAACACATTACCTACTTGTCTAACAGTGAGTTAACTACCAGTCCTTGAATTATACATACTAACTAGACTTTTATGTGGCTGAAATTTTTAATTTCTTCTTTTATAATTAGTTCAGGTTGAATTTATACCACTTATAGGTAGAGGTGTTGAGGAAGATGGAGGGGAGCTAGATAGCCTAAGCATATACCTTTTCAAGATATCTGCTTATTCAAAGAGAAAATTATAAGGCTGCGCGCAGTAGCTCATTCCTGTAATCCCAGCACTTGGGAGACCAAGGAGGGTGGATCACAGAGTCAGGAGTTCAAGACCAGCCTGTCCAACATGGTGAAACCCCATCTCTACTAAAAATGCAAAACTTAGACGGGCATGGTGGCGTGCGCCTGTAATCCCAGCTACTCAGGAGGCTGAGGCAGGAGAATCGCTTTAACCCAGGAGGCAGAGGTTGCAGTGAGCCAAGATCGCGCCACTGCGCTCCAGCCTGGGCAACAGAGTGAGACTGGTCTCAAAAAAAAAAAAAAGAAAAAGAAAATTATTAAACCAGTGTAGCAGCATCCTTTTCAATAAACCCCAGCGCCTCTAAGCACTACCTTGCGTGAGGATGTGCACCTCTGGCTCTGCTGTCAGGTGAGCCCTTCCGTAACGCCCCCTGCCCCTCCCAGGTGCCCTAGATGAACTTAGTTTCCTCACTCATGAATGGGCATTTGGTTAAAATCAATGAAAAAAAATACGTAAGAAGCCTAGTTCACTGTCAGACAACGTGAACTAAATAAATAAAAGCTACCATTTTCTCTGTGTGTGTGTGTGTGTGTGTGTGTGTGTGTGTGTGTGTGTTTTGACACGGAGTTTCACACTGTCTCCCAGGCTGGAGTGCAGTGGCATGATTTTGGCTCACTGCAACCTCCGCCTCCCAGGTTCAAGCAATTCTCCTGCCTCAGCCTCCTGAGTAGCTGGGATTACAGACGTGCACCACCACGCCTGGCTAATTGTTGTATTCTTGAGACTGGGTTTCACCATGTTGGTCAGGCTGGTCTCGAACTCCTGACCTCTTGATCCACCCACTCTCCAACTCCTGACCTTGTGATCCGCCTGCCTCGGCCTCCCAAAGTGCTGGGATTACAGCCTAGAGCTACCATTTTCACTACAGAAAAAAAAAAAAATAGTTTTTGAGATGGAGTCTTACTCTGTCTCCCAGGCTGGAGTGCAGTGGTGCAATCTCAGCTCACTGAGGTTCATCCACCTCCTGAGTTCAAGCAATTCTCCTGTCTCAGCCTCCTGTGTAACTGGGATTACAGGTATGTACCACCATGCCTGGATAATTCTTTATATTTTTAGTAGAGATGAGGTTTCACCATGTTGGTCAGGCTAGTCTCAAACTCCTGACCTCAGGTGATCCACCAACCTCAGCCTCCCAAAGTGCTGAGATTATAAACGTGAGCCACTGTGCCCAGCCAGAAAAGCATTTTAAATTTTCCAATTACAGCATGCTTGGCCAGGCACAGTAGTTCATGCCTGCAATCCCAGCATTTTGGGAGGCCAAAGCAGGTAGATCACTCGAGACCAGCCTAGGCAACATGACGAATCCCCGTCTCTAGAAAAAAAAAATAAAAAGTAAATACAAAAATTAGCCAGGCATGGTGGCACGTGCCTGTGGTCCCAGCTACTCGGGAGGCTGAGGTGGGAGGGTCACTGGAGCCTAAGAAGTCCAGGTTGCAATGAGCTATAATCTCACCATTGCAGTCCAGCTAGGTGACAGAGCGAGATCCTGTCATTCATTCATTCATAAACAAATAAATCAAGCTTGATTGAATCCCAAAAAGCATTTTAATATGTTTACAGAAAACTGTAAGTTATCTATTAACCATAGTTTTTACTAATCCTGGCTGTGGGCCATAAAACATTTGCCAAAAATTTGGTATCATCTCCCACATTTAAATTTTTAAGCTTGAAACTGTGATCAAGCTTGGTCACGTAAAGATTTCCACCATAACTTAAAGAGTAACCACAGATTACAATAGCAGGGCCACTTAGAGACACAACGTATTATTCACCACAACTTCCAAAACTTCAGAACAATGACAGCTGCTCACACAAGGAAATGTGTACTATTTGAACTGGCAAGATTTTTAGCTGACTCATAAGGTATGTCCTTCAATCCTCCTTGTCTGACTTACATGGTCTAACACATTAATCATTTAATTTCTAAAAGAAAATATAAAACATGATCAGTGTGTGAAGTGATATTGTTTTCTTTCCCCCAACGAAATACAGGTATCAAGCTAAAAATTAGCTTAAGTACTTGAACTCATCGTAAGTAGCCAATGTTAAACATATCTTGATTTAGATTCCTTTAAAAGCTCATAATTATTGCACTGTTTAAATACAGCATCTTTAAATATAAATTAATATTTATTTGGGATTCTTGGGAAATTTGTTCTAGAAATTTATTTTGGTTATTTTTCTTTTTCTTTTCTTTTTTTTTTTTTTTTTTGAGACGGAGTTTCACTCTGTCACCCAGGCTGGAGTGCAGTGGCACGATCTCGGCTCACTGCAACCTCCACCCTCCAGGTTCAAATGATTCTCCTTCCTCAGCCTCCTGAGTAGCTGGGACTACAGGCACCTGCCACTGCGCCCGGCTAATTTTTTGTATTTTTAGTAGAGCTGGGGTTTCACCATCTTGGCCAGGCTGGTCTTGAACTCCTGACCTCGTGATCTACCCACCTCGGCCTCCCAAAGTGCTGGGATTACAGGCGTGAGCCACCGCGCCCGGCCTATTTAGGTTATTTTTCAAAGATTTTTGTTAAAAACCATTGCACAGAGTTATAGAATTTTGGAAGTGAAAGGAAACAGTATTTTAACTCAAGCCCTTGTCTGAAATGTGAAGATACTAATGCCTCAAGAGACACATCCATTTGCCTGACTCCTACACTGCAAATCTAGAACCAAAATCCAAGTCTTTGAGAACCCAGGACTTGTCATCTCTTGGTGTAGAGTTGAACCACAGTGCTGGAGGGGCTGTGAGAGGCAGTCTGGGAAAGAAGGGATTTCATTCGTGGTGGATGAGAAACAGAATCTCACAATAACGATATTATGGGCAATCCCTCTTGTGTCTAAAAACTACTATTTAACATGCTTGACAACTGAAACACGCATGAGTTGATTTATTGGCTAACTAAAGGCATTCTTCACAACACAGCAAGCTGTTTTCACATTAGCTCTACAACTAAAGGAATGTTAAGAATAGGAAGCTGATATTAACTATTTAAAAATTTACGCCAAGAACCAAAGAATTCCCCGGCAGAAACATAAAGACTTGCTGAAGTTTCATCATGTGAATTTATTGCCAATTCAGTCATCTTAAAAGTTGTGCTATAAAACATATTGTCCTTTGCTGTTCCAAATAACATTTGAAATAAATAATAACTTTCTTGACAGTGTTTCTGGAATTTTCTTCCATTCTCCAAAGCCAATTCTTAGACCCTTAAAGAAATGATGAGCTGGCATTTTGCCCATCATTCTCTAGGCAATTACTGGTTCCAGTAATGAATAAGGGGGAAAAGAATTCACATAGAAAGCTATTCTAGCACCACACTGCTTATATTTCCTCCTGAAGACTTTAGAGATAATGTGAAAATTAAAGACAGTACAGAAACCCAGTGTTAGGATAACTGGTTAGAAAATGACTCATGGGAACAAATATGCTCACCAATATCCTCTTGTAGCCACTTGTCCACAAATCACTTCAGGTATCGCTTTTATTGGTCTAAATGAATAAAGCAGTTCCTCTTATATATATCTCCACATAAAGAATAATTGGTCACAAAATCATAACCATTATAAACCAATTGGTACAGCCCCCAAAGCCATGAACTGGTTGAACTGAAGCATTCTCACTATTGATGTGTTATGCGCTATATGTGACACAGACTAAGCAGTGCCTACACCAACATCCACTGTTCTAGTCCTCCTTCATAAGGAAATTCTGTGTTAAGCTAGGCAGTCATGTGCTCACCTTGCAGTAAGCTGTTTTCGCATGAGCTTTAAGAAGTTAAAGACAAGAATGCTAATTGTACCTCACAAAAGCATCCTAAAAGGGAAACCAGGTGCCCTTCTTCTTTCTTCCTTTCTGCTGCCTGGAATATCAGCCTGATGGCTGAAGCTCAGGCAGCTACCCTGAACCATGAGGTGATACTGCTAAGAATGATACTTCGGGGAGACAAGTGTCTGGTTCTCTGACACTGGGGTTGTCAATACATACCAGACCTGGACTGCCAACTGCTTGACTTCTTTCACATAAGAGAGAAACAAACTCTTAGCATGTTTAAGCTGTTATTATTGTGAGTACCTGGGATTAAATGTGGTGGTATATAACCCCAACTAATAAAGTAAAAAATTTACCAAAATGCACCAACAAATACTGAATAAATATAACAAATGACACGATATAACCATCTAAGTTTTTGGTTTAATGCCATGAAATTTAAATCAAATTTAGATATATGCCAGTAAAACAACAAAACACCAGGAAGAAAAAACAAAGTTGTCCTTAAAAATGGACATCTAAGTGTTCTATTCACAAAAATAGGCTGTCAAGATAGCTGCTACTCTAAGTGTTAGGATCAGAAAGATACATGTGCTCCCTGCTTTTATTAGTATCTCTGGGTTTTAATTTTTGTCTTTTTGATTTTTTTTTAATTTTTGCCTTTGGAAAAATAAGTGAGACTGCTAGTCAAACCACTTCAAGTGTCACTTTTATTTTTAGAATCACTATCCCTTATTTACCTCTGCCTTCTTTAATGTTCCATCAATCAGTCCAGCCTTCTAAATTGAGGAAATGAGGCCCAATCAATCTGCCTTTACACAGAGTTAAGAAACAGACATTAAAAAACAGAATGAGGAAACCTTATCTTCCAGAGGTTACTGCACAGATGAAATAAGAGAATATATGTGAATCTACTTTGTAAACACTAAAGTACAATATAAATGACATTAGTATTGATCTTATGTTAAAGTAAGAAAAGAAAACAGACCATTTTCCCTACCGGAAGCAGAATGTTCTTTACAATTTTCTATCAGTTTAATGCTCCAATTTTTTTTTCCTACAAAATTGAAGATTAAAAAAAATCAGTGCAAATTAGGAACTAATTTTAATTACTTCATCTCCATCTATTTAATTCATATCTATGATGCTACCAATTCTAGATATTTTATTAGAGCCTTTGGTATACATAAATCATCATTTATTAGAGCGTAACAAATTTTTAGTATCACTTAGATTATACGTGATACACAAATGTGAAGATACAAGGATGCCTGGCATGCCCTACTGATTTTTCAAGCTATTGTTTTCCCAACTATTATTTCTTCCTAGCCTAAACTAGACATGAATTTGTTGACATGAGACTCTTTAACAAAAGGGCAACCCACCATTATTGCTTTAGAGACTGAAACCTTACCTTCCTCTTTGTCCATGTAGACCTATCCCTTACTGCTTCCTAAAATGAGGAATGAATCACTGATGTTGTCTCAGAATATTACAATGCTAAAGTCTTTCTAGTGTAGTAAGGAGGAAAGAGTTATGCACTTGGCAGAAAGACCTAGGACTTTCAGTTCCACTTTGGCCATGGATTCTCTGTAAGGCATTTGTTAGGATATTGCAACATCTCTAAGGTTAAGCCAAAACATATGTAAAACAGAAAAAATGCTTTTAGTAAAGTGCATTCAGATGCTAGTTTCTTGGCCCCATTTCATCTCTTCTCAAGCTCCTGTGTACAGTACCTTGAAAAAGAGAGGTACATGGTGTCCAACTAATCGAGCGGAGTTTCCTAATAATTCACATGAAAACAAACGTTACCTGACTCAATCAATTTTTAAGCGTCTCTGTGATGTTTGTCTATTATTTTTCAGTTGAGAGACAAACCTTTTTTTGAAAACTTCCATTACTGCAGAAGTTCCTGGTTTGCCCAATCATAATGCCATCTAATGATGGCTGTCAATTAAGCTAACTGGGCAGACAAAAAAATAGGCTAGTCACCCAAGATTACTGTTTGATATGTTTTCGTTACATGGAATAAAACACTTTAGGCTCATTAGGTTTTCCCAGGCTCATTAGGTCTTCCCCTCTCTTGTTCCTAGGGATTTATCCATCCCCAGAAACATTAGTTAGCTTTTTGCAAAGACTTTTTTTTCATCTTTTGCCATTTTATTAAACTTGCATGTTTGACCCTACTGCTTCATTCTCAGTAACACTCATAAAAAACAAAAAGAAAACACCTCATTCATGATCATCTGTAGATTTAATATATTGCTTAGCTAATTCTTCTAGATCATTAAAAGAAAAGATACACATTATCCTGTGGTTCTCTTCAACTTGATATGTTTTCAATTGCCACTAACTCTTGGACAGTTTATTACACACTTGACATTTCTTTATCCAATTCGGTTAGTTTGGTGAATAAGATTTCAAAAAATCACTTACTCGAAAATCGTGATATTTAACATCTATAGCCTTTTTAAAATTAAGTAATTCCATAGAGCTATCAAGGAAAGCAATCAGGTTTTTGTATGATGATTACTACTTAAAATGCTTTAGTCCTGCACCCATTAACTTACAGATGTTTACACATTCTTGTTAATGTTTATTTCATCAATCTATTAGGAACTGAAATTAAACTAACAATGTTAATTTAAAAAAAATCTGCTAAACTTCACCTGCTAATTCTTTACTATTTCTAGTACTAAGGCTCACCACTTTTTCTAATTTTTCTTTTTTTTTCTTTTTCTTTCTTTTTTTTTTTGGCAAAACTCTGGAAATCTACAGATAGTACCATCTCTGTGCACAGAAAGTGAAAATTGTGGTGTGCGGGTGTCATTTCAGAGGTTACTTAGCATACCTACTTCCTATCATTCAAATCACTCTGTCTGCACTGCTTATAGTCTTGAAGGCTTCTGCCTTTTGTAAAATCCCATAACATTAATTTATATACTTTTGCTAAAGGCTTAGAAAACTGAAAAGTATGTAAAATGAGAGGAAGGTATATCTGCATTTGCTTATATAAACATAAACTATCTCTAGAAGAACACACACAACAGACACACCCACTAACAACACTGCCTCCTGAGAAGGAAACTGAATGGCTCGGATATGGTGTCATCAATTACATATTTTGAATTTTAAACCACATGTGAATGCTCCACTTATTCAAAAAATGCAGGTTATTCCAGACCTGAGAATCAGAATCCTCCACAAGATTTTTATCAGTAATTTAAAAAAATTACCTTCCCAAATCCTGTAACATTCAAATATCCATGAGAAAAAAAAAAGTAAGTCATATCAAGTAACAACTGCTACTTTAATGCAGATTAGTTTTCAGTCCCAACTGATGGATATGGAAATCCCTGAAAATAAAGATACGGGTGGATAAGGTAAAAAGAACCAAGAATATAAAAGAAGTAACGACCCTATGGAAACCTAATTATGTTCTTTGAAATAATTACTTGATTAAAGGAATTCAGGATCAAGAATTTGAATAAGCACCAAGAGGCAATCTAGTAGGATAAGTAGGAATAGACCTCAGACCATTTTCATCATACCTTGTAACTGAAAAAACATTTCTGTGACTTCCATAAGGGAACCTGCAGAGCTCTCATAATGTAAAGGGAGGGGAAGGGGCAGAGAAATGGAGATAGGTCTAAAGATGTATGACTGAGCACATCAGTGTCTGTGTTTTTATACAGATCAAATCCACCTTATTCATCACTGAGCCATAAGAACACTATAGGGGGAAAAAATATACTCTGACAGCCTTTGGCACTGTAAAATGCATAATGATTAAAGAAAATTTTGTTTCTAGCCATATTTGAAAAATATTTGCTAGATGATTCTAAGCATTAAGGCACTCATGGCCAGGCGCAGTGGCTCAGGCCTGTAATCCCAACACTTTGGGAGGCCGAGGCGAGTTGGATCACCTGAGGTTAGGAGTTTGAGACCAGCCCTCCAGCCTGGGCAGAGAAACCCTGTCCCTACTAAAAATAAAAATTAGCCGGGCATAGTGGCACATGCCTGTAATCCCAGCTACTCAGGAGGCTGAGGCAGGAGAATCGCTTGAACCCAGGAGGCAGAGGTTGCGGTGAGCTGAGATGGTGCCATTGCACTCCAGCCTGGGCAACAAGAGCAAAACTCCATCTCCGAAAAAAAGAAGGCACTCATGTAGGGGTGATACGGGACAAACTCATTTTTCTAGTCCAGTCAACTGGGACCACAGCCCCAAAATTGACATCCTAATGCCCAGCATGGGTAGACATGGTAAATTAAGCAGAATGAAAATATAAGCCACTGAGGCTAATGTTTATTTTTTTTATTGTGTTTTTTTGTTTGCTTGAGACAGAGTCTCCCTCTGTCACCCAGGCTGGAGGGCAGTGACACAATCTCGACTCACTACAACCTCCACCTCCCGAGTTCAAGCAATCTCCTGTCTCAGCCTCCTGTGTGGCTGGGATTACAGGCGCCTGCCAGCACACCTGGCTAATTTTTATATTTTTAGTAGAGATGGGGTTTCACCATCTTGGCCAGTCTGGTCTCAAACTCCTTGGCCTCCCAAAGTGCTGGGATTACAGGTGTCAGCCACCGTGCAAAGCCTGACCCATGAGTTTTATAATCTTGTATTATGATGATGATGATTGTTCCCCTCTGAAAAATGCAATGAATGTTGCTCCCAGAGTTAAATACCACCATTAAAAAGCAGGCACAGTGCTACCTCAAGGACAAAGGAGAATCATCATCATTGGGCAGAGGAATTCATGTGTCATACCCTAGATTCCTTTGAAACTTTGCAAAAGAAGGGCAAGTTATATATTATAATCACTGTGGTGTTGGTGGTGATATTCTGTGTTTTAGACACCAAGATATCTACAGTCTCAGGAGCAACTTGCTTTAGCTATGTCTCCTGCATGCTAATGCTCCTCCATGCTCTGAGTTTCGTGCAAGTACTATGTAAAACCATGACTAGTTAGAAGTATAAGGATTTCATCACTGGCCAATAAAAGCCATCATCTTACAAATCATTGCGGATAAGTGCCCTGAGATAATTTCCATCAGCACTCCCACACAGCTCAGGGCTGGCTCCGTGGGTGGAATCACCCGTATACTCACACAGGGGCCACAATAGGTGTCTTGCTCTGCGGTGACCAGTTCAAAATTCTGAATCACTTTTAAACAATAGACTCGCATTTTCATTCTGCATTACTAAGATGAAGCAGGGACCCCTCTTACGGGCCTAACCTCCACCCCTTCCAGGCATGGAAGTAAAGAAAAAGCTTGAGTTCATATGAGGGAAATGCCAGGCACCTTGCTAGCCCTGAGAAGTAAATGAGCAATTTGATAAGAAGGTAACAGTTGCTTAAAACAGTAGCCAACAAAGTTAGAGTCATGAGATGTTTTGTTCTCAACAGAAATGTAAGATAACATCTTAGCATATGTCCTGTTTTTCAGAAACCTGGACCCCTACTAAACAGACCTGCTGGCACGCAGAGCTCAGGTGAGAGAAAACTGAGGGCGGGCCTCTGACAGCTCTTCTTGTTCTTTGCTGTAAAGTCTATCTGAGGTGATACAAGCCACAGCTAACATTCTTTTCTGGTGACCCCAAATATTTAAACAAAGCTTCTCTTCCTTAACCAACTGCAAATCTGAAAATTTTAAAATCTACCTATCACGTTTAATCACCCGGCGCTTCAAGAAAGCCCACCTGTATAGGTCAAAACCATGTACAACCTCCATGTATGAATTTATTACCATACCTGTGACCTCTGCCTCCTTGCCTTTAAAAATCCCTACCTGTAAGCCATCAGGGAGTTGGGGTTTTAAACATGGGCTGCCCGATTCTCCTTGCTTGGGGCCACGCAATAAATGTCTCACTTTCTCTTGCTGCAATCCCGTTAGTGTTTGGCTTTGCTACACTGAGTGGTTCTGAAACACTGAACCTGCAAATTGTGCAGCCACTCCTGACTCTATTCCTCAAGCTATGGTCTGAGGGCTGGCAGCATCAGTATCAGCTGGAGAACATGCTAGAAATGCATGATCTCAAGTTCCACCCAAGACCTACTGAATCAAGATCTGTAGGACATTAATATAACCTCAAAGTCTGAGGGGTACTGCTCTATTGAGAATAGTTCTACATTAAAATACAAAGTAGCACAGGCTCCATGGCTCATGCCTATAATCCCAGTACTTTGGGAGGCCAAGACAGAAGGTTCATTTGGTCCAGCCTGGACAGCATAGTGATACCCTGTCTCTCTCTCTTTCTACTATGTATACATAGAGAGAGAGAGACATAGAAGATATGTGGAAGATACATGACAAATGGTCCAAAACTCAACCAGCCTGTGAGATTACATAGTAATGAGTAGAAGTGAAATATTTTGCTCTATAAAAATCAATGTAAGAACTTGGTTAAACAGAGCCAGAGTGTACCCTTAAATTCATTTATCAAGAGCTCCCCACAATCACTTAAAAAAGTGTAGTACTATTATAGGTTGAACTGTATCCCCCAAAATGTCACGTTGAAGTCCTAACACCCAGTACCTCAGAATATGACTGTATTTGGAAATAGTCTTTAGAAAAGAAATTAAGTTAAAATGAGGTCATTAGAGTGGGCCCTAATCCAATATGACTGGCATCCTTAGAAGAAGAAAAAATTTGGACACAGACGCACACAGCAGGAGAACTCCATGTGAACATAAAAATGACCATCTGCCGACACTTTGATCTTGGACTTCCAGCCTCCAGAGCTGTGAGAAAATAAATTTCTGTTGTTTAAGCCACCTAGTCTGTGGCACTTTCTTATGGCATCCCAGCAAAACTAATATAAGTACATGTCCAAAAAAAAAAAAAAAAAAAAAACCAAGCATGTCAAAATATAGTTTCTTCCTTTTTTGGACAACATCCATGAACTCATTGTATCTTGTTAATCCTGAATTCACAGTTTTACTGGGGGGCTGGGGTGGGTGGGTGGGGGGCTGTTAATCAAGTGTTGCATTTTTAGAATTCTCCAAATGGCCTTACATCAGAATACTCAAGTGATTCCATGTACAGAAGTCATATGTATCAGTAACAGACAGTATTTATTCATAATTTCTACTGCTACGCACACTAGAACTTGCATGCTAACAGGAAGCAGAGAATGACATGGACATCATCTGTAGTGATCCACAACCTCCATTTTTGGTATTTATACAAAGATGGTGAACATTACCAATCCAGGATCATTTCATACACTTATTTCCATGAAATGCCAATTGCCAGTCTCACTCTGGGTCTTCCTAACACGAATATGATGACACCTTCTATGAAAAACCATCTCAGCAGGACGTCCTTCTCAAGGCTCTTCTCTTTCACTGCAAATGGGCAGTGGAAGGCTGTTCACCAACCACTCTTCAAATCTAATTTAAAATTAGTGCTAAAGGAGGGGCAGGACTCACAACGTCCCCCTGATGCCCTGCCGGCCAGCCCACACCAACGTCCACTCAAAGAATCCTTAAAATTGCAACAAATCAAATGTGACTTGCATCTAATTGCTTTTCAGAATATATGAGGAATTGTTGCCTGAATGCCTTCTCCTTTTGTTTTCCCCTACTTCCCAACTTTTCCCTTGGAGGGAAAGGACAGAGAAAAGACATAAGCATTCACTGAAAACTGTAATACTGTATAATCCATAGTTGATTGCATTTTCATTGATTCATAGTAAAATTGTTACTTATTATTTTAAAACTGGGAGTGGGCAGAGTGGTTGGAAATTCAGCTAAAGAACAGCAAGGGAAACACCAGCTTTTGATTTTTGTGTTAGCCAAAGGAGAGGTCACGTTCAAAGGTGCCTTGCCACTCTCTTCTCGCTGTCAGCTAAGGATCCCTGTCCAACAATGATCACACTTAGGGCATCCTTCCTGGTGTATAAAGAATCCTTCCTGAAATGGTTCCTAAAAGAAGAACTGGAAGTGGGCACACCCAGAGTCTAGATTTGTCTTTTAGGACTTCTATGGAAATCCTGATTCTTTAAAATGCACAAGAGAAACCTCATAAACGCTGTGTCCACAAGCAGCTGCATGAGACAGGCACTGGAGGCAAAGCACCCAAATGCTGGAAAAAATCTCTCTCTGTCCTTACTATGGCCATTTATTAACTCCCCCGCCTTTCCTTCCTCAGCCACTACCAACCCCATTGACACCTTGAAATGCCTCCTTCTGGCACAGATACAGGTCTGCAATGGCAGGACTACCAGGAAACAGGGCGGGAAGTAACAGGGGAAAACACACCTGCACACCATTCTGTCCCAACCCAGAGGGCCCCAGTCCCAGTCACGAAGACCAGCTTGTTCCCAGACCCCCCATCACCCCCTCCCCATCCCACTCCACATCGTTCATCCACCTCTGGTAATGGAATACCAATTTGTGAGCCTGGACCTGCTTGCCAATAATAAATAAATCTTACTTTATCTCTGTGTGTGCCCAAACAAAGGGTCTCCATTACCCAGCTCTCAGTAAGTGTTTATAATTAGTAAATATGGTCTTTCTGTTTTTCTATTACATTTAAGTGGGGCTGGGTAAGGAAAACAGATACAGGAAATGAGGCCAAGGTGTCTTTACCCATTCATTCTCTCATTCAACCAACATCTGAGTTTCTACCACATGTCGAACATTCTAAACACTGGCTACAGCAGTGAGCCAGACAAAGACCTTACTCACATGAGCTCACATTACACTAATAAGGTAATATCATATAGTAAAGTAAGAATTAAAATAGGAGGATGTGATGGAGCATGACTTGTCGATCAGGGGAGACTTTTCTGAGCATCAAGACTGAAGACAAACCCAAGATAAAGAGGAGCCCACCTAAAATCAGGGGACGAGAATTCCCAGTGGGGAAACAGAATGCAAGGCCTTAATCCAGAAATGAAGTCGCTGGTCTCAAGGAGCAAAAAGAAACTCCGTATGACCATTGTGTTGGTGGGTATGGTACAACTGGTGCAAGCTAAGCCGGGGGAGTTTCGATCAAGGTTAGGAGTTTCTGTACTCATTGTTACTACACTTAAAACCTAAACATGCCAGCTTCTGGGATGAGCCAACACAATCATGATTATCACGCCCTGTCCTCTATGCAGCTGCAGGCCTAAGGTACGATGGATGGTAACAGCAGAAAGCCACAAGGGAGATTAGCAACGACTTGAAACACAGACAGGGATTTAGAACACACTCCAGTAAACGCCACCATTCCAAAGTTCTTCACTTCTAGATTCCAAAATTTCTTTCCTAAACCTTCAGTCCTGACACAGACCCAAACTTTAGGCGCTCCTAACTAACCATCAACTTTAATTATTTATCCTTAATTCAAGCCTCCACAACATAGGCACAACTTTCTTTTCTGGACTCATGATACACAACTCCCAGTGAATTATGTCACAATATTTGTTCGTAACACTTGGAACTTGCCTGTAACACATACTGATGTAATAAATTCTATGAGAACAGGTGAAACCTCCCTACTTTAAATCACCTGGGACACTAATTTTTTTCCTCTGTGAATGGTAATTGATACAAAGGCACAGGTGAGGACATGGACTGAATAACTGACATTTCCCTTCTCCTAGAATGTAATATTAGAATGCATTCTATCCTATTAGCATTCTATTGGAAGGCTCCATAGAGCACCCCATACAGAACACTGCCATCAAAAAGAGGACTGGGCTGGGCATGGTGGCTCACACCTCTAATCCCAGCACTGTGGGAGGCCAAGGCAGACAGATCACCAGAGGTCAGGAGTTTGAGATCAGCCTGGCCAACATGGTGAAACCCTGTCTCTACTAAAAATACAAAAATTAGCCGAGCGTGGTGGCACACACCTGTAGTCCCAGCTACTCCAGAGGCTAAGGCAGGAGAATTGCTTGAACCCGGAGTTGGAGGTTGCAGTGAGTGGAGATCACACCACTGCATTCCAGCCTGGGCAACAGAGCAATACTCTGTCTCAAAAACTATATAATAATAATCATGCATATTTCACAGAGAAGAAACCAAGCCTCAAGAGATGAAATGACTGCTCCAAGGTGACACAAAAAAGGCACAGTCCATTCAACTAGACCTCCCCAGGATCTTGGAACCATGTTTTTTCCTTCTTCCCTTACCATATTCATTCAATACATTACTGCATGCCTACCTGGGCCAGAAACTTCTCAGACGCTACACATGCAGAAGGGAATGAAATGAAAGACAAATGGATGCTGCACCCATTGTTAAGCTGTAACATTGTAAAGGAAGAGGGTAGTGAGAAAGACACAAGTACGCCATCAATGTGGGTTTGAGGCAGAAATGTTACAGAGCAGAGCTAGATATTGCAAAGTGATAAAGGAGCTGTAAGGAGAAAAACAAAGGATGAGAAAACTAGTATTTGCACAACAGAGGCACATAGTGTAAGTAATCAAATCAGATAAATTCTGCACCTGCTTGAAAATAAAACATTAGAACTAAATATATACATCTGTGATTCCATGTCTACATATATATGCATATACATTTAAAGGATTTTTAAAATTCAACAAATATTTCTCAGTTGAGCACGAATTTATACCAGGTGTATAAAGCAATGTATAAGTTCCATGACAGACACAAATAAACCATACCAATATTCACCAGTCACAGAGATAATACATATTTTTATGATATAGAATGTGCATCATTTCTAAACACCTATTTAGATTAACTAGGATGAGCTCACGCACACACAGAGAAACACAAATGCACCTCCCAGCATTCAAACCTATAAATCAGTGAATATCTCAGGGCTATTAGAAAACATTAATTCAATTCCTCAAGCTAAATTACATTTCACAATTTCCATCAATGGACTTGAATAGAACCTTGAGATGATTAATGTTTTATCAGAGATTACCCAGACAGGGGAACAGAGAGCCTGCCATTTCAAATTTAGAATGTTAGTTCAGTACCACCTGCACAGGGAAGACATGAGCTACCATTCATATGAGCATTATTATTTAAATTTGGTAAAAACTTGAAAAAGTTCAACTTATTTAGGAATTCATTTCTGTCATTTAAGACTCGATATTGTTCTCTTGCTGGAAACCAAGAGACCGGAGATTTCTGAGAAGCCTTAGAAATCCCACTGTTAAAAAAGATGGATAATTCTTCTATGATCTGGGCTCCAGAGAGGAATAATGGGGCATGGTTTTGCAAGACTCTGCGACTCAGCTGTTTGAAGCTAACCCATTTTTCATAGATTTGCATTTATTACAGCCTACAATTATGACTTATGCCTCTCCCAAGCACTCAGACTATAGCTTCTTTTTGCACCTCAGAGAAAGCAAGGGTTTATTACTGTAATAGTCAATCATATGCCCTGAGGACAATACAGAGCACAGGGCACGTGTTTTGTTAGTAAGACTTTCTGTTCAACCTAAGCATGCTCTTGGAAGGACCTAGTATGTGTATAATCAATTTGTAAAAACAATGTCTTTGAAATGACCCACAGTTTCCACTTAATTTAATGACTATTACTTTTAAACTCATATTTCCAACTACCAGAAAGTCTTGAGGAAAGTGTGTACAGGCACTGCTGTTATAAAGAAGTGAACTAAATGGTCTTCTCCAATATTTTTATTAACTGTGTGATGCACTTATACCAGTATACATATCCATGAAGCCTGTATAAAAAGCTTTTCAACTCAGCTCTCACCTGGCTATGCAAGAGACCAGAAAACCTCAAGAATGGAGTAAGTGATGCCAGGAATTACGACGACAGGATTATACTACCTGAAAAGTCCTGAAGGTAGAGGAGGACGACAAAAAGAAAATCGGCTTCAAAATAAGTCAACCAGCCTGTGCAACATGGTGAGACCTCAACTCTACAAAATATACAAAAATTAGCCAGGTATGATGGCTCATGCCCGTAGTCTCAGCTACTTGAGAGGGTGAGGTGAGAGGATCACTTGTGCCCAGAGAGCTCAAGGCTATAGCAAACATCATACCACTGCACTCCAGGCTGGGCAAAAGTGTGAGACCCTGTCTCAAAAAAATAAAATAAAATAAAAATAAATAAAGTCAGTCAGATGAGGGCTTTTAACCAAGTTTTGGCATCTCCAGTGTGGTACATCTTGGCCATGTGACTCTCTTTAGTTTCTCCATGTAGCACCTTGGAGTCATTCTCTTTCTAAATACGGTAATGTCTAAAACACACAGGACAGAGCTCAGCTACAGTAGACATGTAGCAAAGGACTGTTATAATGATTAGTCTTAATTTACTTGCCAAACAACCAAACTTGAGACTGGAGTTCCACAGTTCAAGAACATGAATACTTTTTAAGGCTTAAAAGTAAAAACATTCTCTAAGAATATCACAATGTCAAGTTCAGACTACAGTTTGTGACATTCTGTCTCCCTTCTTCCATTCCGGCTTTGAAGAAGTCAAATTTGCCTCTCATTGAATGTTTAAGTCTTTCTTGTGGGATGGGGTAAGGAGCAAAGATTCATGAACTGAAACTACAATAGAAATTTCCATTGCAAAATATTAATGGCCTAAGTATTTACTGAGTATTCATTCAGAGTATTTGTTAAAAGTCATTTGAAAATGTAAAAATAAAAAAAATTTACTTAAAACTAGAACTTAAGTCTACTATAAAATGTGACTACATTCCATAAAGCACCTTACAAGGCACAATGCCATCAATTTGGTTAAATTTCAAGTTGATTTCACTACATTTTCTTATCCTAACGAGTACCCAGTGACACTCTACATGCCAATTACAGTGATTCTTTTCAGTCAGTCCCATCTAAACTATTTCAAGGAAGAAGGGTGTCTGGTACTATAACCTTCTAGGAAAAAGAATAAAGTTTCTGTATGCTGTAGTGGAATGAAATAAGCTTTTACATTGAAACAGACACAAAATAAAATTTTATTTTCACTTAGTTATTTCAAATATAAGGAATTCATTATTTAGGTTAAAAAAAAACACTCTGTCACAGTTTATACATTAGAATTTCCTTGGTTTTCTTTTTTCCTATTCTGCCTCAAATACTGAATAAATGAAGCCAGGTGCAGTGACTCACACCTGTAATCCCAGCACTTTGGGAGGCCAACGTGGGAGGATTGCTTAAGCCTAGGAGTTCGAGACCAGCCTCCCCAACATTGTGAGACCCTGTCTTTATAAAAATAAATAAATAAATGATGAAGATAAAAGCTTAATATTACCCTTGTATTGCATACCAACTTTTTCTTGAAAAACAATGGAAGTGGGGAAGTGGATACCATATTACTCTTTAAGAATCAAACTTTGTTCAAATTATTGCTTTTGTGCCCAAGCTCTAATTCAAGTTAAATGTGAGAGTCACTACAGATCAGATGAGATTCAGCATGCCTGTGGAAATAACTTTGGGAGCACTCAAGTTTGTAAGCAATATCCATCAAATCCAAATTTTTACTTTTTTTTTTTTAAGGAAATGTACTCACTTAGTTGACCATACCTGCATATGGAATTTCCTTCTATCACAAACACACAAATGTTTAAAGCCCTTGTATTAGTCTGATCTCACACTGTTATGAAGAAATACCTGAGACTGGGTAACTTATAAAGAAAAGAGGTTTAATCGACTCACAATTCCACACGGCTAGGGAGGACTCAGCAAGCTTACAATCATGGCGGAAGGCACCTCTTCACAAGATAGCACCAGAGAGAATTAGTGCAGAGCAAAGTGGGGAAAGCCCCTTATAAAACCACCAGATCTCGCAAGAACTCACACACTATCACAAGAACAGCATAGGGGAACTTCTCTCATGATCTCATCACCCTCCACGAGTTCCCTTCCCCAACACACGGGGATGACAATTTGGATTTCAACTCAAGATGAGATATGGGTGGGGACATAGAGCCAGACCATATCAGCCCTGCAGAAAATGCCAACACACACCACAGGTGCTAATCCAATTCCAGGCGCTGGGAGGATGAGACAGGGAAGGGCAGGGCTAGTGATTCCTTAGTGCAGCAATCTCAGAGAGTGGCAGAGATTTGCACTCACAATTTGTAATATATTACCTAAATCTTAAATAACTCTCAAGAGGGACTGCTAAGGAGAGTGGGGATTTAACTAGTTTTAGGTACATCAATAAGAAATTGCTCCCAGCTGTAGACTTAAATATAGCGAGTGGAAATTTTACACCCCCGTGCCAAAGATATTCCAAGAATTTGCCTCACCAAAGAAACACTGAAAACTACAGAAGGTTCTAGGCTCCTATCAGAATGGTCAAGGAAAAGATTCTGGGTGTTACGCTGGAGCAGGGAAAACATTAGTACTGAAAGGCATTAGCAAGAATATACTAGAGTTAAGAACAGTTGGGAAGGGTTTGGTGTTGTCAGTCGCCTTGGATTTGTGGTGATGGCAGGACCGGCATGGCAGCTGCTGCTCAGAGCACCTGACCTACAAGAAGCATAACTGCACCTCCTCCTTTAGTATAATTTTAGCGCTTTTTTTTGTTTTTGTTTATATTTATATATAATATAATATTGATATACTGCTTGTGTGTTTTATAATATATTTTTGGCTTTCAATCATCACCAATAAGTTTTGCTGGCATCAACATCTTACTTTTTTAACTTTTTAAATTTTTATTTATTTACTATTATTATTATTTTTGAGACAAGGTCTCACTGTGTCACCCAGGCTGGAGTAGGAGTATCACAATAACAGCTCGCTGCACCCTCCAACTCCTGGGCTCAAGTGATCCTCCCATCTCAGCCTCCCAAGTAGCTGGGACCACAGGCGTAAGCCACCACATCCAGCCAATATCTTGTTTAGAAAAACAATTTTCACTTTGCCATATTGAAAACATTGTTTCCAAGAAAAACAATTCTTAGAATTATCCTAATTTTCTGTGCATAGGGAAGATGAAGCTGGGGTAAGCTGGGGTACACGTGGAGATCGGAAGAGGAGAAGATGACGTCTCTGGGTATGGGGACCACACCTTGACCCTGGCTGATTGTCCAGTGAGCTGGGCTGGGGGCATCACTGTCTCCAGAAGCAGGAGGGCGAACTGCACTTTCAGTCAGCAATTAAGCCTTAAATATCTGCTGTTGAAAGAAAAGCGGATTCTGATTTTTGCCACTGGGTGTCAATTACTATTTGTTAAGATTCTGAAGTAGTGGCTTTCTCACAGGCTCTAAACCCACCTCTATAAGAAACTATCAAGAACTCTGAAACCCTTTGTCTTTGAAAATTCAGACATTTATCTACTTTTAAAATGAGCTCATAAGTAACAACTGTTACGCCTAAGTGTCTATCTGTAAGAGCTGAAAAGTATTCCTGAGCTGAGAACTGCAGAACGTAGTTAATTATGCACATTCATATCATCTACTTAGGACACTGAAGAAGAGAAGGAATTCTAGCATGTTCTGAGGAACAAGGGATCTCTGAAGTTGCCCGCAGAATAAAAGTGAGCCTAATAAATAACACCTACTGAAAGGAAGAACACAAAGACACAATTACCACAAAAAAATGATATTACAAATATAGGGAAGGTGGAATTTTAAATATAAATAAAATACTGAAACACAGAACTGGCAGCAGATGTCAGTTTGAAATTAAACTTTCAGCTTTATGACAAGGAATAGTCCACCCTTGACTTATATATCTTAGTATTCAAAGGCAAAAATAAATAGAATATTCAATTACTGTTACACTGTAACTTTTCAGAGCACTCTCTTGACAATATGAGAATGAAAAAAAATATTTTTTTAAATCGAGGGAAGAGTGAATGTCTGTAAACAAGGCTCTTTTTCCAAAACATTTATTAAGCTGAACTATTATTACGCATGCTTCATTTTAAACCAGGACTTCATTAGTAAATGGGGTTGCACCCCATTACCAAATACATTTGAAAACTGGGGAAAACAAGGGCAGGGGTTCAAGAGCCATCAGTAAGTCCTGGGGGTACCAGCAGTAAAGAGTTATAAAGAGCCTCTAACACAGGAGACAATGCTACTGCCATAGACCTGCAGTTACAGATCTGAACACTCAGATTCGGCATATCTTGGCAAAGCATTCCCAAGACTGAAAGCCCAAGCCCCTCAGCACCATGAAGGATGGCCTTCCAGAGTCCAGCCCCTACCCACCCTGCCCTTGATGGTCCAGAACTGCACACACAGAACCCTGCCCCAGCCTCTGCCAGTGTGGATACCTCTCCCAACACCAGGAATATCCCTGCGCCTTCCCCTGCAGCTAAACTGACCCAATCAACACAAGGGTCATGCCTGAAAGCGTTCCCCATTCTCTACAACCATCACCCGTCTCTCCCCACACTCCCCCAAACAAAACAAAACCCACAAGCAACCGCATCCCCACTTCCGTCATCAGCACATTCCGAAGATGACTCCATCATAACTCTTAGCGTAAGTATGGCTTGGAATTTTCATCGCTGTCACCTAATCCCTTCATAAACTCTAAAACTCATCTTACTCAGCACCAGACACATGAGGGTTAAACAAATGATAGCTAACCCTCACTTCAGCCAGACCCGATTCCACGGCTCTCTCCACCGTCCAAAATGATTAAATCACTCAGCTTTAAATACAGACATAAATCAATAAAATGTATATGAACAGTTCAATTCCACTCATTGGAAGATTATGACAGAACAGGCATTTATAATTAGAATTCAGACTGCCGGCATGGAACTGAGAAACATAACCCCTACTAAATCTTTCTTAAGAGACAACTCAGACTAGGAATGTTGTTATCTTCAAGTATTTGAATGAACCAAGTCTACATAAAATTCAACTTTAAAATTTTACTTTATGACCTCATTCAAATTAATGTCAGGAAAAAAATAGCCAACAACTGAAGAGATTCTCTCATTTTACTTTCATAATTCGAATGACCTTATGTGGGCTTACTTGGTTACTCTGCAGGTTCAGAAGTCCAGATCACAGACAGTAAGACCCACATTCAACCTGAGGTCTACAAGACAGCAATGCCCTTTCTTTCCACTACAACATGTTCATGAAATCATATTAAAGCCATGTTTTAAATTTACTATGGCATAACTAAATTTTCCTTTTAATAAAAGGCCTTCTTGGAACTTCTTTAATCTGATAAATGGTATCTACAAAGAAGCCTACATTTGTCAAACTGGAACCTTTCCTCTAGGCTCATGAACAAGACAAAGAGAGACATGCTACTGTCACCATATTTGACACTGTGATGAGATCCTACCCAGCGGAACAAGAAATAAAAAAGAAATAAAAGGGCCAGGCTCAGTGGCTCATGGCTATAATCCCAGCACTTTGGGAGGCCGAGGCAGGTGGATGGCTTGAGCTCAGGAGTTCGAGACCAGCCTGGGCAACATGGTAAAACTCTGTCTCTATCAAAAATACAAAAAAAAAAAAAAAATTAACCAAACGTGGTGTCACCAGCCGGTAGTCCTAGCTACTCAGGAGGTTAAGGTGAAGGATCGCCTGAGTCTGGGAGATGGTGGTTGCAGTGAGCCAAGATTGTACCACTGCACTCCAGCCTGGGCGACAGAGCGAGACCCCGGTCTCAAAAATAAATAAATCCATTAATTAATTAAAATAAAAGGTATAAAGATTGGAAAGGAAGAGGAATATTGTTGTTATTTATGGAACACATGCAGAATGTCTGAAATGAAAAAAAAAATCAGTAATATCCAGTGTTAGGGAGGATGTGAAAAAACAGCATCCATGTGTCCACCAGAATATCTGTACATGAATATTGAAAGGGACATGTTCAGAGCAGGACCTTAAGCCAAGGAAAGGGAGGTAAGGGGACTGACTGACCCAGATACAGGCACTAAGGAACAGACTGAAAATCTGAAAACAATTAGTCTGAAAATTAGTCTTGTTTTTATGATCACCACATACTAGCAATTTCAAACAATGTCACAGATGAAAGACTCCTCCCCAAACAGTATCATTTTATTCATGTAAGTTCTAAATACTTGGTAGGGCTACCATCAAGTTTTGTTTTTGTTTTAATATTTTGAGACAGATTCTTGCTCTGTTGCTCAGGCTGGAGTGCAGTGGCACCATCACGGCTTACTGCAGGCTTGACCTCTCAAGCTCAAGTGATAATTCCCACCTCAGCCTCCCAAGCAGCTGAGACCACAAGCACGTGCCACCATGCCCGCCCATTTTTTTAATTTTTTTTTTTTTTTTTTTTTTTTTTTTGTAGAAATGGGGTCTCACTATTGTTGCCCAGGCTAGTCTCAAACTCCTGAACTCAAGCAATCCTCCTGCATCGGTCTCCCAAAGTGCACGCATTACAGGCGTGAGCCATTGTGCCAAGCCTAAATTTTAATTTCAATTTAAAATTCAAGGCCAGGCACAGCGGCTCACCCTTGTAATCCTAATGCTTTGGGAGGCAAAGGCAGGAGAAGGATCACGCCTGAGGGCCAGGAGTTTGAGACCAGCCTGGGCAACACAGCAAGACTCTTATCTCTACAAAGAAAAAAAAAAAAAAAAGCAAAAATTAGCACCAAGTATAGTGGCAGGGGCCTGTGGTCCCAGCTACTCAAAAGGCTAAGGCAGGAGGATCTTGAGTCCAGGAGTTCAAGGCTGCAGTGAGCTATAAGTGCGCCACTGCACTCTACCTTGGATGACAAAGTGAGAACCCGTCGTTCATTCATTCATGAATAAATAAGTAAATAAAATTCAAATTAGCATATTAGGTTACATGACACAAATGTAACTAGTTATTTATGCTTTAGTGAACATTATTTTTCACATGGAAGTTAATTCAGAAAACTCATTATAGAGCGGCCCACCCCACAGGTATCGAGTCACAGATTCATTTCAGGTAAGCTCCTAAGAGTTGAGAACCATTCAAGCTTGCCCTAAGCACAGCTTGTTTCTCCAATCCCTGTGGCACTATGGAATCCTTCAGTTTCCGACTACATTTGAAATTCATTAAATATCATTAAAAAATGATAGCAAAGTTTATTGCAATGATAAAGAAATACAACTTATTTCCATTCTGTCATTCTACATGGGCCCTTGGACTTTTTATGTGTGCTTAAAATTTTCAGCTATGGAGACATCATTTGAAACTCACTAGTTTAATCCCCAGAAGCGGGAAAAAATTGCAATTCCTGGAATTTACTGTGAAATGAGATGTTTATGAAACTCAGGCAAAATTATCTTTTATCTGTAAGACGTTTCCTAATTACTTGTATAGAGATTGTTCCTTTATGTGAAAGAAATTTTTCAAGATTAAAATTATAAAAAAAAGAAGTGTACTTTGTCGAACTATAAGCAACAAAGATATTGACAAATCTCACTCTACTGTCTTACTGAACACGAATATATGGCAGAGATAAATTCTGAGAAAGTCGCTGATAAATTTGCAGAAGACTCAAAAGAGAAACTGCAACGCTGTTATTCATTACTGGACAGATCAATATATGTTTACACTTTTCACTTTTCAAAAAAAATTTCAATGTTACTAAAAACTATTAGTCCATTTCTTTTTTTCCTTCTTAATATTTATTTTTAACTGATAGAATTAAATATTGTAGATCCACTAATGGAAAACTTTCACTGAATTTCTCTTCTGGTGATTATTATTATATGTTTCCTGCTCTAATTATGAATGAAAATACAAAATTTGTTGTATACTAGGGTGGTGTAAAAATAATCCATGCTGGATGTCAACTACACTAGGTATGCCACTGATAAGAAACAGCCCCAAAATGAAAATACTCTTAAATGTCCATCAGCACTAGAATGGAGTAAAAAAGAAAATTGTGGAAAAATCATACGACAAAATACTGCACAAGATGGACTACTGTTACACTCAACAACACAGATGAATCTCACAGATGTAATATGAGAAAAGCAGCCAGCAATGAGAGAATGTATAATGTACATATGTATAATCTATGGTGTGAACATCGGGCAGGATATTGACTGGGAAGGCCACAGGCGAGCCTTCTGGATACAGAAAGTGTTCTGTATCTTCATGTGCGTGAAAGTTACATAGGTTCATAGACATGTAAAAACTTCTCAAGCCTTCACTATATATCCTCTTGAATTTTTTTTAAAGGCCTCTACTGCCCACGTAGGCACACAATTAACAGAAAGCAAAACTGAGGTCCAAAAAATGTCAAATGTGTATGTAACATCATTAGTACTTAAAAGTTATTATAGATAGTTAACAATAGTTGACACATAATAGTGCTGTGGTTTTGAAATTTCAAAATGTAATTATGTTCTATCCTTTGGAGTGATAGTTTGGTAGAGAGCGATTAAGGGAAAGAAGAAAGTACAGTCAAGTCCTGGAGCAGTGGACAGCTGTCAAAATTAACAGACATGAGGGAGTATACCAGAAAAATAAATGTGGTGCTTAGAAAATTACCCCTGGCTGACAGGTTGTCAAAATGTCCCAGAATGAAGCAATAGTGCCTTGGTGGGCTGCAAGTTTAAATCAGAACCACCTGCCTGGTGCTCCGCAGCTCTGGTGTTAAGTTGTGTCCTTGTGTCCCTTAAGAGCTCATCTCTGTCCCTGATGGCATCTGCCCTTGGCACAGAAGACTTGATACATTCCAAGAGCCCCAGGGGTTAATGTTCTTTGCCCAATGACATTATTAACTTGCCTAAATTCAATCTGCAAAGATTGTCTCTTCTGCCTAATTTGTTCCAAAATAATGTGAAGAGGAAGACAAACAGTCACGGAACACATTGAACAAGAGATGCTGAATTCAGGATGGAACATTTCATCTTTTGTTTGGGCAAAGGGGTTTCCAAGTCAATCAGAGTTCAATATGCAGACTAGAACCTTGATTAGGAACTCCAAACGACTCATTTCTTTGCCATGATCTTTAGAACCAGAGGCAAGTAATAGTACGTGAGGCCATAATATTCATCCCAACATATTAGACAGGGAGTAGAAGGATCAGAGGAGGCAGAAAATGAGCACAGAATGAAAACAGAAAAACTGTACCAGAAAACATTAAATTTGCATGTGGTACTCACAGCAAAAAGAAAAAGATGGGCAGGCAGTAAGTTGGTTTAGGCCACTGCCCTGAGCTCAATGACAGACAGCAACCAAGGGCACAGTACACAGAGAAAACTGTCCGACACGCAGCCAATCCCTCCATAACCAGATCCTGGAGTAAGGCGGTGACGGTCAAAGGTGTCTTCAGTCCCAGGTGCGTCCAGGAACAAGAAATTTAAAAACCATCCAGTTTTCCCCCCAAAACCTGCTACCTTAAAATCCTCTTAAGAAGTGAGTAAATCCCCTCAGGCCACAAAACAGGGACCAAAAGCAAGGGCAAATGTCCGAGTGAAACAAACTGCAACCCATCAGTCAACAAGTACAACTAATTTCTTGTTAGTCTTCCCAGTTTTCGGAGGAGAAGGAAACTGGGTATGAGATGGTTAATACCAAGTGTCAACTTGATTGGATTGAGGGATGCGAAGTATGAACCCTGGGTGTGTCTGTGTGGGTGTTGCCAAAAGAGATAAACATTTGACTCTGAGCTGGGGAAGGCAGATCCACTCTTAATATGGTGGGCGAAATGTAGTCAGCTTCCAACAAATTTAAAGCAGGCAGAAAAACATGAAAAGGAGAGACAGGCCTAGCCTCCCAGCCCACATCTTTCTCCCATGCTGGATGCTTCCTCCCCTCAAATATCAGACTCCAAGATCTTCCGTTTTGGGACTCTGGCTCTCCTTGCTCCTCAGCTTGCAGATGGCCTATTATGGGACTTTGTGATCGTGTAAGTTAATATTTAATAAACTCTCCTTTATTTATATATATATAAAGATATATAAAATATATATAAAGATATATATGATACATAAAGATGTATATGATATATAAAATATATAGAGATCCTATTAGTTCTATATTACATATATATTTTCAAGATTAAAATTATAAAAAATAAAAGTGTACTTTATTGAACTATAAGCAACAAAGATATTGACAAATCTCGCTATACCGTCTACTGAATGCGAATATACGGCAGAGATAAATTCTGACAAAGTCACTGATAAATTTGCAGAAGACTCAAAAGAGAAACTGCAATGCTATTACTCATTACTGGACAGATCAATATATAAGTTTACATTTTTCACTTTTCAAAAAAAATCTCAATGTTACTAAAACCTATTAGTCCATTTCTTTTTTCCTTCTTTGTACAGTAATATTTATTTTTAACTGATAGAATTAAAAATTGTAGATTCACTAAGGGAAAACTTTCACTGAGTTTCTCTTCTGGTGATTATTATTATATGTTTCCTGCTCTAATTATTAATGAAAATAATTTTGTTGTACACTAGGGTGGTGTAAAAATAATCCATGCCGGATGTCAACTACACTAGGTATGCCACTGATCTGAAACAGCCCCAAAATGAAATTTTTTTTTTTTTTTTTTTTTTTTTTTTTTGAGACGGAGTCTGGCTCTGTCACCCAGGCTGGAGTGCAGTGGTGCAATCTCAGCTCACTGCAAGCTCCACCTCCGGGGTTCACGCCATTCTCCTGCCTCAGCCTCCCGAGTAGCTGGGACTACAGGGCGCCTACCACCACGCCTGGCTAATTTTTTGTACTTTTAGTAGACACGGGGTTTCATCATGTTAGCCAGGATGGTCTCGATCTCCTGACCTCATGATCCGCCCACCTCGGCCTCCCAAAGTGCTGGGATTACAGGCGTGAGCCACTGTGCCCTGCCAAAAATACTCTTAAATATATATATATATCTCCTATATATATCTCCTATATATATATATATATATCTCCTATATATATATATATCTCCTATATATATCTCCTATATATATATATCTCCTATATATATATCTCCTATATATATATATCTCCTATATATATATATCTCCTATATATATATCTCCTATATATATATATCTCCTATATATATATATCTCCTATATATATATATCTCCTATATATATATCTCCTATATATATATATATCTCCTATATATATATATATCTCCTATATATATATCTCCTATATATATATCTCCTATATATATATCTCCTATATATATATATCTCCTATATATATATATCTCCTATATATATATCTCCTATATATATATCTCCTATATATATATCTCCTATATATATATCTCCTATATATATATCTCCTATATATATATATCTCCTATATATATATATCTCCTATATCTATATCTCCTATATATATATATCTCCTATATATATATATCTCCTATATCTATATCTCCTATATATATATATCTTCTATATATATATATGAGGAAAAACTCCCCTTTATATAGATATATCCTATTAGTTCTTTATATATATACAGAACTACATATATCTATATTACTATACATATATAAAGGGAAATGTGTGTGTGTGTGTGTGTGTGTGTGTGTGTGTGTGTGTGTGTGTGTGTGTGTGTAGTTCTGTCCCTTTAATAGAACCCTGACTAAAACAGCGTATGTCTACAGATGTGTGCAGGTGTGTACAGTCACGTGCTCCGGGTGCAGAGAAAGGCAGTATAGGCACCACAAACTCAGGCAGAGTCACCCAGAGGAGGAGAAAGATGAGGCTGGAGGCAAGTGGAAAAATCATGCCTGCCGGATCCAGTTCCCCTCCTCAAATCTGCATGCTGTGGAGCATGATTTTCAAAGATTTCTTTTGGTTGGTTGGTTTTTTCTGGGACTTGGAAAATAAAGAAGCTACATTTTTATAAAAGTTGGAGCATCAGCCTGGCATAGTGGCTCATGCTTATAATTCCAGCCTTTTGGGAGGCTGAGGCAGGAGGATCACTTGAGGCCAGGAGTTCAAGACCAGCCTGGGCAACATAGTGAGACCCCCGTGTCTTCAAAAAAAAAAAAAAAAAAAAAAAAGTCTGTCTATCAATAAGACAGCTCTGGCTGGGCATGGTGGCTCACGCCTGTAATCCCAGCACTTTGGGAGGCCAAGGCGGGCAGATCACAAGGTCAAGAGATCGAGACCATCCTGCCAACATTGTGAAACCCCATCTCTACTAAAAATACAAAAATTAGCTGGGCATGGTGGTGCACGCCTGTAGTCCCAGCTACTCAGGAAGCTGAGGCAGGAGAATCGCTTGAACCCAGGAGGTGGAGGCTGTAGTGAGCCGAGATCACACCACTGCACTCCAGCCTGGTGACAGAGAGAGACTCTGTCTTAAAAAAAAAAAAAAAAAAAAAGACAGCCAAACACAGCTGGAGCATGAGCATGTAAGTAGCTGTCCAGATTTGTAGATAGATGCATAAGATGAGAGGCCACGTTGAGAAATGTGTTTCAGCACAAATCTTAATCTTTGGGGGCCCATCTAAGTTCCTGGAAAACTAGTACCAAGTTTTCTTCACCTTACAGATTTCGAAACTGACAGAGCTTCACCCTATCCCACCCACAAAGTCATTACTCAAGACCCATTAAAAGTGTAAGAAATTCCGGCATTTTACAGATAAATGCACAACACAGGCAATATGTATTTGCAAACAACCCTCCAGGGTACACACAAATATGCTAAAAAATGCAGTATTTCACAGACATATCAGAAATAAGAAGATGACAACCTCCTCAAGATGAGGCTTAAATGATGGATTTTGTGCCAACAATAGGAATTCTTAATGCATAACAGCTAGAAGAGCCACTGAATAATTAAGTAACTTCCTGGGATAGTGGGAGGGAAAAGAGTGCAAATGTAGAATGAATGGATTTAAAAAAAGGGATATTCTGTGTTTTGTACAAATTCTAATAATTACACAAATTCCAAATGACAGCTACCCTAGGTGATATCTGTTCACATGATCCTTTTTCTGTTGCAAATATGTTGGTAAAAGGCAGGAAAAGGTAAGTCCATCCTTTGGCACCTATAAGATACTTCTGTTTGCATCATGGACACACTCCTGTGAGCTCAGTCTGCAGTCTGTGGAAGGACCAACGAAAACTTTAAAGATCTAGAATGTTTAGGGCTAAGTCAACTCCCACGCCATTCTGTTGTCTCATATTAGAATTAAGAACCAAAGCTTTGTGAGAAACATTTAGGTGCTTTTCTTTCACCTAACATCAGATCAGAGCAGGCTTTGTGGATACCACCCACCCTGGCATCAGCACAGATCTCCCATTTATGTATTTATTTATTTATTTTGAAGCTCTGTTGTCAATGTCTTGAAATTCTTAATTTTTGAACAAAGTGCCCTGCACTTTCATTCTGCACTGTGTCCTGCAAATCATGCAGCCAGCCCTGAGTAATCCTGAGGAAGAGTCTTGTTTGTTCTTAGGGGCTCACTCCTCTTGCTGGCTGCTCTCCAAACTCTTCCACATACTGACATGTGTCAAGCCTCTCAATGCTGCACGGTCCCAGCACAGGATGCTGCAGCCATCAGAGCAGGGGATTTCAGTTCTTCTGAATTCCATGCTGGTAAAACATACTAGAATTAAAATAGACTGACAGCCACCCACAACCGTTTCTCCATGATTTCTGCCTCGCTCTTCCACAATTACTACCCGCACCCATAGATTCTTGACAACGTATATAGCGTAAGAGATAATACAAACGTTGGGAAAGATGGAAATCATTGTATTCTCCATTACATATATTTAAAAAGGACAAAAAACCTTCCTAGAGCCATCTAGTTCTTAGGCACCACCACAATCAGCTCTCTGTATCCATGCATTCTGCATCTATGAATTCAACCAATCTCAGATTGAAAATATTCAGAACAAAAGAATACAGTAAAAAAGAATACTTTTTTTTTTTTTTTTTTGAGACGGAATCTCACTCTGTCACCCAGGCTGGAGTGCAATGGCCCGATCTTGGCTCACTGCAACCTCCACCTCCCAGGTTCAAGCAGTTCTCCTGCTTCAGCCTCCCGAGTAGCTGGGATTACAGGTGCCTGCCACCACGCTCGCCTAATTTTGTATTTTTAGTAGAGATGGGCTTTCTCCATGTTGGCCAAGCTGGTCTCGAACTCCTGACCTCAGGTGATCCACCCGCCTTGGCCTCCCAAAGTGCTAGGATTACAGGCATGAGCCACCGCACCCAGCCTACAAATTTTTAAAACTAACAGGGTATAGCAACAATTTACATAGCATTTATATTGTATTAGGTATTACAAGTAATCTAGAGATCATCTACAGTCTACAGGAGAGTAGAAATAGGTGATACGCAAATACTGCACCAACCAATATGAGGACCTTGGGCATCTTCAGATTTTCTCTCAACTGACTAGATAACCCCTGTTAACAGATGCATCAAAAGGCCCAGAACATTTAAAAAATCTTTACAATCCTAAGATTCCAGGAATGAATAAGTCATTCATAATTCGACTAATTTTGGACTCAAGTCAGTATTTCCTCTAAAGCAATGGCATAGACATCTTTAAAACTAACAATTCTATTTAAAATTTAGAATCCCCAGGTACATTTTCAACTCAGTTATTTTTGTCAATTAATTATGAGTCTAAAATTAATTAATATTCACACAACATTAAAATAAGATTCCTCTGTCAAAAGCAGGCCAAAATTATCACCAGTAGATAAATATAAGCTCCAATAATTTAGCATGAGAAAGTCTGTAGGGCAGGTTTTGTAAAAATGGAAATTTCAAACAATGCAAGGCAAACACCACCAATCTCAATACTGTCAAGACTGTGTGGATACTGAAACCTGCTCTTAGAAGTATACCACACTCCTGAGATACAGAGCCAGTTGGTTAAGGAGCGTAAGAAGAGATCGAGGTCTTGAGTACTTACTTCCCTCTTTTTGTTTGTTTAGAGACAAGGTCTCCCTTTGTCACCCAGACTGGAGTGCAGGGGCACAATCATAGCTCGCTGTATTCCTGAACTCCTGGACTCCAGTGATCCTCCCGTCTCAGCCTCCATAGTAGCTAGGGCTATCTAGCCACCATGTCCTGTTATTTTTATCTTTTGTTTTGTCGAGACAAAACAAAAAACCTGTTGTGCAGGCTGGTCTCAAACTCCTGGCCTCAAGCAATTCTCCCACTTCAACCTCCCAAAGTGCGCCCAGCCTCTTACTTCACTCTCTTGATCGTGTTTTTAAAACCAGCAGAAATTAGCAGAATGTTACAAAGTGCTAGGCAATAAACTATGAGACGAGAAAAATCATTTGACATTACCGTCAGAAAGGCTGGGAAACCTTCTGCAGAATTATTTTTATTAAGAGTAGTGAAATTTCTAGCTAGTGGAAATATACCAAAACTTAGGCGGAGGCCAACTGTTTCAAAGTTCAGAATTTTATACCAAAGGGGCCTTTTATTGAAGCTCTGGTTATTCATGATAGATTCATCCACATCTACTCTAATCTCTGGTAGTATATTCCTACACTATTTAAAGTGCATTCTATTGGCAACGACTGGAAGTAATATTAAATATATCGGCTAGGGCATGTGGCAAGAAGGATGAGAGTCATTAAACTCTCCTGAAGTTCCAATCAATAATCCAGGTACCTAGCAAACCATCCAGGGAACGTGAAAGTTGCTGAATGCTCTTGATTAGGAGGCCACCGATACAGCTATTATCATAAGAAATGCTCTGATACATACAAAGAAAAACTGTCACTACATTCTGTCACTGTTTAAAAAATTTAAAAATGCCAGTACTCATCAAGAATTGGTCGGACATTATGGGAACAGAATACTCTAATATTAAACAGAAATCTAGGCTTAGAGCAGTTAGGAAGATGACCCAGTAACCCAAAAAGGGTTACGTGTGGACCTGAGTTAATCAAAGAAGGAAAAATAAGCATGCCTGTAACCAAGAATCAGTGTGAGGAAAATTCTCAGGAGCCAGTATGATCGTGGGTGAAATATGGAGTTCCTAGAATACGCTAGACAGATTAGGAGTTTCCTTTTTTGAAATATATATATAATGTGGTTGCTGACAGCATTTTGTTTTATTTCAGTTTATAATCTTTATTGTTTCTGAGCAAAATTAAACTGCTAAACATTGTGTATGTATGATTAACTAGTAGGTATACTCTAAGTTTTATAAAGTTTGATATGCAATAGAACAATTAGAAGTACCCACAGCTTTTGATTACTGAAAATATACAAGACCTATTTATGTCTGTAAAGGGTGGTGTGTGGTGATGGGGAGAGGTGGGGGGGAGTTTGAAATTTTCAGCTCTTAATGATTTTAGAAAGTAAGCAGCTCCCAGGGAAATACATTCATGCAATGACAGAAAAAGTAAGTTGCTTTCTTTTCCTTTTTAAAAAATACCTAGTTGCTGAAAATATTCTAGTCTTTGAACAGTTTAGCAGAGTTGAAACCGGTCTATGTTAACGATGCATTCCAAACTCAGTCCCAAAAATAGATGAAAATCATGCACCTTGAGTGAGGCAGAATAAGGGCCAGTTTATTCTTACATGTATTAATGCTTCAGTGCTCGGATAAAGGAAAACTGTGATGGCTGGTAAAATTAATTATAGCTTTCAAAGGTATTCTCTGTTTACTAGCTACTTCTACAACATAAGGTAACATACATATAAATAAATGTTTTCCATCACAACTTTGTACCTTTAGTATGACATTTTAGAAACATTTTAGCTGACTTAGTTTACTAACCCTTGGTTAGGCATTACCTAACCATGTACTATCCGAACTGGAAGGCAGAACAGATCAAAACCAAACCATCAAAAGGAACGCAGAGCATACACCAAGGAAGGCAAGGAAAAGACACATGCAGGAGTAATTTCGGGATTTTCTGATGCCTTTTAAATTTAATTTCAAATATGACCAGAAAAATTAACTTGACAAATCACAAGATTAATACTATTTTAGAATCCCTTCCTTCTAGACTTCTCATAAGGCAAATCGGAATACAATTATAGGCTGTCTAGGAAAAAATCTGGATCTTGAACCAACCACAAAAATCCTGTTGACTCCTAAGGCCCCGTACGCAATTTTCCATAATGAAATGGGGACGGGAGAGAGCTAAAAACTGCTGAATTTATTTTCATCCACGTACATGAAGATGGGAAATAAATGTGATACATTTCTTTCTTTTTTTTTTTTTTTTTTTTGAGGCGGAGTCTTGCTCTGTCGCCCAGGCTGGAGTGCAGTGGCGCAATCTCGGTTCACTGCAAGCTCCGCCTCCCAGGTTCACACCATTCCCCTGCCTCAGCGCCCCCCCTACCCCCCCGCCCCGAGTAGCTGGGACTACAGGCACCCGCCACCACGCCCAGCTGATTTTTTGTATTTTTAGTAGAGACGGGGTTTCACCGTGTTAGCCAGGATGGTCTCGATCCCCTCACCTCGTGATCCGCCCGCCTCGGCCTCCCAAAGTGCTCGGATTACAGGCGTGAGCCACCGTGCCCAGCTGTGATACATTTCTAATAAAGACACTGAAATGTAGTATGCATCTGTTCATGCAGTATATAACCTATACAGAAACATAACCATAGGCTAGAAATGTGTGTATTTAATTGTATGTTTATGCCTAAGTGTTTGAAAGCTGTGTTTAATATGAAAAATAATAATAATTAAAAACAATTTTAACAAATCCTATTCCAAATATACCACCAAAATATTGAAATATACACACATTTTCCCTATCAGAGAGAAATTATTCTTTAGGAAGAGGACAACCATTTTGTTTTTAAAGCCTAATACAACGGAAGGTTAAAAAACACTTAGGAAAAAGAAAAAATAAAAAGTAGCTCTTTACCTACTTTTTCCAAAGGATCGATATGGACGTGTAAGATGACAATCGTGTGAGAGGCACAATGTCTGGTGCTCTACATGCACAGTCCTAGCTCAGCTCCTTAGGAATTTCACCCAACTTTGGCAAAGCCATGTGAACCTTGATGATTAATTTCCTTATCTGGAAAACTGGGGCAACAATTCTTACCCTAGAGGGCTATAGTGAGGTTTTATGAGCTAATGGCTGCAGAAAGCTTCTTAATGCTGGTATATAGTACCAGACACAATGAATAAAAACCACTGTTGCTAGTCATCATAGCAATGCTGCAAGATGGATATCATTATTCTCATTTTGGGAAAATATGAAGGTATAACTTACTTGCCTGTGAAATAATTGAGCAATTGTGGACTGGAAAACAGCTGAAGAGGTGATAAAGTAAGTTGAACAGCCAATCAAATAAATAATGCTAGTTACTGTTTCTCTGTATCTTCAATAAAAATTAATCTTTTAAAAAGTTAACATATATAATTATCCACAGTGTACAAAACCTAAACCTACATAGGTGACCATAAATCAACCAAAGCTACAAACAGTACAAATATTAATAAATATTTCTACCTAAAGTCCAACATACAAAGTAACCCTTTTTTCCTGAATTTAAAGGCATGCTCAGAACTAGCCTACGATTGCTCAATCATTTCAAGTTATTTTAAAGCATTAAAATAAGTGTATCTTTGCACTTTTATAAAAATACATTTAAAACATAGCAAAGTGAACAACAAATCAAAAAAGCAAATTCCCCTCCTGATTAACCTGTGTGCACATACACACACACTGACCACCTGCTTTCTTTTTGATTCAGCTTTTAGTATCACCTTTCTTAGGGCTTGCTAGTGAATTACAAAGATATATAAAAAGAAAGCAGCCCCAAAACACTTTTATGGCTTGAAATTGGAGTTCAACAACATCTGTGCAATTACGAAGTATATCTTGTAGGAATAATAGAGCTATGTATCATAAATACATACCAGTAGCCCAATGGTAAAATCATTAACTCTTACTTAATTACTACCCACTCTCTGAAATGCACATGGTCCAGCTTACAATTAATCATAATTATTCAACCTCACAGCATAGCCCCACACAGCATCCAGAGGATTCGCAAATGTGTGGCTTTCTTATTCATTCTGCCTATTATAAGAACAGAAAGAAAATTCAGACACAATGGCACCACAGGAAAAAGGGCAAACAAATTCATTTCCTGTAGAATAAAAAAAAGGTTTAAAACATAGTTTTCTCGTCCACATTCTCCGGAGATCAGCTTCCAAGATTCTCAGTTTATGGGAGAAACCAACTAGGGTGAATGTGGAGAAACCATTTTGCATCTTTTTCTAATAACTTTAATTTTTAAACTTGCTTTTTAAAATGATGTTGCATCACAAGCTACGAATTTATCATCTATTGTCAGCAAATCTTTTCCTGAACTAACTTATTCAAGATATAAAACTATAGCAAACATTAAGAATGTACTACCTAGGCTATCCTTATAGGAAAAGTTTATAAACAGGGAAACATGAGAACATGTATACTCATACATACATGTGTTTGTATGCTTGATCTAGCTTTCAAAGGCAAACAGCTAAATTCAAGAAAAGAAAAAAAAAGTTTTCCTACTGTAAAAATGTATTCCTTCTTGGGAAAAGTAATAATATTAAGTCAACCAACATAGAAAAGTAATGTGAGGCCAATGACCTCTCTCCTTTTGCTCCGCTACATGGGATGAAGGACTAAATCTCTCAGAGGAAGGACCAGGAACCTGGGAAATTATTTCAGAGTTGGCGCTAAAAAAACAGCTAACCAGAGCAGAAGCTCTGGAAACTAATTGAAAATATCAAGAAGTTCTCTAACAATGAGTAGTCAGAAGATTAAGGGAAAAAAAGAAATAAAAGCCATAAATTTAAAAGAAACCAAGTCAGACATTAAAATAAGTGTCCTATTCTAGGGTAACAAGGCTGATTATGAATGATAAACAGTTTATTAACAAGTTATCTCATTGGACCCAGATCATTTCTTTCTTTAAATCATGCAGGCATAAACATAACTAAACATAGACATGTATTTTTAAATGTTTTAAATATAAATGTCTACATATATTTAAAAGATTTTAAAGATGTCTAAATGTCTAACACATATTTAAAACATTTTTAATACTGGTTGATATTTTTGCTTAACTTTCTAAATAAAAATTAAGTACATTTCCTATTGCCCAAAGTGATCTACAGATCGAATGCATCCTTATCTAGACACCAAGGACATTCTTCACAGAAATGGAAAAAAAATCCTAAAATTTATATGAAACCACAAAAGACCTCAAATAGCCAAAGTGACACTAAACAAAATAAACGAAGCTAGAGGCATCCCACTACCTGACTTTAAAAAACGCAAAGCAGGCCGGGCACGGTGGCTCATGCCTGTAATCCCAGCACTTCGGGAGGCCAAGACGGGTGGATCACAAGGTCAGGAGATCAAGACCATCCTGGCTAACACAGTGAAACCACGTCTCTACTAAAAATACAAAAAAAACTTAGCCAGGCGTTGTGGCGGGTGCCTGTAGTCCCAGCTACTTGGGAGGCTGAGGCAGGAGAATGGCCTGAACCTGGGAGGCGGAAATTGCAGTGAGCCGAGATGGCGCCACTTCACTCCAGCCTGGGCAGCCTGGGTGGCAGAGTGAGGCTCCGTCTACTAAAAACAAAAACAAACAAAAAAACAAAAACAGAAACAAAAAACAAAGCTACAGTAACCAAAACAGCATCAGCATGGGAGTGACATAAAAACAGACACATGGACCAAAAGAACAGAAATAAATCCACATACATGTAGCCAACTGATTTTCAACAAAGGCAAAAAGAACATACATACAGTCTCTTCAACAAACACCACTGAGGAAACAGTGTAACCATGGGCAGCAGAGTGGAAGTAGACCCCTATGTCTCTCCATATATAAAAATCATCTCTAATGGATTAAAGACTTAAATGTAAGGCCAAAACTCTGAAACTACTACAAACAAACACAGGAAAAAGGCTTCCCGACATTGGTCTGGGCAAAGATTTTATGGCTGAGAACTCATGCAACAAAAGCAAAAATAGACAAATAAAATTATATCAGACTAAAAGCTTCTGCACAGCAACAGAAGCAATGAAAAAAGTGAAGCGACAACTACAGAATGGGAGAAAATATGTGCAAACTATTCATCCACCAAGGGAGTAAAATATACGATATATAAGAAACGCAACAGACAAAAACCAAATAATCCAATTTAAAAATGAGAAAATGATCTAAATAGAGAGTTCTCAAAAGAAGACATACAAATGGCCAAGAAACATATGAAAATATGTTCAACATCATTATTCATAAGAAAAACGCAAATCAAAACCACACTGTGATGTCATCTCACCCCAGTTAGAATAGCTGTTACCAAAAAGACAAAAAATAACAGATGCTGGTGAGGATGTGGAGAAAGGAGAACTCTTCTTGTGCACCCCTGGTGGGAATGCAAATTAGTACAGCAATTATAGAAAACAGAATGAAGTTTCTTCAAAAAATAAAAAGCCTGTAATTCTAGCACTTTAGGAGGCAGAGGCGGGTGGATCACCTGAGGCCAGGAGTTCGAGACCAGCCTGGCCAACATGGTAAACCTGTCTCTACTAAAAATACAAAAATTAGCCAGGTATGGTAGCACATACCTGTACTCCCAGCTACTTGGGAGGCTGAGGCACAAGAATTGTTTGAACCCAGGAGGTGGACTTTGCAGTGAGCTAAGATCGTGCTACTGCACTCCAGCCTGGGTGACAGGGTGAGACTCTCTCAAAAAAAATTAAAAAAAAATTAAAAAAAGCAGAACAATCATACATCCAGCAACCCCACTGCTGCATATACACCCAATGGAAAAGAAATCAGCACATCAACGAAATATCTGCGTTCCCATGTTCACTGCGGCCTTATTCACAATAGACAAAATATTGGAATCAATCTAAGTGTCCAGCAACTGATGAACAGGTAAAGAAAACGTGGTCTATACACACAATTGAATACTATTCAGGCAACATGAATGACCCTGGAGGACGTTATGTGAAGTGAAATAAGTTAGGTACAGAAAGATAAATACAGCATGTTCTCACTTGTACATGGAAGCTAAAAAAGTTGATCTGGCTGGCTGTGGTGGCTCATGCCTGTAATCCCAGCACTTTTTGGGAGACCAAGGAAGGAGGACTGCTTCAGCCCAGGAGTTTGGGACCAACCTGGGCAACACAGGGAGAACCATCTCTACCAAAAAAACAAAAGCCAGGTATGGTGGCATGGGTCTATGGTCTCAGCTACTCAGGACACTGAGGTGGAAGAAACATATGAGCATGGGAGGTGGAGGCTGCAATGAACCAAGATCACACCACTGCACTCCAGCTTGGGCAACAGAGCACCTGTCTCAAAAAAAAAAAAAAAAAAATAACTAAATTAAAAAGTTGATCTTGGCCGGGGGCGGTGGCTCACACATGTAATCGTAGCACTTTAGGAGGCCAAGGCGGGGATCTCTTGAGGTCAGGAGTTCAAAACCAGCCTGGCCAACAAGGTGAACCCCATCTTTACTAAAAATACAAAAAAATTAGCCAGGCATGGTGGCAGACACCTGTAATCCCAGCTACTCAGGAGGCTGAGGGAGGAGAATCACTTGAACACGGGAGGTGGAGGCTGCAGTGAGCCGAGATCACGCACCATTACACTCCAGCCTGGGCGACAGAGCAAGACTCTGTCTCAAAAAATAAATAAATAAATAAAAATAAAAAGTTGATCTCATAGAAGTAGAGAGTAAGCCAGTGCTTACCAGAGACTGGGAAGGGGAAGGTAGGAAGAGATTGGTTAACAGACACAAAATTACAGCTAGATAGGAAGAATTAAGTTCTAGTGGTCTAAGGCCCTGTAGGGTGAAAACAAATACTAATGTATTGTGTATTTTCAAATGGCTGGAAGAGAAAATTTTTAATGTTCCCAATACAAAGAAATGAAAAATGTTTGAAGTGACTGATATACTACTTACCCTAATTTGACCATTACACATCACTTAAATATCACACCGTATGCCATAAATATGTATAATTTTTGTCAAAAATAATAAAATAATGTTTAAAGTACATTTCAATTTGTCTATAGATAACACAGTATTTGGTCCACAAGACCACAACCAAGTGATTATTTCTCAAATTAAAAGCAAAGCACACACAGACTGAAGGCAAGGGAGACATGAGTAGGCAGCCTTCATGGGACTGGCTTCATAAATTTAAACTCACTAAAGGGATGCCTCCTTCAAGGAATAAAGGGCTACACTCTAGGGGCTCAGCCTAGAGAGATCAAAATTATACATTTATTTTTTTTTACTTTTTTATTTCTCAGATTGGGTTAAAACTGTGAGAGAGAAAACTTTTAAAACCTACAGTTTGTTTTGAAATTTTAAAAGTAAAACATTTTAAAGTATTAGCTATGGCTTCTCTATACACTGTGGCACTCAACTGTATTCTGATGGAAAAATCACTTTCTTTTAATAGAGGACCGTCAAAACTATGACCTTTCTAAACTATAACCACAGGGCTGTTTAAAACATTAAAAACAAAGCACAAATCCTCTACCAGTTCCTCTGAAATTTGGGCTTCCTAATCTGTATTTAAATTTTTAAGAACTTTAAACATAGCTGTATTTATTAAGTGTTCAACGATTTTCCATTAACAATGACCTACACTCAATTAATGAATCCAAATAAAAAAGTCTTTTAACCTAAGACCTCCCAATATCAGAAGATGTGCAAGTCTCCAAGCTCCTTAGAAATTCTTAGTTTGCTTCAAAATAGTGACTCCCGCAAACACTGAAATAGATTCCTTTTCCAGCATACTTAAAATAGCTTTTCTTAACTCTTGGTGACATCAAGTGACATCTTGTACTGTGAAGTCAGAATGTAAGAACGCTTCCACAACAGTGGCAAAGTAAGTCACAATTCAGGTAAAAATGAGAAAGTGACATCTCCAAAAACAAAGTAATAGCACTCTGGTAAACATGCCTATCAATTCATTTTAAAAAAAAAACTGGACCCAAAAAATAATAGACCCAAACTGAACTAATGGTATGTATCAATCAGGAAATAGATGAGCCACTTTCAAAACTTCAAATGTCTTCTTAGCTAGGACATCCTTCCTGACTGACTGTTTCCAATAGGATTTCCAAAATATCACACTCTACACATCTAAGATCACACCACTTTCCACCCGTTCCACATTCCTGTCTGGCAGAGGCACTGGCTTTTTCCAACCTGCTGGAGTCATGCACACCTCCTCCTCTCTCCTCAGTTACACAGGTGACTCCTCAACACTAAGGTAATATTTAAGGTCAACCACAATATGATCCCAGTCTCCTTTCTGGTTTCACTTGGTGCCACTTCCCTAAGGTTTCCTCTTTGTCCTCAGAGCACACCTCGTGATTCTTAGAAATTAGCTTTCACTCATCCCACAGCCCCTCACTGGATGCTCTAGAGTTCACCAATATAGTCCCATAAAGCCTTTTTTTTTTTTCTTTTTTTTTTTGAGACAGAGTCTCAGTCTGTCACCCAGGCTGGAGTACAGTGGCATGATCTTGGCTCACTGCAACTTCCACCTCCTGGGTTCAAGCAATTCTTGTGCCTCACCTTCCCAAGTAGCTGAAATTACAGGCATGCACCACCACGCCTGGCTAAATTTTGTATTTTTGGTAGAGACGGGGTTTCACGTGTTGGCCAGGCTGGTCTCGAACTGCTGACCTCAAGTGATCTGTCCGCCTCAGCCTCCCAAAGTGCTGGGATTACAGATGTGAGCCATCATGCCCGGCCCACAGTCCCATAAAGTCTTTACGGTGTAGCTCAACTCCACCTTCTCCTAAAAAATTGTGTTGTTCTCTCTTCAACTACAATGGTGATGCTGACACTTATGAAGTTTATTGGCATTCAAATATTTATTGAATGAATAAATAGCTTAAATATCCTGCATTTTATTGTATAGAATTATAATGTTATTTGCCAACTTTTTTCTTTTTTAATTTTTATTTTACCACCACCACCATGAGATTGGAATACTCCAGCATGGGTAGTCATCTCGTTTCTCACACTGCTGAATCTGTCTGCTGTGATGCTCACATTGTTATGGAAACAGTAGGTGCTCAAATATTTAATGGAGTCTCAGAATATAAATAGCATTTTAGGATCATCTGGTTTAACTACCAGTTAAAAATCTTTGAATGTCCTCTACAATATTTCTACTGCTCACCCTTTACCTGAACTCCCTTCCTCCACAGGCAGCCAACCTCAATGTTTGAGAGCTCTGACTTCAGGAAACTGTTCCTGACACTGGCTCTCCAGCCTTCTCCCTGATATTGTATAAAATAAGCTTACCTCTCTCTGTTTCTGCATAATATAATAGCAGAATGAACCCTTATGAAGGTTCATCCCTTCATGCATTCACTCAACAAATACCTTGAGGCCAGGCACCTGGGATATAAAGAACACACACACCACCACCACCTCCTCCTCAGAGACCCCACTCTCATGGAGTTAAAAATAAGCATAAAATATAGATATTGTTCAAATAATCACCCATGCCATATATGCCCAGATCATCAACCACTGGCATGTGGTATAATCTCACCTCCCCTTGGTTATTCTGTGTTCTTGCTCCCAAATGCCACCAATTTATTCAGAAGACATCACCCACCTCCCTGACAACCAAGATATGACTCCTACTCCTCCACTGGTAGCCAAAGCAGTGAAACCCACGCCCATTTGTGATCCCAGATCCCATTTATAAGGTCCAAATTCACCATTCCTGGAAACCAAGAGGTTTTTTGTGATGTAGGAAGTGTCTCTCTTCCTCATTCCCCCATCTGAAACAGGAGGACCCATTTTGCAAACAAAACATTTCACAAAACCTTAATACATAAAAGAGCTGAAGTCAACATTAGCATAAATTTATCTTTTAATTTGGAATGCATGCCCATTTCTTATTAAAAAGACAATCAAAGGAAACGACGAGGCTGTTTGATGAACAAAACAGTAACTGGAAATTGGGATGGAGCATTACATCAACCTTGAAATCCAATTTGTTTCTGCATTTCTGTTCTACTTACAAAGCATCAGCTTAAACCTCTCACAGATAAATAGATAAAAAGCTCACCTTGCAATTTCAGGATGCTCTTTAATTAAACGGATTCAAAAGCTTGAAAAAGAAGTGGGAAATTTCTTAGTCAAAAAGTTGAATCACTAACAATGAACCAGCTCTCATTTTTTATGAAAACTGCAGGAGAAACAAGCACCCATTCCTTAGAATAGGCCAATAAAGAAAAAAGAAAAACCACATATGCACAAAAAAATACATCTTGCCACATTTTGCTACATGTGTTCTTTCATTATTACACAAGTGAAGCATCTACAACTTCCCTGGCACTTAACTAAGCCTGGTGTACAAGTGCAATTGCCACATACAAAAATGGTACACATTTACCAGAGTGGGCCAGGGTGAAAACCCAACCTTCCCCAGTAACAGTACATTGGAGAAACCTTTGAACAGAGATGGCAGGAGATGCCAGCTCTAGTCTAAGGTTTGCGCAGAAAAAGATTTCATCTGGCAGGACACATGAAAGAATCAGTAGTTTCCACTTTTTTTGTTGTTTGTTTTTTGTTTTTGTTTTTTTGGGGGTTTTTTTTGTTGTTGTTTTGGGGGTTTCTTTGAGGGGAGGGAAGAGTCTCTGTCACCCAGGCTCACTGAAACTCCACCTCCCAGGTTTAAGTGGCTCTCGTGTTTCAGCCTTCTGATTAGCTGGGATTACAGGTATGTGCCACCACGCCCGGCTAATTTTTGTATTTTTAGTAGAGACAGGGTTTTGCCACATTGGCCAGGCTGGTCTCAAACTCCTGACCTCAAGTGATCCACCCACGCTCGGCCTCCCAAGGTGCCGGTTGTACAGGCAAGCCACCGCGCCCGGCCTAGTTTCCAACTTTTAACACTGGAACATGACGTATTTGTACATTCCTAGCATTTCAAGAACACGCCTGGAAACCCCTAAGACAGAACCCAAACCCCACAGTTTACTGCACAAACTGAAAGAAAGAGCACTGCTACCTTGACACCTTTTAAAAAAATCACTACACTGATTATTTACACACTACACTTTCTAAAGGAGCATGGATATTGTTATTGTTCTCTACAAGTTTTTATAACAAACTACTTCAATAAACACAAATGCAATTACATCATGTGCAGATTTTACAATTTTTTAAATGTCAGATTCTTTTCTTATTAAACCAACTTCATAGTACCAAAACTGAAAAAAGATTGTGTATCCAAACATTATTTCACATAAAATGTATTTTGATAAAGTAAATTCCCAAACCATGGTGCTCAGAGGTTGTAACAGTCCATGTAAGTTGAAGAAAAAGAGTTATCAATCAATACGTGACTATCAATCATTTATTTAATCATTATTTAGTTTTCACATATCTTAAAATTCAGTAGAAGAACCAGCACTCATAAAGGTGGCCATTCCTATACCTGCCATCGATTACATTATTTTACTTAAATCAAGCTTATATTACATCTGACAACATTCCTTGTTAAAGAATAGAATTCCTTAAACAGGGCAATATTACACATCTATTAGAAATATGCAGAAAAAAAGATAATTATAAAACTCAATTTGGAAAACATTCCAGGAACATAAGTCCAAGATCATCATTTATTCTGAAGAAACGAATTTGTTCAGATTTATACATTTTGCATGTATTTGATATAAATATTAATTCTGAATTTTCAGACTGAAGCTGGTTTAAATTAAAACTCAAAGCCTCAAGATACCATAAATTAACATACAAAGGGACATCAGATAAGCAAATTATTTGTTTCCTTCTCTGAAATTTCTAAAAATAATACATTAGAACTTTCATCTAAAAAGCTGGCCATTTCAATTGTTAGAAAAGCACAGGTTCAAAAATATTTGTCACAAGAGAAGTTATTCCCTCCTTGATGGTTGGGGGAGAAAGTCATTTCAGTGATAAAAATGAGTTTGTATTTGTAAGCAAGATTATCAATTCCAGTTAGGCCCCATCAGGCTACATGGAAACACTGAATAAATTACGGTTGAATGAATTTCTTGGACAAACTTCAGCCAGTCATTTTCAGTTTCTTCACAAAAACAAGAAGCTTTTGGGAAAACAAGATAATTTTGTTAGGAGAAAATCTAAGGCCGAACAGTAATAGAGGTGTCTACAGGAATCAAACTGTTCAATGACTTACATTGCCTGAGTTGGTTTTCTTTTTTTCTTTTTTTTTTTTTTTTTTAGTACACAGGCCATATTCCATATTAATATTATTTCTTATAATCCTCCTGAAGTAATCACTATGAAGAGTGTAAAGTGGGTCTTTTCAGGACCTTTTTCCCCATGTGTGTCTTTTTTTCCTGACAAATGGACTGTGGTGTTTTCCTCTCCTGGCCCCTCAGCCATGTATAAGAGCTGTAAGAGTGTACAGGTCACATGTGAAACTTCAGTGTTTCTGGCCCCTGAAGGCAGAGTAAGAAAAGTGATGAAATTGCAAAAATCCACCCTAAGAGTGCTCTACAAAGACACACAAAAGCATATGGGAATATAAGCTGGGCTTCGACAGTCGAAAGTGAAAAATGATACTTTCACGGCTGTGTCATTAACACATACAAGAGAAGCCCAGGAACACCACCGAAGGCTGTTCCCACCCATGAAGGACCTGCATTTCTCCATGTCTGACACCTATTTATAGCAGACATGATTTCTGCAGACAAGTATTTATGCACATTAGATATGCATTATTTAATGGTACTACTACACCAAAATGGGAATTTTCTACGAATCTTTGAATAGGCCCTCAAACTCTCCTTCCCTTCAATAATTACGTTCAGTTTTAAATAACTTAAATCTTCAACTTTAATTGAAAACAAAGCATCTCTATTTAAAACCTCTGGATCAGAGTGTTTTACTGTCTTAATAAAACAAGTGACTGAAAGGAAGACTAAGAGAGACTTCCTATAGTTAACCAAGAAGAGTTGAAAAAGCTTTAACTAGGTACATCTCAGCAAAAGTAACAAACCAATCCACTCTTGAACCCCCTAAACCCCAGCTCCACCCACTCCAGACAGACCTGTTTAACAATGTCAGTGCAGGGCCAGGTGCAGGGGCTCATGCCTGTAATCCCAGCACTTTGGGAGGACGAAGTGGGGCGGATCACGAGGTCAGGAGATCGAAACCATCCTGGCTAACACGGTGAAACCCTGACTCTACTAAAAATACAAAAAATTAGCCAAGCATGGTGGCGCGCACCTGTAGTCCCACCTACTTGGGAGGCTGAGGCAGGAGAATCACTTGAATCTGGGAGGCAGAGGTTGCAGTGAGCTGAGATCTACCACTGCACTCCAGCCTGGGCCACAGAGCAAGACTCCGTCTCAAAAAAAAAAAAAAAAGTCAGCGCGCATGCAGCTGTCCTTGCTCTGCTGGTCCCAGGCACCAGCTGCCTGGTCTCTAGGAACAACACGTGATTGTGTGCACACGGCTCCTATTCCACATGGTTTTTTGTTGATGTTTCCCATTATCTGCCAAGGAGACTCTAGAATCCTTCAGTGAAGAACTGCGTTTCATGACTGCATGCGTCTCCCACGCTAATATCTGTGACCTTGTTCTAAGCAGGAAAAGGTGTGTAACAAGTTAAACGGCCCTTTCTGCTGGGAAGGTAGCAGTTGGAATAGAAGCAGCAGCTTTGACCTATCAAGCATGATGTTTTGACCCTCATCCCACAGCTGTGAGGAAAGAACTTATTGAAAGAAAACTAGGTAAAAAAAACCACAACGAAAAGGATCTGTTGTGACTAAGGGCAGTCTTTTCAGACAAATCGATTTCTGCTCAAAGCCACAGAATCAGAATAAACAGTCCCTGTTCATGTACCCAGAGCAGAAACAGTGAGCCGTGTCACTTCAGGGTCGGGTGAGGCCTCTGAGATGTCACAGATCCTTGGTGCACTCAGCGGCTGATGTAGCCAGTAAGACCCAATGTCAGGCACTGAGCCCAGAAGCCACCAGGAGGAGGACAGGCCTTCATTCAACTGGCTCCTCTGGGCCTCCCTACAGACAGGAGGATGATGGTGGAGAGGACAGGAGGCTGACACTGTGCCCTGCACAGGCCCCTCTGCAACGCAGATCCCCAAGAAACCCCACAGTGCCAGCTGCTCAGCCCGCTCTGATGTCAACCAGGTGAGGGCTGTCGGGGCTGCGTCCTCCAGGGCCCACGTCCCACTGCAGCAAGACAAGGCCCCAGACAAGCTCTGAGAAAGCCTCCCATGCAACCCAGGTCACACTGCTGGGGAACCGGCTTCTCAGGGCTCAGGCCAGGGGTATGGGTCACCAGACCTCAACAAGCACATGTCAACAGCTCTGAGCCCTGGGCTGCAAAGACATACAAGAGCTAAGAAAGGTGACCTCTCACGGAGCCCTCAGCCCTGGACAAGCTCAACTGCTCAGCTTCCACAGGGACCTTCTTCCATATAACTGATTTGGGGGCATAAAAACCATGTTAACAGTCCCCAATGTTGTCAAGGATCTATAAGACAGAGTCAAAAACTGAGTGTGCCTGTAGATTCTGAGGCCACAGCCTATTCTTTCAGGTTCTGACTGCAGCAGGAAAAGCTTTAAAATGTGCTTTCTAAGCAAGTTAAGACTTTACAGTTCTCATGGAGGCTCCTGGAACTCCTATGAGTACAGTCGGCAGCAATTACTTTGTGAAATCAGAAAGGAGCTTAAACAATACACTTACTGAGCACCAACTATGAACCTGGCAAATTTCTTGGTGTAAATCTGGGCTGCTGGTGAGACCCAACTCAGGGAAAGCCCATCTCCAGGTGCAGAAGCACAGCAGGTGCCTGCGCTGGTGGTGGGCTTGGGGACTCCACACACAGGTGGTTTTAGTCCATGCACTCAAGTTGACACAACGTAGCTAGAAAAGTACAAGCTCGGTCATTTCCTGTTAATGAGGCCTGAGTGGAGGGTTTTCGACTTGAAAACAAAGGAATTGAAGGGATTCAAAGTAAGATGAAAAGTCAACTTCAAGGCCAGGCGCGGTGGCTCACGCCTGTAATCCCAGCACTTTGGGAGGCTGAGGCAGGTGGATCACCTGAGGTCGGGAGTTTGAGACCAGCCTGACTAACATGGAGAAACCCTGTCTCTACTAAAAATAAAAATTAGCCAGGCGTGATGGCGCATGCCTGTAATCCCAGCTACTTGGGAGGCTGAGGCAGGAGAATAGCTTGAACTGGGGAAGCGGAGATTGAGGTGAGCCGAGATCACACCATTGCACTCCAGACTGAGCAATAAGAGCGAAACTCCACCTCAAAACAAAAACAAAAACAAGTCAACTTCACCAGAGCCCCATCTTAATGTGGGGACAGGTTCTTAAGTCTAACTCAAAAGAGATGCCGAGACCTTGCCTAATCAATATTCTATCTCAAAATATCTTCAAACTGCCCAGTAGTAAACAGATTGCTATTGTTTTGGTCCCCTCAAAGATGAAGTAGCTGGCTTGTGTTCAAGGGTCATAAAAGACCACTCCCTCTTCCCCAAAAAGAAAGGAGGACCTGTAAACATTGGAATTACATTCAATGCAGCAAGATGCTGACCCTGGACAGCCAGGAGTTGGGACCAAGAGAAGAGCAGACTCACACCTCCATTTAATGCTCATTCTCTCACGCGTTCATGGAGTGGAATGGAAGGTACACTAGCAGCCCTTTTCAAGTCACTCACTGTCCCTGTGTGTGTACACTTTCTCTCTCCCCCCTCCTCTCTGTGTGTGAAGTGTCTTATCTGTTTCTCTCTCTCTCTTTCTTTCTTTCTGACTCTCATCCCCTCTCTGTGTGGGAATACAGCTTGTTCTTTTTCACTTTCTTTTTGGGGAGGCCAAGGGATGGAAAGGAAGACAAAGAGAACAAACAATGTAATTGGACATTATTCTGTGATTAACTCATAACTCTACATTTTGGCATTACATAATCTCTGAAACCACTCACAGGGCATATATTATATCTGTTATGACTAAAATGTAAAATAAAGAAGAAAATGCTGACTGCTTTGAGAGCCCTAACTCATATTTGGATGCAAACATCTGAAAATTAGCCAAGGAACTGACAAAACACACAAGAAGAACATGGTTATGACACTCAAATCTAACACAGTTGCACATACTATAATTTCAGGGCAAGCTTTCAAAAAACACTCCCTTCCTTCTAACTGCAGCCAAAGATATGAGTGATGGAATGTGCACATCCAAAGTGAAATGTCATAACCACCACGACCCACACCTAGGCACATGCATAAGCCCAGGCGATCGTGTTCCAGACTTTCTAGGCTCAGAGGATGACACGTCATCTTCGCCTGGCTATATTTTTATAAGACTCCACTTTCAAAGCCAAATATTCTTTTGAATTATATTGATCTGAGATACCCATCTTTTTTTTTTTTTTGGAGATGGGGTCTTATTCTATCACTGAGGTTAGAGTGCAGTGGCACAAACACAGCTCACTGCAGCCCTGCAGCCTTGACCTCCTTGGCTCAGGGGATCCTCCTGCCTTAGCCTCCCAAGTAGCTGGGACCACAGGCATGTGCCACCACAACAAGATAATTTTCAATTTTTGTTTTAAACAGAGATGGGATCTCACTTTGTTGCTCAGGCTTGAACTCCTGAGCTCAAGCAATTCTCCTGCCATGACCTCCCGAAGTGCTGGGATTACAGGCATGAGCCACCGTGCCCAGCTGCCCATCTATTATGAACTGAATTGTGTTCCCCTCTCCCGACAAAAAAATATGTGAAGTCCTAAACTCCAGTATGTCAGAATGTGACCTTACTTGGAGATCGGATCTTTATTGGATTAATTAAGTTAAAATGAGGTCATTAGGGTGAGCCCTAATCCGAGATGACTAACGTCCTTATAAAAAGGGGAAGTGTGAACACAGAGGCAGACAAGACGCAAAGGGAAGATGCTGTGCAGACACACAGGGAGAAGGCCAGGTGAAGGTGCAGGGCTGGACTGATGCACCTGCAAGGCCAGGAACACCTGGGCTTCCGAAGCCAGGAACAGGCATGGAGCAGGTTCTTCTCTAGAGCCTTTGGGGAGGGGGGTGTGACCCTGCCAAAGCCTTGATGCCAGAATTCCAGCCTCCAGAACTGTGAGACAATGAGTTTCTGTGTGTCAAGCCATCCAGTTCTTGGTACTTTGTTATGACGTCCCTTCAAAACTAACAGACCATACATAAGCCCTCTGACTGAAATAGTTTAAAGTGTTATGTGGGAAGATTACTGATTCCAGGAAGAAATGATGGGCAGAGGTGGGTACACACAGGTTGCCTCATCAGCTTCATGAAGAGTCCAAAGTTGCTGCAAGCCCTCTTGGTGGACAGAGTCTGCTTTCTGCTCTAAAGCCCAGGCAGAAGAGGTGCTGAGTTTACACGTTGTGCCCTAATCTGCCCCACTCTCCTGGGATTTGCACAGCCATGATGAAGGAACCAATTCACAATAAATGCAGGATGTTCACCCATGCTACGTGGGAATACTTTCCAAACTCTGGCAACTTCTCTCCCCAAATTATTCCCTTTTCCTGTTGAGAGATACTGCACAGGAGCTTAGACAAGATTTTCATTTAGTAATAACGGGATGGGATGATCCATCCACAAGAAATAAGCTCAAGCACATACTCTGCTGTGTCTTTACTACAGAGTATTCAAGTAGTCAAATGCCAGGGACCAGTGACTCTGTGTACATATTAAGTAAAACCTGATTGGGAAATCTCTAATACGTCCATTCAGTCAACATTTATTGAATTCCTGCTACAATTTAGGTGAAGGCTCAGCACATGCTTCTGTAAAGGGCCACAGAGTATGGATTTTAGGCTTTGCAGGCAATATATCCTCTGTCCCAAGAATCGCCAATGCTCAATGCTGTCCCAGTGAGAAGCAGCTGCAGTCGGTACAGAAACGAGTGGGTGTGGCTGTGCTCCAATAACAGAGCTGCACTTGGCCTTAGCCGTTGGGGAGATAAGGCAGCCCTGCCCTGGAGTGAGTGGCTTCATCACGCCTGAGAGACAGAGGCCAGAAAGCAAAAAGCTTTGACAGCCACACTGCGCAGCACTGATGGGCCTGACCAGGATGGACAGAGAGGCAGATACACCTGTGTTTGGAGCAATATAATTTTAGAGAGTGAGGCAGTGAAAAACTGGAAAACAACCAAAAATTTAAAAATGAAAAAAGAAAGTGGAGAGAAAAATGACGAACAAGAAACAAACAAAAATTCCACGCATTACAGAGAGGAGTGGTTCACGACACCAGCCAATGTTGCAGGTGACATGAAAATTCCCTACATCCTTCAAATATGATTTTTTAAAATCCCTGTGAAAAGCCAAATGGCCTATAAATGGGTAAAAGAATAGGTCTTTAAGCCCTCCCCCAAAATGGGGAAAGAGGGGTGTTAAATTCTTCCTTCACCACGATCTCTATCAGCCATCTAATATTGCAGAGTTATGAGGTGAGAATAATGTACCCAATTGGTGCGGTAATGAAAGGTCCCTGGGCAGAAACACAGGCTCCATCTGCCCATACACTGTGGACATCTATTTTAACAAGCCTGTGTGTGATTTACTGCCCCGGACTCTCATATTAAACATTTTCAATATCTTTTAGCAGTTCAATAAAACCTGTTAAAATTAAATTCCAACCACAACTCACTCATCTACACCTTAGGAGGCAAAGGTTATACTAATGTGATCTCTCTTTATAGCCCTTGACAAGAAACAAAAGGAAGTCTTTCGCTCTGCATGTACAAAAGTAGTGATCCAAAGGCACAAAGGGGGGTATTTCCTCAATCTACACGTGTATGTGTGTGCATGTGCACACACACACACATACACACGTTAAGGTCAATGAATCCAGATTTGGGAATAGGTTTTGCTGCTCAGAGTGTGGCTAAATGAAAACTCAAGAAAGATCACTTCCAATCTGCTAGACGAAAACCTACAAAGAGGGCCTCAGTTGCAAGTTTCATATGTATGTACACAGACTGATCAAAATTAATATTGCACTGCATTATTTGAGACCCATTAAAAAGAGACCACCCAGTGGCTAAAATGTTTGAGATAAAACACTTCATCTGGTTGTCATAACCCTTTGTTTAGTGACTTATTTAAAACAATAAACACTAAAATATTCAAGACCCGCAGCTTTTATTAGGAGATTTTAAGACTGTTTTTGGGATAATCTGTCATTTTCTGTAGGTCAGTGGTCTACAGTGTTAATTTATTCAATAAGCAAATATTACAGATAGAATATGCATAGATATTAAGTATATTTCATATATGTAGATATTTATCTAAGTATCTAATGTATAACAAAACAAAACACACAAAGAATACATGCAGCTGTCCCCAACTGTGGTCAGCGAAACACGGCCTGTATTACTGATGAAAACGTGTAGCCCCTACACAGGCTGCCTAAACTTAGGGCCTATCAAACTAGAAGAGGGAGGGAGAGAGGAAATGGAGAAAGTGATCTAAAATCACCGACATAGCAATGGTACTCCTGGAGTTTAGAAACGTAAAGCATTTCAACTCCTTGTGGGCCTGCACTTACTCGGCATGGAGCTGGACCCTTGATCACCAAAACTGGAAAAACAGATTCCCTTCTGCATCCACGACCAGGCCTTGCCTGATTTCAAGGAAGTTTAAACAATGGTCAAAACACCCTGCCCAGATGTGGCAGAGACTCCTCCTGCAGGAATGCAGCTTTTCACATCCAGGTTCCCAACCTCCAAACACCCATGACCAACTATGGCCACAAGTCCCGACCAGAGCATCCTAGTCCACCCTTATCCTCCCTCTCTCTCTTTTTTTTTTTTTTTTTCTTCCGGAGACAGGGTCTTCCTCTATTACACAGGCTGGAGTGCAGTGGCACAATCTCAGCTCACTGCAACCTCCGCTTCCTGGGCTCAAGTGATCCTCCCACCTCAACCTCCTGGAGTAACTGGGGACTACATGCACAAGCCACCATGCCTGGCTAATTTTTGTATTTTTTGTGGAGTCAGCGTTTCACCATGTTGGTGTCTCAAACTCCTGAGCTCAAGCGATCCTCCCACCTTGGCCTCCCAAAGTGCTGGGATTACAGGCATGAGCCACTGCACCTGGCATCTTATCCTCCAAGGCTGTGCTAGGAGGAGCAAACACACATAGTGATTTCTGTAAACAGATTTATTTATTTATTTATTTATTTATTTATTTATTTATTGAAACAAGGGGTCTCCAGGCTGGAGTGCAGTGGCGCAATCATATTTCACTACAGCCTCAAACTCCTGGGCTCATGCAACCCTGCCACTTCAGCTTCCCAAGTGGCTGGGGCTACAGGTGCATGCCACCACGCCTGGATAACTGTTTAATTTTTTTGTAGAGATGGGTCTTGCTATGTTGCCCAGGCTGCTCTCAAACTCCAGGCCCCAAGTGATCCGCCTACATCAGTCTCCCAAAGTGGTGGGATTACAGGCATGAGCTACTGTGCCCAGCCTAGATTTTTCTTTTCCAGTATCCCAAATCCACAAGTCATCATAATTAGCAGAAGTGATCACTGAGGCAAAATGCCCATGTGATTACCTTTCGGGGTGTACCCACTCAGCCCCTCCTCTCCTGCCCTTCAACCATCAATCCAACATTTTCCCCTCGAAATGTGGTACAAAAACACAATCACATACGGCCCGAAAAGGTCCGTGACGTCAAGGCAAGTACATTGATTGAAGTAACATGAGAGAGAAGGGGTGGGTGTAGCAAAAACATTCTCAAGGCCAAGTCATCAGCCCTTACCCTTAGGAGGGGGCAGTGATTAAGAGGTGGTATGAGAGCCTCGTTTCTCATTTCTATAAGTGCTGGTAAAGGACCTGACCCCACTTCCTTACCTACTGCCTGCCCAGGTAACTGATGCCTACAGCATCACAGGAATTGCCAAAATGCAGAAAACAAATCCTAAATTGCTCTAATTTCATAACACAAAGGCTGGTTTTTGGCTTGAAATAATCAGGCAAATATATAATGTTCTGTCACCCAGGCTGAAGTGCAGTGGCACAATCTTGGCTTACTACAGCCTCAACCTCCTGCACTCAAGCAATCCTCCAACCTCCTGAGTAGCTGAGACTATATGCACATGCCACTATATCTGGTTAAATTTTTTATTTTCTGTAAAAACGAGGTCTTACCATGTTGCCCAAGCTGGTCTCAAACTCCTCGCCTCAAGTGATCCACCTGCCTTGGCCTCCCAAAGTACTGGGATTACAGGTGTGAGCACCATGTCCAGCCGCCGCTGAGGTCTTAATAGGTGGATGTTTTGGGTTTTTTAAGTGACAAAGTTGTCCATTTTTAGGTCTCTCGTATTGATGTTTAATTAGAAATATTAGCCTGAGGCCAGGCAGAGTGGCTCACGCCTGTAATCCCAGCACTTTGGAAGGGGGAGGCTTTTGAGATCAGCCTGGCCAACATGGCGAAATTCCATCTCTACTAAAAATACAAAAATTAGCCAGGTGTGGTGGCAGGCACCTGTAATCCCAGCTACTTGAGAGGCTGAGGCACCAGAATTGCTTGGACCCAAGAGGCGGAGATTGCAGTGAGCCGAGATTGCGCCACTACACTCCAGCCTGGGCTACAAAGCAAGACCGTGTCTCAAAAAGAGGACCTCAGCAGTGGACTCCCTGCTGACTTCAGCAATTCCATTCCCTAGATCACCCCCATCCCTAATCCTAAGAAGTACTCCCAGAATCCAGCCCCATCCTCTGCGCTAAGGAGGCCACCACAACCTTCACACGCCATTAGCCAGGGGACAGTGGGGCATCACTTTTCTCCTAAGCAAATCAGTCCCATGTAGGACAAAGGAATTAACTTTGGTTTTAAGGGGCTGGCAAAAGACAGACCAGAGAAGAACAGTATCTCAGAAGAAGGTATGAACAGTTCGATGTAGGTAAACACAGATAATACTGCCAACACCAGCTCCTCTGGCATCTGTACCAGGTAGATACAAATCAGAAATGCTGCTTTTGAGAGAAATTAGAAATGGGGTAGCTAAAAATGTATATTTTGAAAATAAGAATCTTATGCAGTCAAAAGCTTATTATACTGATTATACATAAATACAAAGCATTAGTAGCGTACAGCTCTAGAGGATAAACCCAGCAAGTCTTACCTTCATCAAAGCATCTGTAACACTCCAATAGATTCAAACAGAAGGAATCAATTATCATTCCGATTGTGATTTTTCTAATGCATGGTTGGAGTGTCTTTACTTCCCGTTGGCTTAACAGAGCTCCAGTGGCCACAGGTGGCTCGGGGAGGAACCGAGGAGGCTGCGCAGAGGCTAAGAAGGGAGGCCAACCTGCAGGCCAAACAACAGAGCGGGGCTTTCACCCCCAGGGGCTCGCCTGACTTGGAGGCTCAAGATTTGAGATTTCTTAAATTTCTCTTGTATATTGACAAGTTATCATTGAGGTACAAAAGTGATGTTATTGTTTAATACAATGTGGAATGAATAAATCAAGTTAACTAACATTTCCATCCCCTCAAATATTCAACATTTTTTATGATGAGAACATATGAAATTTACTCTCAGCAGTATTAAAATGTACGGAACTCAATTATTAGCTACATTCACTACACCATGTAACAGAGCTCCAAAAAAAAGAATAAGAAATAAATCAAACCTATGCCTCCTATGTAACCCAGGCTTTGTGCCCTTTGGTTACGATCTCCCCAACCCCCCTCCCAACCGCTAACCTCCCAACCTCTAACCCCCATTCCTCTTTGCTTCTGTGAGTTTAATGGTTTCAGATTCTGCGTATCCGTGAAAACAGGCAGTATTTGTCTTTCTGTGTTTGGCTTATTTCACCTAACACAATGTTCTCTAGTTCCATACACGTTGTCACAGATGACAGAAGTTCTTCCTGTTTTATGACTGACTAGTACTGCACTGTGTATACAGACCATTTATCCATCCGTCCAACGTAGGCTGGTGCCGTATCTTAGCTACAGTGAACGGCGCTGCAACAAACACGGGTGTGGAGACATCTCTTCGACATATTGATTTCAAATCTTTCAGGTAAACACCCAGAAGTAGGATTGCTGGACCATATGGTAAGTTCTATTTTTAGGTTTTTGAAGAACTTCCATGCTGTTTTCCATAATGTCTGTATTAATTTACATTCCCACCAACAGTGTATGAGGGTTCCTTTTTCTCCACATCCTCACAATACTGGTCATTTTGTGGGGTCTTCTGGATAACAGCTATTCTAACAAGAGGGAGGTGACATTTCACTGTGGCTTCACTTTTCCTTTCTCTAGTTTTGAGAGTTTTAAGTAGAAGGCCATTAGCGTCCATTTTAACCCCTATTCCATACTCAACTACATTGACCTGTCTAGTTCCAGCCTGAGTCCTCTGACCTGTCCCTTTCTTATTCAAAAGGTAATCAGTAACAGACCCAGGAAGCTACACAATGGCAGGAATAGATGACACTAGAAGATGAAACTCCTTCCTAAAGGAAGCAGAACTGGAAGAGCACTATTTGGGGAGAACCCTGGGAATAGATCCAAGGCGGCTTGTTTGGAAACCCAGAAAAAATAGGGGAGTTGTGAGAAATTATCCCCTAATTACTAAGGAGCTGTTAACAGATGAAGTCAATCTACATTTGCTGATGCGGAAACTTATCCAAGATATACTGGCAGAACAGTACGTATAGCGGGAAACCATTTGTGCGTGTGGGTGTGCTTAAAATGCTCATATATGTGCAGAAAATTTCTGGAAGGATGCGGGAAAAAAAAGATAATGTTTTCCCTCCAGGGGAGGGAAGGAATGTGGTATTCAGGACATTTTTATTTATTTTCCAGTTTACACACTTCTCCATTTTCTTTCCCATTAGCATGTACTACTGCTGTTATAACTAAACAAGAAATACTCAGGCTTTAAATAAACAGAAGAAACTGAAAGCAGGATAGGTACAAGGTTTTAAAGAATTGTTCCATTCAATAAGAAGGAAAGAAACAAAAACAGGGCAAAAAATGCTCTTACATGCACAAAGAAACAACTGAAAACAAAAGTACCTTCAAATGAAACATGGAGACAGCTTTGGCTTTTTGCTGAGACCCTAAACTTGGTGCTTTCAAATGTATTACGGGCAGAATGAAAGCTGCAAAGTACCATTTCCAGAACTGGGAGCTTTTTCAGTTTGTTGGGTGATTTCTAGTTAAGATTGAAGCTGGAGTGCTGGGAACAAAAGGCATCAAAAAGCAAACAGGGGGAATCTGAACATGAATGAGGTGAGGGGACAGCCATGATGGCATCACCACAGGCGAAGCAGGAGTCCAGGGCACAGTGGTGCTTCATGTCTAGCGTCCACCTGAAGAATGGCGGCCTACACTGGGTCCCCAAATAGTCACTGTGTTTCAGAGCACACCCAGATGGCATCACGATGGCTCCACTGAAAACACTGCTCAAAACCGGAGATTCACTTCTAACATGAGGTTATAGAAAAATACATATTTAAGACATTTTCAAAGGAGGAGGAGAACTGGAGAAATGCAGCGACGTGTTCAAGCTCCATGGATGAATTCAAGGCTTCTCCCCATGGGTGCTCTCAGCCCACCATGTTGCCGGTCTTCTGATTCTATTTGCAGATAAATGCTAAAGGCATAGGATTTCAAATAGGGGTAGCCAGAAAGTATTGGGCAATAAGTCAGCTTGTGGTTACCTGTCTGAGCGAGAGATGCCAGGCATAAGGCTGAGGGCTTGGGCCCTAGAGCCAGAGAGTGTGCATTTGGGGCTCAGCTCCTTTTCCCCACATGGGAAAGTTTCTTAACTTTCCTGCCTATCCTGAGGGACCACAGGGGTACGACAATGACGGTAGTGGTAAGGGGTCTCAATGTGACAGGGTTGCTACAGAACTAAGGGAGATAGTAAAGCACTCAGAACAGCACCCAGTACGACTCAAATTTATATGCCTATGACTCTGAACACACCAACCAAGTCTGCTAAATGGTCCATTCCTTGAGGTTGGTCAACTGGTATGTAGAAAACACTCGATGAGATACTTGTTTTAGTTTTTCTTCTTTGCTATTCATTCAATCTTAAAGGATGATGTAGGAAGAGAAAAGAACAAGTGAGCACCTACCGGTATGTCCCAGAACTGAGCTGGACTTCTATAAATACAGTAGAACTTTCTCCTCACATTTGCTGTGTGAGTTGATATTACCCAGATTAATAGACAAAGTCTGGGAAGGTTCTGGAACTACTTAAGGTTGTAAAGCTGACAGTGTGTGGGCAGACTGGGTCTTTAATCCCAGGTCAATGAGAACAGAGCCTGGACACCTCCCACCCCATATTCCCTCCACAGAATTTTTTTTTACGCAAGGATAACTTTTCTTAAGTAACTTTTCTTCTATTAAAAAAAAAAGAAGAAGAAGAAAGAAAGAAAGAAGAAAGGAAGGAAGAAGGAAGGAAGGAAGAAGGAAGAAGGAAGGAAGACGGAAGGAAGAAGGAAGAAGAAGAAGCCAAAACTCTTCAACGGTTTTTCATCCCTTGCCTGAAGGATAGATTTACGCATTTGCATGTGCCCAGGGCCCTCATCAGTTTAAACCAAACCAGGGCCAGCACTCCCTGTACACCTGCAGACAAACCCTCCCCTGCAATCCACGGAGACCCACCCTGTTTCCACCCTCTTCTTCCCAAATCTCTACTTTCCCTCTGTCATCCAAACCCACACTGCTGCCTCCTCCATCCGGGCTCGGGGCTAACACCCCTTTGCTCGCTGGCCCTTCTGAGGCCAGACACTCTCTGGCGTTAATTCACTGGGTGCCCCCTGTCCAGTCCCTCCACCCCACCACAAAGGCCGCTGGCGAGAGGCTTTGGAAGCACAGGACACATGAACCCAGACAGTTACCGCACAGGTGCTTCTGCGGGGTGGAGGCATGGAAAACGAAAATCACACTGCACCTAAGTCACCTCACGAAGAGTCAAAGTAACCATGATGCTTACGATGGTGTGCTAGTTCCCGTCAAGCCTAATGTTGTCACCCAATTAGAATAAATTGATTTCCTTCATAATGGGCTCTGTCTCCACGTTAATTTGACTGCATGCGCTCTAGGGGAGGATTCATGCCTGGAGAAAAGGTGGGGCAGGGCGAGGAGGCCCACAGGAAAGACCCGATGCCGTGACGGGCAGCAGGAGGGTGCACAGCTGCACACGACAGCAATGCACGGCTTATAAAAAATAAGCACGAAACAGGAAAACCAAGAAGGGCAAAGGAATTGTGCAGTTCCTCCTAGCATCAAAACCTTTTAGGCAAATGCCTACCGAGTCTTATCCATTCACAGCTCTGTTACGGAGCAAGAAAGTTGAGAATAAGGCATGAACTTAAAAGAAAGGAACTTAAAATCAAGATGACTGCCTGAGACATGTTGCACAACTGATATAAAAACAAATCTGAAAGTACAATTATACCCTATTGCAAGGATTTAAATAGTTAAGTGGTCCGGTTTAGTGCCTGCTTTATTTCCAGAAATCAATAAGTAAAATAAACCTGTTAGCCAGGACTCCATCAGGTGCTATGAGCCCAGTTTTGTGCAAGATGGATAAAATAATCCATGTGCCTTTATTTGCAAGTATTTTCCATTCTTTTCAAAAACAACGACAAAGCCAGCATGCAAGCTTTTTCCCAACTAACTCCTCTTATTTCCACACCTCATAACTATTCAAGGGATGAAAGAAAAAAGACTCCTTATCAAAGGCCTGCCACATATTTTGAATGTTGTACAATGAGAAACGTCCATTAACGTGAGAGCTCACCCCCATCCACAAGTGTTAGTTTTAATTACAAGTGATCCTGTGTATCAGGCCCTGCTGGAGAGACCAGTCGCAGAGGCTCCGAGAATTTCCCGGATCGTGCATTTGAATTCACTACAATGCTTTGTCACTGGGGGTTTCAGCGTTCAGTAATAATGTGCTTTGTTCTCAAAAATGCCCCCCACACCTGCCAACTGAAAAGAAAGCCAAGGAGACCCTTGCAGGCTGGTGTGCAATCACGCTGCCCCCCAGTGGGCACTGCCGGTACAGCAGCCCTAAAGAAGGGCAGAGCAAATGGGGAATCAGCACCTCTGCATCAGGCCGGCAGTTTGGAAAGCACCTGTCATCAGTGAGTTGAAGGAGCAAGAGAAACAAAAACAGAAGTGAACCTAAGAGAAAAACCAAGTGATCTCTTCTACAACTTCCATGCACATCAAATAATTAAGTTTGCAGGCGTGAAATATATTCAAAAGCCAGGTATACAAGCATGTTTACACAGTACTTAAAACTTTTACATAGGAAAAGCTGAGGCAAAAACAACTCTGTATCTGCAAGTGTACACATAAACAAGACACACGGACTGTGCACCCGCCATTCTTACAGTGGAGAAAACTGACAATTCAGTCCACAGAATATAATGGCTGTGATAGTCTGGTAGACAAAAGAATAACCAAAAGATAATTTGGACATTGTGGAGAGTGGACTAAAGGAGGCTGTGTGATTCTCCACTTCAAATGCAATCATTTCCCAGGATTCACAGCAAGGAAAGAAATACCTGAGATTTCAGAAAAATTAAAAATTCACAGTAAGTCATGAAGCCACCAATAAGAAACTGCCATGCTTTCTTCTTGGTTACACATCAAAAATTAAACATTTTCCCCTAAATTCCTAAGTACTGAGATTTCCTTTATATAACTCAAATTCAAGGAGGAGAGGCAAAGTAGGGATCCAGCCATGTGTCAGTAACAGTCCCCAATTAGCTAAACCATGCTAAGTAGCTAACTGCAAAATGTTCAGTACATCTAGGTAGCAGGAAACAGCAATATCTTCTGTGACACCTTACAAATGCTATTATGACACCTATGATAACTTTCATGACAACATTCTAAAATAAAATGTAACTATTTCCACATCACACTCAGACCCATTTCCTCTGGGAAGTGCAGGCGCAGGCTCACTCAGCTGCCAGCAAGGATGCTCACTCACAAACTGGCAGTGCCCTCTGCTGGACAGTCCATGAATCACACCCAAACAAGAAAAGTACTGCTTTCCATTTCTGGGTATTTTGAAATAAAAATACCACAAAACAGCTCAACTATTTATCCTTAATATAGTCCCTTCAACCTGTCTGGCAAAACCACGTAAAAATCTTATGCTTTCAGCAGGCTTGCTCTGATGTGTAAATCAGTTCTAAATTGAGTTCAATCCTCCACAAACATTCTTTGTCTTTGTTACTATATACGTATGATTTATAGTTCTCTCTCTGGGGAAATAAAATTAAGTTCTTTCACAATTCTTAGAAGAGAAATATGAAATACGGCTCTATGAAGTTATTTCAAAGATGACTTCTAACTAGGCCTAGGATCCTCATGCCATTAGCATAATGTCTAAAATTTCCTCTGTTCTCAAATTCATTCTAATCTATGAAAGAAGATATGAGTAGGCATGAAGATGTATAAAGATGATACCAAATTACACCTGGGTGCAGTGGCTCACACCTGTAATCCCAGCACTTTGGGAGGCCTAGGCAGATGGATCACCTGAGGTCAGGAGTTCAAGACCAGCCTGACCAACATGGTGAAACCCCATCTCTACTAAAAATACAAAAATTAGCCAGGCATGGTGGCACGTGACTGTAATCCCAGCTACTCGGGAGGCTGAGGTAGGAGAATCCCTTGAACACAGGAGGCAAAGGTTGCTGTGAGCAAAAGAGCAAGACTCTGTCTCAAAAAAATAAAAATAAAAGTAAAAAAAAAATAAAATACATAGGAAAACACAAGGAAAAAAAACACGTTTTTAAACAAACAGGAATGAAGCATTTCATGCCCTAGGGCACATCCCCGTTAGTGTGGTGGAGGATGAGAATCAAATCTCAGCTTTACCACTCACTAATGGTCTTGAGGCTCACATCTTATTAAATTACAAAACACGGAAAACAGACTGGGCACTGTACCTCACACCTCTAATGCCACCACTTTGCGAGGCCAAAGCAGGAGGACTGCTAGAGGCCAGGAGCTCAAGACCAGCCCGGGCAACAGAGCAATACCCCATTTCTACAAAACATTTAAAGAATAAAAAATTAGCTGGTGGTACATGCTTGTACCTGTAGTCCCAGCTACTTGGGAGGCTGAGGTGGGAGAACTGCTTGAGGCCAGGAGATCAAGGCTGCAGTGAGCTATAATTGCAACACTGCACTCCAGCCTCGGTAACAGAGTAAGACACACACACACACACACACCACACACACACAGTAAAAGAGCAGATACCTCGCAGAGTGTTATGAGAATCCATTTATGTGAAGCACCTAGCACATGGGTTATATTCATTAAACACCATGTTACATACAAACATAGATAAAAGACAGACATGCCCTTAATTTCTCTCCATAAAACCTCCCAAGATTCTATATTCAGAACAGAAGAAAATACCAATCCCTCTGACTAGCAGTCTCAGTCTTCCTCTTGTACAACTGAAGAAAGAACAAGCGAGGCTACAGCAATGAGGGTGGAGTGCACCATGACACAGTGAGGCCCACAGCAACTGCACAGCACACCTGCCCCATCCCTGGGCCTGGAGGCTGCAGGCGTGAATCCTACAAGAGCAAAGGGTCTGGGCACCCTGAAACGTTCTTTAAAAGATTCTAATACTCAGTGAAGCTGGAACTGAAAATCATATGCACCTTTTAAAAGGCATTTTTGGCTGGGCACCGTGGCTCACACCTGTAATACCAGTACTTTGGGAGGCCAAGGCAGGCAGATCACCTGAGGTCAGGAGTTTGAAATCAGCCTGTCTAACATGGTGAAACCCTGTCTCTACTAAAAATACAAAAATTAGCTGGGCGTGGTGGCATGCACCTATAGTCCCAGCTACTCAGGGGGCCTGTCTAACATGGTGAAACCCTCTCTATACTAAAAATACAAAAATTAGCTGGGCATGGTGGCATGCGCCTATAGTCCCAGCTACTCAGGGGGCTGAAGCACGAGTTTGCTTGAAACCGGGAGGTGGAGGCTGTGGTGAGCCAAGAAAGCGCCACTGTACTCCAGCTTGGACAACAGAGTGAGACTCCATCTCAAAAAAAAAAAAAAAAAAAAAAAAAAAAGCACTTTTAGGGAACACAATTTGACAACACCTATCCAAACTTTAAATGCACACTCCCTTTTACCCAGCAATGCCATTGCCAGCTATATATTCTGTGGGATGTATTCAAACAAATTCACTGCAGTATTGTGTTTTATGGGGGAAAAAAGGGACAGGGAGGGAGGGAATGTGATATATTAATAAACATGTAATAATTTTCATCAAAAAAGGGTGGAATGAGTTTAGCATGTGCTCATCAAGAAATAAATCCAAATTATAAACTAAATTTTCAAAGGAAAATTTCAGAAGAGTATACCTTAGTAGATTTGTTTAAACATTTACAATTTCCAGAACAATATACACACAAAAGTATTTGTGATTAATTCTGGGGAGTTAGGTGGGGGAGGAGATGAAAGGCACTTCCAGTTTCTTCCCTACAGCTTTCTATGATGTGACCTCCTTACCACGAACACACTTTATTTTATAATTAAAAGAACTCCGATAATGAACTCTTACTTGAATTAAACACACACCCAAGGAGGCCAACAAGGAAATCACAGAGGCCAAAAATGTAAGCCAATTAAAATTAACCAGGTTCTCCCTCCCGGCACCTGCCCGCACCCTGAGCTGCCGGGGAAGCCTGGAGGAGGGACTGGGGCTTGGCCTATCTTTGCTTCTTCAGCAGAAAGGCACAGTCCTACCTGGGCTAACGTCTGCAATGGCGGAACCTGAAAGTATTTGAGCCCTGCATTCTGGTCTTTGACTGAACAGTGGTCTTTACTGGAAGATTACATACTAGTAAAAGGCACTGCATGAAAAATCTCAGGGCCTGGAGGAAGCCTTGGCGTGTAAGAAACAGGAGGCCATTCTGCACACAGCCCCAGCCCACCCAAGTCCTCATGGCCCAGCACCCCCTCACCGATGGCCTCCGCAGGGGAGGCAACATAGTTCTCCACATGGCGGAGCACCACGCATGGCTGGGTGAGCTGTGCCGCAGTTCATCAGTCCTGAGCCTGCCCCCATTCGTGAAATGGGCTGATGACCCACTGGCTGGGAGGCATGCGCCTCGTGGGAACAGCTCAGTAGGTGGTGGCTGACAGACCATGGAACCCTGTCCTGCACGTGAAATACAGGTGCATGAGGCATCCAGAAGGGAGCGTGGAGGAGGGCACAAGGGTGGAGGTGGCAGAGGAGAAGAGGCACGGAGCCTCCCCACCAGCTGTGCTTGACTAGAAACTCCCAGGCTGTAAACAAGACTAAATGGTAATGAACACCTAAGGTCCCAGGGCCGAGGGGTAGCACTGGGACACTGCCCAGAGCCCACCGGGGGCACATCACCCCTGCGGGCAGTATCCACTCACCTGGGGCCCCTCGCCCTGTAAGCACGGCCCCTGTCCACCCTGGGCCCATACCTGGGTACATGGGATCCCCGCCCACCCAAGGCTCATGGCCCCCATGCACACAGTCCCTGCCTTCCTGAGCCTCCTGCCCTGCCTCGCACCCTCTGTCATCCCTTGCTGCTTCTGTACTCTCCACCTCCCTCTCTCCACTCAATCCTTCCAACTACCACGTCAAAGGGCCCAGCTGTCATGAATCTTTCTAAAAACATTCTTTTGCTTTCTACACCCTCTCAAATGAAAGCCCGCCCTTGACCCTCCTCTTCCTTGATCCACCCAGCCCCATCTGGCCCTGCCTCTCACGGCCTTCCACTCACTCTGCCCCACACCCTGGCTCTGCCTCACCAGCCTGCTCTTCCTGAGACCCTGAGTCACTCCACCTGGCGGAGAACTTCCAGGTCCATTTCTCCTCCCCAGGCCTCTCCTAAGCCCCTAGTTTGATTACCTGCACAAACTGCAATTTGAATGCCACATGGCACCCCCACTCGGCATGCCCCAAATTTGCTAAGTGACTGCCCAAATGTCTTCCCTTCTCTGTGGTACCCATGATAAACCCTGAGGACAGCTACCTAGACGGCCCCCTCCCCATGACCCCCACGAGAGCCCTTCCAATCCACCTCCCTAAATAGCATCTCTCAAATCTGGCCACTTTGCCCTCTTTCCACTGCTGGTCAGAGCTACCCACACCTCCTGCCTAGACTACAGGGCCTCTTACCTGGCTCCATCACCTACAGTGCAGCCAGATGACCTTATTAACGCTCAAGCCTGATCACTCTCCAGCAGACCCCCAGCTCTGTGGCTTCCCATTGCCCTGATAACTGACTGGGAAACCTTCATATGCCCAGAAGGGCCTTTGCTGAAATGCTCCCCCATCAGAGAAAGTGGACTTGGCCTAAGACCCTACTGCACACATCCAGTGTTCTATCCTGCCCTGTGGACTCCGTCACACTGATCTCCACCTGAGGCGGCACCATCAATCCCCCCACAACATAAAAATCACAAGCACAGAAGGCAGCTTGCTCGGGAACCTGGAATCGGCTGGGTCCTGCAGTCACTCAGCGTCTGCTGGCTGGAGGGACAGAAGGCCCCACGGCTCTCACTGGCTCACCTGGAGCCCCCTCGTCTTGTGTCTAACTCTCCCTTTATGTGTTCTGTGGTACAACTTCAGCTCCTAACTGTGCGTCCTCATTGCCTCAAGTTTACAGTGTGAGTGCCATCAGGGCAGGGCCTCTGTGTCCTCTGCCTCATGTCTCCAGCCATAGCACATGAACAGAACCAGCTCAGCAAACCTCTGTCCAGTGAAAGTCAGTCTACATGCATTACAATAGTGCCTCTATGGCCAAAATACATCAAAGCATCAATTACTCACAGAAACATAAAACGAATAATAGAACAGGCATCAAGGCCTTCTGTAATTGTTAGTGCTTTGTTATGTATAAATATATTACCATAGAGAATTCCTTTAATTCAGAGCATTACACTTTAAAACAGCATCACTTCTCATGTAAATCTAAAATAAAATTATAGGTCAGGTGTGGCGGCTCACACCTATAATCAGTCTGAGAGGTACAACTGGGGAGGATCACCTGAGACCAGGAGTTAAAGGTTGGCCTGGGCAACATAGTGAGACTCCATCTCTACCAAAAAATTAGAAAATTAACTGGGCATGGTGGTGCGCACCTGTAGTCCCAGCTACTTGGGAGGCTGAGGTGGGAGGCTTGCTTGAGCCCAGCAGGTGGAGGCTGCACTGAGCTATGATTGCACCACTGCACTCTACCCTGGGCAACAGAGCGAGACCCTGTCTCCAAGTAAACAAATAAAAATAAAGAGAATTACAAAACACACAAGAGTGGAAGACTCCATGGAGGGATGTGTATGTGCCTTCGTGTGCACACATGTGTATGCGTGTGTTTTTCAGATTTTTAATTTACTGCTTGCATAAATTTTTTAGGCTGCAAAATACTACAAAACTGTCCACTGTGACTGGATACTGAACTCTGAAACCAATACAACACAGAAGAGACTAGAAACAAAATTCAAAACTATTTATCCCTGCCTGCCCTTTGGGGCTTCTAGAGTCAAATCTGCCAGCAACACATCTTAGTGCCTAAGACTGCAGCCCAGGGGAGACATCTGCCCTGCAGCTGAAAACTGATAAAACATAGAGAGGGACCCAAAGGACACAAAGTCTTTACCCAGCTCAGTGGGACTTTTCTAAGCTTAATATTTTAAAACTGCTTCATACAAGCAGCAGCTAAATCCCAAGGGCCAGCCCCACGCTCCGACAGTTCTCTGAAATGCTATGACATTAAGTGCAGGCTTATTCTCTGGTGCCACAGCATGGCTGGTGCCGGCTGACATGGCCCAGGGCAGCTGCAGGAGGGATTTGTGCTCAAGGTTTCAGGCATGTTAAACCCTTCAACCACTGCCAGTGCACAGGAAATCCCAAAATTCTTAACTGGTGGCTTATTTCAAGAACTAATCTAGGGAATAAGGACAAAAGATGTACCTTGACAGTCTCACTCTCATTTCTCAGGGTCATCACTTACGGGGTATAACAACTATGAAAAGCCTTTATGTTTGGCCACATCTTAGTGACTGATGGAGATCAGACCTTAATTTAGCACACACAGGTCTGCTAGGACAAGAGCATTCTCAGTGACAAAAACAGTGGAATTCAATTTCTCATACAGTTTATGAGTTGTAAGGAATCTAATTGCTGAATAGAGGTAAAACTACATGTTTTATTTATTTATTTTAGAAATAGGGTCTTACTCTGTCGCCCAGGCTGGAGTGCAATGATGAGATCCTGGCCCACTTCAGCCTTGAACTCCTGGGCTCAAGCAATCCTTCTGCATCAGCCTCCTGAATAGCTGGGACTACAGGCGAGTGCCACCACACCCAGCTAATTTTTTATATTTTGTAGTGATGGGGTCTCACTATGTTGCCCAGGCTGGTCTCAAACTCCTGGCCTCAAATGATCCTCTCGCCTTGGCCTTCCAAAGTGCTGGAATTACAGGCATGAGCCATCACACCCAGCCAACACTATTTTTATTTTATTTTATTTTATTTTATTTTTATTTTATTTTGATTTATTTTATTTTATTTTTTGGAGACACAGTTTCACTCTGTCACCCAGACTGGAGTGCAGTGATATGATCTCGGCTCACTGTAACCTCTACCTCCCAGGTTCAAGAGATTCTCATGCCTCAGCCTCCCCAGTAGCTGGAATTACAGGCGCATACCACCACGCCCAACTAATTTTTGTATTATTAGTAGAGACGGGGTTTCATCGTGTTGACCAGGCTGGTCTCGAACTCCTGACGTCAAGTGATCCACCTGCCTCAGCCTCCCAAAGTGCTGGGATTACAGGTGTGATCCACTGTGCCTGGCCAAGACTACATATTTTAAATGAGCAAAATAAAGCCTCTACATTATGCTAAATTTACTTGTAACCCTGGATTATTTACCAAATTTTCCAAAACAGGTATCTCTTACCATCTGACCAGCAGACAGTATGGCTTAAAGAAAACAGCATGAAATAAACCAAGATACGCAGAATCTAGAAGTCGCTCTGCAGCTGCGGCTGGGAGCAACTAAGTATCTCTGCAGGTGCCTGTTCTCACTGGGATATTAAGAAACCAAGCGTTTTAAAAAGCAGACATGTGGACAAACGAAAGGTTATCAGCTGATGAGCAGATTTTTAGAGCAAATTATTAAAACGTGTTACTATATCTGACATGTTCTAATTCTTCCCCGTTTTATTTTTAGATACCATTTTACTACTAAGAGTAAAACTCCAAGCTAAAATCCAAAATGGAAAAGAAAATCTCTTTAACTGATTAGCTCTTGGGAGAATCACCAGGACAACACAGAACCGGGATAAGAGTATATGTTGTAGGAACTAGGCCAGAACCCCCAAAACATAGCGAGACGCAGGAACAGTCACAAAATAGCATTCTTCACAAAACAGGCAAGTTAGAAATAACTGAATATATGGTTATCATATGTAACCACTCACAGTCAAATAAATTGTTTTACCTAAATAAAAACCATCAATAACTCCTCATTTTTGTTTTTGGATTAGTATAGATGAATGACTACAATTAGCTAAGCATTTTTTTGTAATCGTGATTAAGTCCAGGTACATGAAAAACAAACTCAACTCCCTGATGAATAATTTAGAAAATAATATACTTTATTACTGAAATTTTGCCCTAAAGCTTTCTCTGCTGTCCAAATAATTTCCCAACTGCATTTCAAATTAAACTCCTAAGTTTTCACCTCTCTCCCCAGGGTGTTTTTCTGCATTACAACATATTTTAATATGTTTAAATGATAGCAATGCTATAAAGTGTTATTTCTCACTGCAAACAGATTAATATCACTTCATACCTCAGAGAGCATAATAGTAATAAGGTAATAAAACAAAGCAGGATCATCACCACTAATAACCTGAGAGGGAAGTCCTGCTAAGACTTCATCTCTATCACGGAATATTCTTGGTCATTACTTAGATGGGAGCGTTTCCCACATCACATCTCTAATTCAGTAATTGCTTTTCGTGTGCGTGAGACAAGGTCTCGTTCTGTCGCCCAGGCTGGAGTGCAATAGCACAATCATAGCTCACTGCAGCCACCACTTCCCTGCCCCAAGTGATTCTCCTTAGTGATTCTACCTTAGCCTCCCAAGCAGCTGGGACCCACAGGTATATGCCACCACCTTCAGCTACGATTTTTTATTATCATTATTTTTTTGCAGGCTGACAGGGTCTCCCTATATTGCCCAGGCTTGCATGCACTTTTATATAATTACTGTCTTCCTCCCCAAATTTCCATATACCTCTGATGGTCTCATAACATGTTTGACATCAGAACCATACAACTCCCACTTGGGTATTTATTTTTTGGAAGTGTGAACATATTTGCTTTTATTTCAGCAAAGAGCTTTATTAACTACTCATTCATTCTGACTGCTATAGTATGCTTTAAAGAAGGCTTTTTATACCTGGAACTTCAGGATGTCTGTAGTTAACCAGAATCACGTTTTGAAGATCCATCCATTATTCATCCCTTCCTGTGAATAACCTCACAATGTTCATTATTTATTATAAACAACAAGTCATAAGCTGGAGTCTAAGCCCATGAGGACAGGGGCTTTGTCTCCATTCACTACTGCATCCCAGCATCTGGAAGAGCACACCGCACACAGTAGTATGTACTCACTGAAGGGAGGAGCGGATGAGTTAAACAGGGAAGGTCACTTCAAAGTGTCCGTTTTGCACGGGTTTCGCAAAGCCAGCAGTCCTACTGATAAGACTCCACAAATTTAAAGTTGTTCTGTATTCTAACACATAAATAGTACCAGGGCAGTAACAACGAAAACGTTAAGGACTTTTCAAGCCCACAGAAAATACAAAAAATCTGTCACAGTTTATATTCCAAAAAGTTCTTTTTTTCTAGTTTTTCTCTTTTAAGCTTTGCTGGGCTTTAGACTGCACCTTTTCTCGATGCAGTCAATGCACCACACTTAACGTGTAGCTCTTTTTTTCCATTATCATAACTTAAATTGCACTTCTAATTATCTTTTAGCTAAAATGCAAGCAAACATAAAGCTTCCCTTTCTATCTTCTCATCCATATTTGTAGTTGCTAAGGCCTATTTGAGAGAAATCGTAGGGTAGGTCAGTTTTTGCAAATATTCAACCAAGAAATGATAAATATATTTGGAAGCCTAGCTTTGTATTGTTTGAAGCTAGCAGCTGGAGTAGGGATATTTAAGTGCTGCTTCCTGGGCCCAAATTAAAACCTCAGAGAATGGGATCAAAGAGGAGGGTGCAGTGAGACCCCTGACATTTCATTATTCTTCTCTGTACATGTAGATATGTGCCAATTCTAGACAGGAGTCCAACATACAAATAATATCTGAAGTACTCAGGAATCTGTTTATAAATAGAAATATCTACTTCATCCCGGGATCGCCATGCGGCCTGCACATGAGTCTGAGGACTGCATTTGATTTATACAAACAGACTCAAACCTCGTCTTAAAATGCATATGTGAACCCCAGATGCAAACCTATAAAGCCCAGTTGAACTGCAGAGCAACTGTAATAAATGCAATAATGTTAAGTCAGCTTCAAAGACATTCTTCAAAGAAACTCCAAAAACTTTCATGAATGTTTTATAGTTATTTTTAATATTGATGTATTTCATCTTAAAACCAATGCCAAGAGCTGCCGTGAATGGCTCATCTTTTCATGCTGGTGTGCTGCTTGGAGTCTCTCAGAAGACCAAAAATTACTTCACAATACTGCAAGATCTAAACCAGTGGCCCCCAACTTTTTTTTGGCAACAAGGACCAGTTTCATGTAAGACAATTTTTCCACAAATGGGGGCTTGGGAGGATGGTTTCAGGATGAAACCATCTGGCCTCCGCCTCAGATCATCAGGCATTAGTTAGATTCTCAAAAGGGGCGTGCAACCTAGATCCCTCACACACAGTTCCGCTAACACCGATGCTGACCTGACAGGCGGCGGAGCTCAGTCAGTAATGCTCCCTCCCCTGCTGCTCACCTCCTGCTGTGCAGCCTGGCTCCTAATGGGCCATGGACCAGTACCACACAGTGGTCTGCGGGTTGGGGACCCCTGATATAAACAATACTACACAATGTGAAAATCTATGTCCTTGTATGTGACATTTTTAAGGAAGCCCAGCAATCTCAGAGGGCCAGTCACTTCACACATCCTAGATGAACCAGGAGTCCTGCTGTTCTCTGGGGAATGGCCAGGATAAACTCATTATGGTCACTTACAAATGAATCCTCCAAACAAGGGACACCATCATCATCAGTTTTAAATATGGCTGTGGAGCTACGTCTGCTAAGCATTAAATGAACCAAGTTTGGGAGATTCCTGAACTTTGATGGATTTATAGCCCCAAAAGTCACAGCTGACAGATGACTGTACAAGTAGCCAGTAAAGGCCAGGCATGACATGAGCATACAGAGACATGCATCGCTTAACAGGGGCACACTCATTCTGAGAGACGCATGGCTTGGGCACAGGACTCACACCTGTAATCTCAGCACTTCGGGAGCCAAGGAAGGAGGATTATTTGAGCTCAGGAGTTTGAGATCGGCCTGGGAAACACAGCAAGGCCTTATCTCCATAATTAATTAAGGTAAAACAGAAATGTGTGATTCAGGGATTTCATAGTTGTGCCATCAGGCTAGAGTGCACTTACACAGACCTAGAGGGTAGAGCCTCCTACACACCTAGGCTACATGGCATAGCCTCTTGCTCCTAGGCTACAAACCTGTACAACGTGTTATTGTCTTGAATACTGTAGGCAACTGGAACACAATGGTAAGTATTTGTGCATCCAAACATAGACAAGGTACAGTCAAACATATGGTATAAAGGGTGAATGATGGTATGCCCATGCAGGGCACTCACCATGAATGGAGCTTGCGGGACTGGAAGTTGCCCTGGGTGAGTGAGTGAGTGGTGAGTGAGTGTCGAGGCCAAAGGCATGAGTGTACACCACTGTAAACTTTAGAAACACTGCATGCTTAGGCTACACTACATTTTCTAAAGATTCTTTCTTCCACAATAAATTAAACTTAGATTACTGTAACTTTTTTACTTTATATACTTTTAATTTTTTCAACTTTTTGACTCATAATAACACTTGGCTTAAACACACACACATTGGACAACTGTACAAAAATATTTCCTTTCTATCCTTATCCTATAAACTTTTTTCCATTTTTAAATTATGGTTTTTTACTTTGTAAACATTGTTGGGAAAAACTAAGACACACACACACACACATTAGCCTAGACCTACACAGGGTCAGGATCATCAACATCACTGTCTTCCACCAGCACCTCTGTCCCACTGGAAGGGCTTCAGAGGTGACAGCACACATGGAGCTGCCATCTTCTGGAAACCTCCTGAAGGCCCTGCCTGAAGCTGTTTTACAACGGGCTTTTTTTTAAAGAAGGATGACTCTCTAAAATAACAATAAAAAGTACAGTAAATACATAAGCCAGTAACAGAGTCAAAGATTGTCATGATCAAGCACCATGCACCGTGCACAACTGTATGTGCTAGACGTTTATACAACCACAGCACAGTAGGTTTCTTCACAGCAGCATCACCAAAGACACCTAAGGACTGCACTGCAGGTCGACACTACGACGTCACTAGACAATAGGAACTTCTCAGTTCCATTATAATCTGACGGGACCATTGTGGTTTATGTGGTCCATCACTGACTGAAATGCTTTTATGCTGCACGTGACTGTATTTGTATTTGCATGTGAACTGCTAAGCCAAAGACAGCACATGCATCTTGTGGGGTGACGAATAGGGTGTGCAGTGAGACCTGTGTGCCTGGGCAGGGGGAGAACTCTAAAGATGAAGTGGACATTTTTTTTTAAGTTGCTTCAATGATTACAGAAAGCCAGACAAAAACTGAGTCTTGAGGATTGCTCTTAGAAATTGTCTTCATAATCAATTCACACATGAAGGTACACATTGCCAGCACTTAGGTCAGAAAGCACAAAAGAACACTAAAATGAAAAACCAAAAAGTGCAAAAAGAAACACAGTCCAGCCGGGCACAGCGGCTCACGCCTGTAATCCCAGCACTTTGGGAGGCCGAGGTGGCCGGATCACCTGAGGTCAGGAGTTCAAGACCAGCCTGACCAACATGGAGAAATCTCGTCCCTACTAAAAATACAAAATTAGCCTGGCATGGTGGCATATGCCTGTAATCCCAGCTACTCGGGAGGCTGAGGCAGGAAAATCGCTTGAACCCAGGAGGCAGAGGTTGTGGTGAGCCGAGATTGTGCCATTGCACTCCAGACTGGGCAACAAGAACGAAACTCTGTCTCAAAAAAAAAAAAAAAAAAAAAAAAAAAAAAAAAAAAAAGGCAGTACACTGGCTCACACTTTGGATGCACTTCACTTCATGGTGGCGAAGGAATCACAGCCGCCCGCACAAGGCTGAGTGTGTGAGGAATTATGTGTTCCAGCTTCACTTTCACAAAATTACATGGTCCCAGCATCACTTTGACAAAAATTAGATTTTTGCTCCAAATGGCAAAAATCAATTAGTCAAATACTTTCCATGTCTTCTTTTTGTTGTTCTAAGAATGACACACACGTCCTCTTAAGACTAGTCTTTCTCTCACATACTGAGCACTCACAACCCTTTGATACTCCCCACTAAAGGGCATGTCACAGGCTTTCTCTGTGCAGAGGAAGAAGCCTGCACATAAAGAAGAGAAAGTGGGAAACGGATTTACACCAGGAATTGGTGAAGCCCCTTCCCTGCCCACCAGCCAGACGTGGGTGTCCCCTAGACAGAGACTACTGCTCTGGGCAGGAAGTGTGGACAATGAAGCCAAGGACTGCATTTTCTACAGCCAACCGCAGTCCCTGAAGAGGGGCTTGCAGTGAAGACAAAAACCATAAGCACTGCTGACAGATCAACAAAGGCCAGGCCATGCTGGTTGTTTTTTTGTAAGCGACGTTAATACAGTATGCTGGTAAGAGACCCGAGCTTTGCAAAAACTGTATCATATTAGTTACTTAGACCCATTTCATCATGGATAACAAGGAATTTTCTGTTTTTGGTAGAACAAAGTGGACAATTTGGCCACTTATCTTCTGCTCATGCTTTGGATTTCGACACAATTATTTTTTCCTAAGAAAGCTGTAAGTGAAATTCCCTTATTCCAGTTGTACCATACAATCACCCTCCTGGCAAATTTTATACTTCAGAGTGCAGTCACTTCATTGCTTAATGACTGGCCCCTAAGAAGTTCCAAGAAGCAGGCACAGTATCTGTTCTTGCTTAACAAGCAATCCCCACTGTCAGTCGCAGCATCTGACCCACACGGCCAGCATTTTTTCCTCCGGGTTCTCACTGAGCTCCCAAGCAAGCTGGCTGGAATTTGCTGTTGTTAGAGACAGGGTCTCACTATGCTTCCCGTGCTACATCTGAACTCCTGGGCTCAAGTGATTCTCCCACCTCAGCCTTCTAAGCAGCTGGGACAAGAAGCATACGCCACTGCACCAGGCTCGCTGGCTGAAATTCTGTAAACACTAGCCTCTCTTCGTGTGTGATTTTGGGACAGGTTAACTACTTTGCTGGTCCACTACCAGTCATCAAGAAGTATGTCAAGGAGCAAGGACAGAGGCTATTGGCTGAGATGAAAAGAATAATGGCCCAAGAAGCTTTCACATATGGGTGTGATGGGGAGAGGGGTCTTACTTTCTTAGGCAAGTCACATTTCACTTTCTTCCCAAGCTAACCACCAGAACCCAGAAAACAGGGAATGCGTCTAGTTTGAGAAGTTTGCTGAAGGACCACTTAGATGGTGAAGCCAGCAGGGTAGAGATGTGATAGAAATACGACTCCAAGACAGTCAATATTCTTCAAGTAACAGACAATAGCATAGATACGGATGGATCGGCCTCACATAAAAACAATGCCCTTACTGAAATGCACGCTGTTTGGGGAATGGATCACATCTCACTCACACCTAACAAGGAAATGACTGCCCTCTCGCAGTGTGCTGAGGATTTCCCTAGAAGACTCCATGAGGAAAAGACAGGCATGCATATACATTCTAGAAAATGAAAATACGTTAGTGCAAGGCAGACTGCAACCATAACTAACCACCATGTGAATTCTTTAGTTATAAGAAGGAGCTTACATATAAAGTTAACAGTGCGTAAGTGGGTTAGATTTTGGCTGTTATATAAAAATTTGCATTTCAAATAAACAATGAGTAGCTAAGGCAAATGGATGAGCCCGGAGGACATTTAAACGGAAGTGCTCATTTTAATGACAAACCTTAGAGCTCTAAAGGAAGGGAGGGGGCACAGACTCGCAAAAAACAACAACAACAACAAAAAAACACACATGCTTAAGAGAACAAAGTGTGTTATGTGTTAGCATGGATCACTTTCAAGGATGAGAAAGGTTTGGAGGGTCTTATATAAGTGATAGTAATCAGAAAAATGGTATTTTGGGCTGTTACAAGGACTGTATTCTTTAGGGGGGAAGCAAATTACGTTCGAACATTAAAAAAAGATAATATCTGAGAGTAGAACCCATTGAGGAAAACAGCCTGTTTCTGATACTAAAATGTGCAACATGTGATGTCCTTCTAGAGCCCCTGACTCACATCATGCTCTCTTAGACAGCAAGGAAGAATCCCACTGGCTTCTTCCCTCACATCCAATAATACTCTTTCCTCAGTCCCTCAACAAAAACAGGTTCATCACGTTTAAGCACTTGAAAAGCCATACATCTTCACCTTTGCCCTTGTTTTGACAAACTTTCTCTTCTCTGAAGAAAAAAGAAAAAAATGCTCCCACAAGGAACACAAAACCAGCATGTATAGCACGAGATACCACATGAACCATGATGATGAATCCAGGTTTGCAAGGTAAAGAGGAAAAGACTCAGACCAACATCACACTTTTATATAAAAATGCATTTGAAACTGCCAGGTGTGGTGGTGCACCTGTGGTCCCAGCTACACAAGAGGCTGAGGCAGGAGGATCACTTGAGCCCAGGAGCTCAAGGATGCAGTGAGCTATGTTCGCACCTGTGAATAGCCACCGCACTCTAGCCTGGGCAACATAGCAAGACCTCGACTCCAAAAAAAAAAAAAAAAAATGTATATGAAGATGGGATTTCTGGCCTTGATCATTCCAGAAGACCCTGAGATAGCCTCAGCATGTCCACTGGCTTAGATTTTGCTCTTTTTGACTTAGATTACTTGGAGATGTGATTACAGGGCTGAAAGAGAAATGTTTGTGCCCATGTACACAGACATGCACACCAATTATGGTAAGATGCATGCTTATACGTTGCTTCACATTAAGACAGAGGTGCATTAACAGAAAAACTCACACCTTGTCTTTATTAATTGCTTGAATATTAAACTGACAACCTTTATACAAACATGAATGTAATTGCATGGTTCTAATGGGGACTAGGTGTAGATAAACACATTTGGTGCCAGTAAAACTGTAAAAAAAAAAAAAAAAGTTCAAAGAACTACTGTAAACATTATTCCACTACTGGCTCCTGGGAAAGAATTTGCAAATACAAAAAAATGGCAAGAATAATAGCTAACATGTATAAGGTGATATCATATAACAATGTTTTCACCATCACAACATCCCATGCAATCGGTACAATTGTTATCATGATTTTACAGACGTGCTAAAAGGTTAAGTAACTTGCCCAAGGTCACACAGCCAATAAACAGCAGGGCTGAACTTCGAACTCAAGCCAACAGAATCCAAACTCTCTGCTCTAGAATCCAAGCTGCACTGCCTGCCTTTCTATGGAAAAATATCTATAACTCTCTACAGAATGGCACAAGTTCAACAGATGAAAAACAAAAATAGAGTTCCAGGTTCCACAAAAACTCCTGCATTGCTAAGTTATATCACATTGAACACAAAAACCAATCACAATCTACTTCTTACTTCTCCATTTCCCACAACCCATTTGCCCTGCAATCACAAGATGCTCCAAGTTCACCTCTAATGTGGAGCTTTCAAGATCTTCCATCCTACAGCTCCTCCCAAGTCACTCTCCCGCAGACACTCTGCCGTGATATGGACACACACTGCACCTTTCCACATCTATGCTTTCCTTAATTCCGATCAATGTCCAAAACAATTTTGACCCCCACCTTTTCTGACATTGCCATCGCTCCGTGACTGCACACACCTGTTACCAGCTTTCCCCATCTACACTCCCGTTGCCTTACAGTAAGAACCATTAAATTAGCACTTAAAAATTACCTTATATTCTTGTTACGAAAACGGACGTGCCCAGGACAAATCCTTTTTCTGAGTCCAACATTTCCACCCACCATTTGCTGAGCACGTCAACAACTTTTACAGTAATAGTTGCAATTTGAACCTGTTAAGGAAACAGCTACTCCCTTTATCTAGTATCAAGTGACTTTTATGTGCCTTAACACACTTGCTCTGCAATCCTACCTGTGTTATAGTTACAATTTGAAGACGAGGTTTGTTCAAAGGAAAAATAAACTTAACACCCTATCAAATCATTACAAAGTGGAGTTCGAATTGTATGCAACATAAAGGTATATATGAGTTTCTCTTCTAAGGCCCCCATTTAGCTTTTTTCACAATGCACCTGTTTGTCTATAAATTGTTCTAGAATATTAGTTCACATTGATTTGTGTGTTTTATGTATAACACACAATAAGCACTGCCCTAGCCTGTGTTACTCCTGATCATACATGACTGTGGGTGTGTGTGAGATGGAGAGAAGTTCATGACATCACAACCAACCCTGGAGAAAAGTGCAGAATGGGGAGGAGCATAAATTACCAGCACACGATTCATACTCCAAAACTCCACTCTGATGTCTGGCTTTCAAGACCTTCCATTTTATGGCTCTTCCCAAGCTATTCTCTACCAACCCCGCAGAAGAGGGCAGAATGCAGAGGAGAGTAAATAAGGGGATGAGAACGCTGACGAATATAGCCATTGTCCCTTCCTCAAGAGCAGTAATAAAGTTACCTTACAAGCTGTTTAACCAAGAGCCTGGAGGATGACAATACAAAGAGTAGACACAAGGGGGAGCCAATGGGTCCATCTTAAAAGTAACTGGAGACCAGGAAATTGGGCTTTTAAGAACTTTAAATTCCACAAACAAGCCACAAAATGGGAATGAATGAAGTCTAAGAGTAACAACAGATGCCATGAAGGAAAGCAGCAAAGAGCAGGAGACACTGAGATTTCTGATTTTTAAATTCAGTTCTGAACTGAATTAAAAAACCAAAAGAATTTTTTTAATCGTGTTCTTCAACGTGAACTCAAAAACAAACAACATTTGAAAAGGATGACTTGGGAATGGCTCACTCACATACTAGCAAAATGTCAAAATTTTTTATGGTATACAAATTTGATGTTGAAGAAAAAAGTAAAGAGTAATTTTTAAAATTCCCTGCCTTTGTTAAACTTACTTAACACCACTGCCCCCCATAAACCACAAAAATTGTAATGTTAATGGGCTTCTCTTAGCTTCTCCTATATTGTATTCTACTTTTAACCTTCAAGATAAAAAAAAACCTATCTGAAATGCATGTCAGTTCCACATAAACTGACCTTAATTCCAGGAAGTGTTCTATGATAAATATATTGTCAGTAAAGGTTTTAAATATTGCTACTAAAGATGTAATTATAGATGCTCAAGTTTTCGTACTATTGAAGTACATTAATTAAAACTTGGCACAGTTGAAATCAGAGAACATATGAAAGGAGAGTGACGTGCATTTCATATCGAGGGTAGCATAATTATTACTTTTGATAAAGATGTTCGGAAGAAGGCGAGAGTGCTGTGCCTGTAATAACCTTAATCATCATTCAATACAAAAGAACCAATCCATCAAAATCCAAAAGGATTTGCTTATTGTTATGCTTTTAGAAAGCTCATCAGGTATTTCCAAAAGCTTCCTAATGACAATAATTAAACATCTGGTAATGGTGACCTACTTGTGGCTGCTGAACTTCCTTGGATAGTCTTTTCCATTAATTATGTACATGCTGGGAACTGAGAGAGAATTTACATTATGAATAATAACTCAGGGCCGCAGGAGAAGTCAGAAACCGACAGGGGCAACTCCCTGCTGTCCTCACTGCTATCTGTATTAAGGCCTTGTTAGCGCTCTTGTATTTGGGAACAGATGCTACATAAAAATTGCAAAAGCATCAAGCTAAGGCATGCATGCATCTTGATGTAAACATGTTGTGAGGAAACAGCCTTCTAATAAACATTCAACACTGTGCCTAAGGGAGAGAAGAGACAAGCTGTCACATTTTCTACTTTTTACTCTGTGTAGAATTACGATCTGATGCAAACTTTGACCCTAAACTTATCAAATAAGGCCCAGGTCTGTTCTAGCCTTGGCAATTGCATAAATAAGAAAAGCCAGATCACAGCTGGGCACGATGGCTCATGTCCGTAATTCCAGCACCTCTGGGAGGGCTGATTGAGGCCATAAGTTTGAGATCAGCCTGGGCAACAGAGGAGATCCCACCTCTACCAAAAAAAAAAAAGTCAGAAAAGCCAGATCGAGAACATGCACACTTTCAAACATTTCATAGTTCCTTAAATTTCAGGGTGAAATGGGAGAGAAAGGTAGGAACTGAGACAATGATGTTTGTATTGGCCTGAAATTCATCTGGTGATGAAATAATTATTGTCCAAAAAAAAAGTCTACTTCGATCTATTTGACAATCACCTGATAACCATTTATTCTCATTGGATCTGTGTCCTTCCCCAAAGCCACATGATTTTAGTAATTAACACATCACTGTCACCTTTCTGCTTCTCAGTTTTGTTTTGTTTGTTTGTTTGTTTGTTTGTTTTGAGACGGAGTCTTGTTCTGTTGCCCAGACTGGAGTACAGTGGCACGATCTTGGCTCACTGCAACCTCCGCCTCCTGGGTTCAAGTGATTCTCCTGTCTCAGCCTCCCGAGTAGCTGGGATTACAGGCACACGCCACCACGCCTGGCTAATTTTTGTATTTTTAGTAGAGACGTGGTTTCGCCATGTTGGCCAAGCTGGTCTCAAATTCCTGACCTCAGGTGATCCGCCTGCCTGGGCCTCCCAAAGTGCTGGGATTACAGGCACGAGCCACCACACCTAGCCACTTCTCAGCTTTTTAAGAGATCAACAGCCAGGCGCGGTGGCTCACGCCTATAATCCCAGCACTTTGGGAGGCCGAGGTGGGCGGATCACGAGGTCAGGAGATCGAGACTGTCCTAGCTAACACAGTGAAACCCTGTCTCTACTGAAAATACAAAAAATTAGCCGGGCGTGGTTGCAGGCACCTGTAGTCCCAGCTACTTGGGAGGCTGAGGCAGGAGAATGGCCTGAACCTGGGAGGCGGAGCTTCCAGTGAGCCGAGATTGCGCCACTGCACTCCAGCCTGGGCGACAGATCAAGACTCCGTCTCAAAAAAAAAAAAAAGAATCCACAACATAAGTGGATTTATTCAAATGTTTTTTTAAAAATGTGTTTTATACCTTTTGGTAAAGATGTAAAAATAAGTACTAGTACTAATAACTAGATACTATTTTAAATTACAATATTCCTTAGAATAAATTCAATTTGCTGAATTCTGAATATCATTTAATAAATGCCAAAAATAAGGTCAGGATCGAGTAAGGAAAACAAATCACAAAACAAATCCTTAATATAAGGAAGAGGGTAAACAGGTAACTGCAGCACACCTACCACCCGCGGAACTGAGGAAATTCGGTTATGAGAACCTGAAGCTTGAAGGCGGCACCAGGGGCAGACGGTACCCACCCTCCGAGGAGAAGATGCTGGGGGCTGGGGCTGAGGCTGAGGCTGAGGCATGAGGAGCTTAGCAGAAGGACCTCGGTGCTGATTCTGTTAAGGGGGCCTAAAGATGTGGACAGGGGGAAAAAATCTAAAAACGAGAAGGAACTGCCAATTAATGACTATTGCTGGGCAATGCAGACAGGAACAGGAAGCAAACAAGGGCCATGTCCCCCCTCCTGCCTGCCAGGCTCCAGCTCCCTCTAAAGCTCCAGGGAGCAGCTAGCAAAGGAGACGTCTCCTCGAAAAGCAGAGCACAAATGGCTGAACTGCAGCTGAGAAATAACAACTTAATCCTGGTGCATTCTGAGCCTCAATTTCCTCACCTATAAAATGGACAAAACACCAGAGCCCATTCACAGAGTTCACCACGTGTGTTAAAATAAGTACAGCATTTATAATTGTGCATGTCACAGAAGACATGCTAAATTTATATATATTATTTTCAAAGTGTTTTAGTTTCTACAATTTCACTGCTTAGAATTTACCTACAAATTCCATGTTCTTAGTGAAGAGTAAGGCAATGCAAGCGCACACACAGTACTGGCTTGGTACACACCCTCAGGAATCAGATCCTGAAAGGCACACCCAGCACAAAGTGAGGAACCAGGAAACCTGCACCTCCCAAGAGGCTCTGCCTCCAAGGAGCCTTGACACACAGGACAAACCAACACATGTCATCTGCCCTGAGTTTCCTCCACTAAATAACAGAGCAAGAATAAAATTATTTCTAAGGGTTTTGTTCCCAACATTTAAAAATGTTAATTACAAAAACTTTTTAGTTTTTTTAATGATCTAATTTGCCACACTTGCAAAAAAGTAGAGAGGATAATTTATTGAACTCCTATGTATCACTCACTCAGCTGTAGTAATTATTAATCTTCGCCAAAACTGTTTCATTGCTTCACTTTTTTTATTTTTGGCTGGGGTATTTTAAAGGAAGTGCCACTCACATTGTAGCACCCAGAGGCCATTTCTTAATGGTTCATAGGATAATGCTAGATGATACATAATAACATGTAAATGAAGACATAATAGCATACATGAATAAAGGTGTATGAATTCTTTTCCTTAAGGTACACATCTAGATCACTTTTTATTTTCCCCCCACTGTGAATCAATTTACATTTTTAATGTAAAAGGATGGTGAAAATGACTCCACTGAAAAAGCCACCAAGCTCCACTCAGGATAATACTATTAATTTCTAATTCATACCACCTGACTCAGTAAAGCCTTACTTCTCTTCTTCCTGTAGTGCAAGTTAGGTACCTAGTTAGAACCTGTTTTACTAAGCCAGGCCATCTAGGTTATAAAACACAAACCCAAGGGCCTTCAATGGTAGGTACTTTTTGCTTCCGCGCATGCATTTTCTTCCCTAGAAATAATCCATTCAAAGGTTATTTACATTAGCCACAAACTAGAATTAGCATCTTCATTTTCATAAAATGAATTTACCAAAAAGTACTCAGAAATCTCTCAGAATTTATTTAACTTTGTGGAAGGCAGAAAACATATTAATTTAAAATGCATATGTTTTCCCCAAATCTTCCCCTCTATTGTTGAAATAACCCATAACATCAATAACTCTAAGAAAACACAATGTAAACTGTAACCTAAAATACTAGCCAAACATAGCTACATATTACATGCAATTTTTCCCCTGCCTCTCCCTCCATTGTGTGTATTTCTCTCCCAACTCCAATTATTGGGAGAAGATAATTTTATAATTTGAAACTACAATTTCTAAACATTTCCTTGATTTTAATTAAAGCTTATCTCAGGACAGAAGTTTAGGTAACAACAAATAATATCTAGATAAATACTTACATTATCTATGCTTATTTTTCTCTAAAAAGGGGCAATTTAAAAGTTAGAATAAAATTTTAGTACATAAAGAACATCTTTAACACAGGGGTATTTTCAAAGGAGCTTACACAGATGTATGTCACTGTGCACGGGGCTGCACTACACACCTGGGTTTAAGGGAGCCTCGGAGGGCATGGCCATGTACACAGCAGCCCTCATCACACGGATGCTGAAATGCACAGCAAAACCGGGCAAATAGCCATGCATTTCAGAATAAAGTGTATCTGTCATCCGCTCACTGACCTGAATGCACACCAACGCATGTGTGAATGGACAATTCTCAGGGTTAGAAAGTGTAAGTTCAGCAACCACTAGGCATCCTTTTGGCTGAAGTTGCCAACACCAGATTCCATCAGTACCAAATAGGATAGCAATTCCTGCACAGCAAGAATGCAAGGAACTAAGGCACAAAACAGAAGCTATGCTTGGCTGTTTCCAGACTGGAAAATTATTTTAAAACATCACACAGAAATATTGTGTTTCATTATAATTTTTTAAATTTTTTTTGGTTGTGTGCCAATTTATCCCTAATACTCAATACTACCACTGAGAAGCTGAATCTACTGACATAATGAAATAGTAATGTAAATAAATGTTACTTTTTTAAAAATAGAATTGACAACATTCTTTTCTTTTGCACATTAAATTCACTTTTTACATGGGGCAGAAACACTCAGATTATGACTAATGGGACTGGTGGAGATAGTTTGAGGATTCTGTGTAACAGAGCGGTTTTCAGCTTTTGACATAACATAGCCCTTCAGAGCATCATGGGAATCTCAGTTTTTTAAAAAAGTCATTTTTAATTGAAGCTATAATCACTCTACTTGAGAAACAAGGAACAAAACGATGCATTTCTTGTACCCAATGTGCTGACAAAGCTAACTCATCTATAATTAATAAAGGAACAGTTTATTATGAAACAATACAGAGTTTCAAAAATGCTAAAAGAAATGTACAAATAAAGTACCTCGGGACATTTATACAGTGCAAATGTCAAACTTTTGTATTGATCATGCCTGATTAGGGTCCTTTTCCCCAAATTTGATGAAAGAACATGAATTGGCTAACCACCACTCTGATGGCCTGATGGGTTAATCAATACAAAGCAACCTGGGAGGGGAAAAACGGGCAAATCTATTTTCTACGGAGGTTAGAAAAAGCAAGTTAGAGCTATTAGTAGAGCCGGATGTTTTATTGCATAGAATAAAGGGGGAAGAAGCAAGAATGAACATGACCTATTTATTCATCTGCAGCAAAAATTGGGCCTGGCTATGGTCCATCCATCATCTGGCCTTCATCCAGATTCAATGGTCTATAATTAAAGAATCACAAAGATCAGAATTGTTATCAAATGTTGGGCAAAACAGCTGTCAAAGGAGGGACCGCCCAGACAGTAAATGAGATAAGAGGCTCTGACTTTGAGACAAGCCCTTCAGTGTGGAAGGTGGGGCATTTTATCCAATCAATGTTAGATAAAGGTTCCCAATCATGGAGTAGTGCAGCAGTCCAAGAAAGAGGCAGATTTCTACCTTGAAAGCCCCACTGGAAAGAAGGTCCTGCAGCCAGATCCTGCATGTAAGCACCCTGGGGAGATGGTTAAATTCTGCTCCTTTGACCTGCAGGCCTAACCGTGAAGGCTACTACTGGGCAGGGAGCTACTTAAGACAACTGCTCGGCTGACATCTCGGAGTGCCTAAAATGAACTTCTGGCCCTTTCATCAGTATTCCTCATTCTCAAAATGTTCCCTTTCCCCAACATCACCCATCATCAGAAAAATGCAAATCAAAACTACAATGAGATATCATCTCACCACAGTTAAAATGGCTTTTACCCAAAAGACAGGTAATAACAAAGGCTGGCAAGGATGTGGAGAAAAAGAAAACCTCATACACTGTTGGTAGGAATGTAAATTAGTACAACCACAATAGAAAACCATTTGGAGGTTCCTTAAAAACTAAAAATAGAGCTATCACATGATCCAGCAATCACACTGCTGGGTATATAACCTAAAGAAAGGAAATCAGTACATCAAAGAGGTATCTGCACTCCTATGTTCATTGCAGCACTATTCACAATAGCCAAGATTTGGAAGCAAACTAAGTTTCCATCAACAGATGAATGAATAAAGAAAATCTGGTACATACACACAATGGAGTACTATTCAGCCATAAAAAAGAATGAGATCAGCCAGGTGCGATGGCTCGCACCTGTAATCCCAGCACTTTGGGAGGCAGAGGTGAGAGGATCACTTGAACCAGGAGTTTGAGACCAGCCTGGCCAACATGGTGAAACCCCATCTCTACTAAAAATACAAAAATTAGCCCAGCGTGGTATTAGATGCCTGTAATTCCAGCTACTCGGGAGGCTGGGGCAAGAGAATCCCTTGAACCTGGGAGACCAATGTTGCAGTGAGGTGAGATAGTGCCACTGCACTCCAGCCTGGGTGACAGTGAGAAACTGTCTCAGAAAAAAAAAAAAAAAGAATCAAACTGAAGATCATCATCTTAAGTGAAACAAGCCAGGCACAGAAAGACAAACATTGCATGTTCTCACTCATTTGTGGGAGCTAAAAATTAAAACAACTGAAATCATGGAAATAGAGAGTAGATGATGGTTACCAGAGGCTGGGAAGGGTGTGGGGCTGGGAGCAGGGGAGTGGAGTTAATGAGTACAAAAATACAGTTAGAAAGAATGAATAAGAACTAATATTTCCTAGCAGAGCAGGGTGACTATAGGCAACAATAATTTCATTGTACATTTAAAATAACTAAAAGAGGCCAGGTGCAGAGGCTCATGCCTGTAATCCTAGCACTTTGGGAGGGCCAGGGCGGGTAGATTGCCTGAGCTCAGGAGTTCAAGACCAGCCCGGGCAACATGGCAAAGCCCCATCTCTACTAAAAATACAAAAAAAATAGCCAGGCGTAGTAGTGCATGCCTGTAATCTTAGCTACTCGGGAGGCTGAGGCAGGAGAATTGCTTGAACTCGGGAGGCGGAGATTGCAGTGAGAGGAGATCGCACCATTGCACTCCAGCCTGGGCAACAGAGCTTTGTAACACGAAGGATAAATGCTTGGGGTAGATATCCCACTTAATCTCATGTGGTTATTAGTCATCACATGCCTGTACCGAAATATTTCTTATGCCCCATAAATATACACACCTAATACGTATCCACAAAAATAAAAAATTTTTAAAAAAAGTTCCTTCTCTACTTCCAAGCATCTGATTTTAGACGAAGATGGAGCTGACAGGCCCACTGAACACAGTGGGGTGGCACCCTGTTTATGCTTCAGAGGTTCCAGAAGTGTCAAACATTTTAAAGAAGCTGTGTCATTCTTCTATTCATCCACAAAACTTTTCATTTCCCCCTCAGTTTTTGTTATTCCCAAAGAATTCTTTAAAAGAAAAAAAAAAACAGAACATGTATTCCATGACCAATCACTGAAATTCTGAAGATGAGGTGCAGTAGCTGGCCCTTGGGTCTGGGTGCTGTCCTTCACGGAGCCCAGGCCTGAATCTGTAGTGTACAATGTTTAGGCGCCTCATTCAACCAGCCCTGGTGTTGCTTCGTCTTTTCGCCTTGGCACTCCAGTTCTGCCTTCTCTTGGCTTAGCAGGTTGGGGCCTCAGGGCCGCAGCAGCACAGGGAGTGTGTCCAGCTGCGATGTTTCCCTAAGGATGACACTCCCTTCCTCATCTCGCTTCTGCCGCCGAGACCAAAGAGACCAGAGGTGGGAGTTCTTTTTAATATATTTGGTTATGTCACTGTCTGAATCAATAGCAAAGGCAATCGAAAACCTTTTTCTTTTTTCTTTTGAGACAGAGTCTCGAACTGTTGCCCAGGCTGGAGTGCAGTAGCGTGATCTCGGCTCACTGCAACCTCCACCTCCCAGGTTCAAGCGATTCTCCTGCCTCAGCCTACCAAGTAGCTGGGATTACAGGTGTGCACCCCCAGGCCCGGCTCATTTTTGTATTTTTAGTAGAGGTGGGGTTTCACCATGTTGGTCAGGCTGGTCTCAAAATCCTGACCTTGTGATCCGCCCACCTCAGCCTCCCAAAGTGCTGGGATTATAGGCGTAAGCCACTGCACCTGGCCTTTTTTGAGAAGGTGTCTCCCTGTGTTGCCCGGGCTGGAGTGCGGTGGTATCTCAGCTCACAGCAGCCTCTGCCTCCCGGGTTCCAGAGATTCTCCTGCCTCAGCCTCCTGGGTAGCTGGGATTACAGGCATGTGCCACCACACCCAGCTAATTTTTGTATTTTTAGTAGAGACAGGGTTTCACCATGTTGGCCAGGCTGGTCTCGAACTCCTGACCTTAGGTAATCTGCCCACTTTGGCCTCCCAAAGTGCTGAGATTACAGACCTGAGCCACCATGCCTGGCCCAGAAACCTTTTTCTTAGTCAAATTAGCAATTGCTACAGTCTGTCACTTCAGACAAGGCTGTGAAGAGGTGTGTGCCGGACAGGTCTTAGCATGTAGAATGTTGAATCCCCTTCTCTGATTCACTTCTCTTCTATGATGGCTTACAGAGAATTTGTAGACAGTACAGAACTGCTTCCTGGTGTGCATGTGTGTGGTGTGTGTGAAGAGAGAGGGAGAGACAGAGACAGGGAGGGAAAGAGAGGGGGAGAGGGAGGGGGATCCTACTGAATAGAGGCAATATAAGTAAAACCACAATTACAAAGTTTTTTTTAAAATAAAAAAAATCTGCCTAACTTTTCATGCCTAATACAATCAAAGTTATTAATAATTAAGATTTCCAGAACGTGTTTATTAAAATAGTAATTCAAATAAGCTAGGGGATAATCATACTAAAAAAGAAATTCTAAGGCTGGGCGCACCTCATGCCTGTAATCCCAGCACTTTGGGAGGCCGAGGCAGGTGGATCACCTGAGGTCGGGAGTTCGAGACCAGCCTGACCAACATGGAGAAGCCCTGTATCTGCTGAAAAAAACAAACAAAAAAAAATAGCCAGGCGTGGTGGCACATGCCTGTAATCCCAGCTCCTCAGGAGGCTGAGGTAGGAGAATCACTTGAACCTGGGAGGTAGAGGTTGCAGTGAGCTGAGATTGTGCCGTTGCACTCCAGCCTGGGCAACAAGAGCAAAACTACATCACAAAAAAATTTTAAAAATTTTTAAAAAAAAGAAATTCTGGGCCTGGCACGGTGCTCACACCTGTAATCCCAACACTTTGGGATGGCGAGGCAGGCGGATCACGAGGTCAGGGGTTCCAGACCAGCCTGGCCAATATGGTGAAACCCCACCTCTACTAAAAATACAGAAATTAGCCTGGCATGGTGGCACGTGCCTATAGTTCCAGCTACTCAGGAGGCTGAAGCAGAAGAATCACTTGAACCCAGGAGGCGGAGGTTGCAGTGAGCCAAGACGGCGCCACTGCACTCCAGCCTGGGCTTTTTGAGACTTCGTCTCAATTAAAGAACAGAACAGAACAGAACAGAACAGAACAGAACAGAACAGAACAGAACAGAACAGAACAGAACAAAAAGAAAAGAAAAGAAAAGATTAGATTCTAGGCCAGGCGTTCACACCTATAATTCTAGCACCACGGGAGGCCAAGGCAAGGGGCTTACTTGAAGCCAGGAGTTTGAGATCAGCTTGACAACCAAGTGAGACCCTGACTCTACCAAAAAAAAAATTAAATTAAATTAGCCAGGCATGGTGGCATATGCCTGTAGTCCCAGCTACTTGGAAGGCTGAAGGCTGATGCGGGAGGATGGCTGAGCCCAGGAAGCTGCAGTAAGCCAGGATTACACCAGTGCACTCTAGCCTGGATGACAGAGCAAGATCTTATCAAAAAAAAAAAAGCCAATTCTCAAAGAAAAATCCCCATTTAAGTATAGAAGGTATATTACTGAACTCCGGCATGTACATATTCATACCATGCTGACTAATTACATGGCTGATCAAGCAGCCAGAAACTGATCCTGATTCCAATTACTATTGAGTTTCTTCATGATACAGAATAAAAATGTCTGAGAATCTCAAGTTCTCCATGCTCCTTGACAAAGCTTAGAAGTTAATTCAGTATTACCACTAGACTCTAGGTGGCACTCGAGGAATTGCTCAAGAAAACCCCGAGCACATTGCCAGATACTTAGGTCCACCCTTACTAACGTCCAGGAGTCCACAAAAGGATTCCTCATGTGTTGTACTTCTGCTTCTGGACTCCTTCGCCTCACCCTCAGCCCTCCAGGCAGGAAGAGAGGGACAGGGCAGGCACACCTAACATGGGATTGACAGTTCCAAAACCTGAAGCCTTCAGTTTTCAATCTGACCTTGTTTGGAGGACCTAATTTGGAAACCAGACCTTGATTTGCATACAGAACCTTCCACCTCACCTACCCCTCCCCCTAAAAAAAAAAAAAAAAAAAATATATATATATATATATATACACACACACACACACACACAAACATACATTTCAGACCTTTTAGAATATTTCAGATATATTCTAAACTTGGCTGGGCACAGTGAGTCATGCCTTGTAATCCCAGCACTTTGGGAGACCAGGGCGGGTGGATCACCTGAGGCCAGAAGTTTGGTATCAGCCTGGCCAACGTGGTGAAACCCTGTCTCTACTAGAAATACAAAAATTAGCCGACGTGGTGGCGCATGCCTATAATCCCAGCTACTCAGTAGGCTGAGACAGGAGAATCGCTTGAACACGGGAGGCGGAGGTTGCAGTGAGCTGAGATGACACCACTGCACTCCAGCCTGGCCAACATAGAACAGGTAGTGTATAACAAGATTATTGATACATAAGTTGAGAAATAGGTTAGAAAATCCAAGAACAAAATCCAAACATTAAAATGAACAAATCATCTGCAGCAAATCTAGATAGCTAGTAGGAGTGATCTTTCTGCTAAAGAAATGCCAATAGGTCAAAAATAAAAGTTTCATTTCTAAAGAAAGAACAGACCAAACCCCAAGTGTCATTCCACAAGGTTTCACAAAGCACATCTGTCAATGTCTAAAGCATCCCAGAGGCAGTGGTGGGGAGATCAATGGTGCCTTTCTCTGCAGTGGCATTTACCACGGTGTTACTGATAGTGCAGGAATTTAAGGCTACAAAATTGTCACCTATTCATCACTGAACCATAAAAACACAATGGGGAAAAAAGATATTTGATAGCCTTTGGCACTGAAAAATGCCTAATGATTTAAGATGATTTTGTTTCTAGCCATATTGGAAAAGTATTTGCTAGATGATTCTAAGCATTAAGGCATTCACATAGGGGTGATATCGGACAAACTCATCTTTCTAGTCCAGGCCAGTAAGACCAGCCCCAAAATTGACAGCCAGCTTGAATAGGCATGGCAAATTAAGCAGAATATAAATATCAGCCACTGAGGCTAATGTTTATTTTTAAATTCCACAAGAAACAAATAATATTGTGATGACATTATTAAGGATAACACATCATGCTAAGCTCCATTCTCCTCCGTGCAGCCTGAAGGAGAAACCATCTGCTGCTTTAATGTTCCAAAGTTACATAAAGGGGAATGAGAAGAAGGGATGTTCTTAAACTAGGGGAAGAGGAGGTGCAGTACACTAATGGTGCATGTCTCCTGCTCAGCCTTTAACTTCCTGCATGGAGTGAGGATGGATACGGATTGTCCTCAAGCGGCCTGAAATGGTCAAGGTGGAAAAATAAGCAAGACAGTAACTACCACGGGTTCGTAAATGCAAGAAAAAAACAGCTAAGCAACAAATAATTCCTCATCTGCAACAACTACAAATGAAAACCATCAAGACTCCAGGACTATGTGCCGAGACAAGCCTCTTTTCTGGCAAATGTCTTGACCTTATCAAAAAAGCTCAGTAAATTTCTTGGCCTTATCAAAAAAGTTCTGTGGTTACTAGCATAAAAATACCTTCCTCTGGAGAACCCTTCTCTTTTCATTATAGTATTGTCTATCATGAGATTTTGTGGGTGCTCTCTACCTGATATAACCTGCTCAGTGCAACTGAATCATAGTCACTGCATCATATCAAAGTTTTGAACTAGGAGTCAGTCATCTATCACAGTTCACATCCATGTGAGTAGCTTCAAGAGAGTTCAAAATCCAGGAAGAGCAGAGAGAGGAAGATGAAAAACAGACGTCTCTCCTCCTCCAAACCTGGCTCTATAGCATTATTCTGACTCCCACAATATATATATTCAAACACAGGAAGAAGAAAACACTCCAAAGCCTTTTATCTTCAAAGATATATCTTATGGTACATATTTAATTTTCATTGATAAGCAAAAGAAGAAAAACTTGGCCAGGCACAGTGGCTCATGCCTATAATCACAGTACTTTTGGATGCTGCAGTGGGAAGATCGCTTGAGCCCAGGAGTTCAAGACCAGGCTGGGCAACATAGCAAAACCCCGTCTCTACTAAAAATTTTTAAAAGTTTGATTTTTTTTTTTAAGAGAAACTTATTTGCATAATAGGACCTTCTCAAAGCAAAGATAGATTGGGTATTAATTCATTTCCATTCCATTCATTCATTCATTCAACAAATGTTTACTGAATGCTTATGAGCATTGTTCTAGGACATGGGGATACAGCAGTGAACAGAACAGATTAAAACAGGTGGGAATGTAAATTAGTACAAACTCTATGAAAAACAGCATGGAGATTTCCCAAAGAACTAAAATTACAACTACCATTTGATCCAGCAATCCCACTACTAGGTATCTACCCAAAGGAAAAGAAGTCATTATATCAAAAAGATACCTGCACTCATATATGTATCTCAGCACTAGTCACAATAGCAAAGATAGGGAATCAACCTAAGTGTCCAACAACAGATGACTAGATAAAAGAAAATGTGGTATACAGACACAATAGAATACTATTCAGCCATAAAAAAGAATGAAATCATGTCTTGCAGCAATATTGATGGAACTGGAGGCCATTATCCAAAGTGAAACAACTCAGAAAGTCAAATACCACACGTTCTCACTTATAAATGGGAGCTAAATAATGTATACACACGGACACAGAGTGTGGAATGATAGACGGTGGAGACTCAGGAGGATGGGAGGGGGTGAAGGATGGGAAAGTACTTAATGGGTACAGCAACATATTGAATGATGGTTAAAAGCCAAGAATTCACCACCACACAATATATCCATGTAACGAAACTGCACTTGTATTCCTTACGTTTACACAATTTTAAAAACATTAAAAAAAAACAGAAAAAATTACCTTACCTACTAACAAAATTATGCACCGTAAGAGAGAAGCAGGTGATAATTTGCTTGCAACAAATGAAAAGGAACTGGACCCTTCTCACAAAATACTGATTTTCACATAATTTAATGACTTGATGTTCTGAGTATCTGCATTAAAATGTGATTTAAAAAAAAATTTAAGGTATCTGACACCTCACATGGTCCTCTAACATAGGTACAAAAACATATTCCAAAAGGATGTATTTAAAATTTGGCTTTCAATCCTATGATAAAAGTAAAATTCTACTAGGAAGAATAAAAATATAGTACTCTTTGACAAAGCTACACCTATGTGTCTAAAAGATTTATAGTGAAAAGGTCATTCAAAGTTAGATAACCAGAAAATGGCTAACACGAACAAAGTCACAGGTTATGTTAGCAGGGCTGAGAGATTCTTTATTAGTAACCAGGTTAAAGACTTGTATATTGACTTTTTAATTTTGACCCCAAAGCAGGTGGCTTATCCGTGCTCTTATCACGTATAAAGACCATCTCTCTGGCCTGGGAATCTGAGCAGCATTTGGCGGCTAGCCTCCCAACTCCATGCACACGCACCTCTGTGCAGCTGCAGGTGCTTCCTCAGAACTTGAGAAGCCTCAAAACACAAGGGACGCCTTCACGAAAGCTGACACCAATACCAGCCAGCGCGTGCACACCGGCTCGCCAGGCCGCCGCTGGCTCTCAGGCAGGTGATCTGCACCACTATGCTTCTGATTTCTTACTGGGGTGAGCACAGGGCATATGCTCAAATGCCACTGGCTTCTTTCTCAAATCTGTCACTAAACAGTTCTATTATCTTCATATCGCCTGGTGCTCTAGACTTCAGTTTCTTCACCTGGCAATGTTTAGGCTGGATTCACTTTGGGACCTTTGCGGGAGGAAGTGAGGGTACCTGACTAGCCCCAACCCCATCCCACTACCACTGGAGATTCTGATTCAGCGAGTCCTGAGTGGTTTCTGGGCATCTATGGGGTGGGATGTATGAGTGTGTGCATGTTTTAGAGTATCTATAAGCACCTAGTGAAACCATGGTTAAGAAATCCTACACTAAATGACAAAGTCAAATCAAGCTGTAAGAATTCAGGGTCCAATCCAATTCCATCCGTGAACAGTTGCAATCCCTTCCCTTGATCAAAGAACTTTGTTGTTGGTTTTGTTTATGCTTTCAATCTTGTTTTTAAGACACAAACAGGGAAGGAACTTGGATCATCATCAACCTGAAGTTGTGTGTACCTGAACCTCCCAGAAAAGACAAGAATACATTTCTACCTCCTCATTTTACAACTGATTACTTCAGCAACACATCGGCGGCCATCAAGTTTTACTAAATTGAGACCAGACCAACTCCAGAGTCATCGGACAGAGGCAGATGAGGTAGCATCTGGCTAGAGAGATGGCGGGCACCTGTCAATGGCTGCTCTTGCAAAAGTTACTGAGACTCGCAGTAAGAATTACAGCCTTCAAATCAAAAGAAATAAGCGTTTAGGCTGCAACACACAGCATAAGACAGTTGCTGTGGGACTTTGCCTGTGAATATAATTTCTGTTGCAATGTCATGGTTCCAATGGAAGTGGAGAAGCATTATAAAGAAATAGTTAACTGCTTTCTGCTTTTAAGAAACAGGTTTGAGTCAGGTAACCCAAATATATCGATAGATATTCTAACGATATAAAATGTTGATTTTGGTAGGGAAAAATAAAGTGATGCACGCAAGTCAAACTTTCCCATTAAATAGGATGCATTTAAAACCTCCTTCCTCAAGTAACACATTCATCTAGGCCACAACGTTGAAATCTTAATTTTAAAAAAACTTTAAAATTCTTTGGCATTTCATATTAAAACATAGTGGTAAAAAAACTAAGAAATCTTATATGCATCACAGCAATGAATACAATCTTTCAAACTGCAGAAGAAAATTAAAATCAAGAAAAATACCAAGGAGTTGCTATCACCATACAAGGCTACAAGATAAATTTAAACATCAAGAAAAGCAGAAACTGAAAGGGGTAAAATGCTTGCCAAAATAAGATTATATGTATTTCCACATCAGGGAGAATTCTTTTCACAGTTAATGTAAGTTGTTCTATCTATCGCAAAGATCAGCATTAACTGTACAATCTGTACTTCTGCAAGAATTCAGAAGTAGCACTCCTAAGGTAAAAAAGAAGTAGGTCATGAATTACAAAAACATGCTTTACAGTTTTAAAGATATAACTCTAGATTTACATATCACAAAAAACTGGGTTTAGTTACATATGATTTTTATTCAAAAGGATAACCTTGGAGGCCAAGGTGTGAGGATTGCTGGAGGACAGGCATTCAAGATCAGCCTGGGCAACATAGGGAGACCCCATCTGTACAAAAAGTGAAAAATTAGCCAGGTATGATGGTGCATGCCTGTCAGCTACTGGGAGACTGAGGCAGAAGGATCACCCGAGCCCAGGAGTTCGAGGCTGCAGTGAGCCATGATGACGCTACTACACTCCAGCCTGGGTGACAGAGGAGGATTCTGTTTTTTCAAAAAAGAATAACCTCTCTCCCTTTCACGACTGCCATTAGTATTTATGCATAATTTTCATCTTTCTCACCCACAATTAAGATCGAGTACAACCCTGAAAACTTTTAAAGCACAAATTAACATAAATTACAGTGCAGCTGGTTCACAACCCAAAAAGGTAAACAAAAAATTTACCACCAGCTGAGCACCCACTCATTCTAACCAAGCAGCTACAGGTTCCCAGGCAGCATGCTCCATTCATTCTGATCTTACAGAAACAGCTCCTCGCTGTGATCATGTAATCATGTAACTAACAGTTCTCAATATGTACCGTGTTTCCTAACTTTAACTGCATTATATCCACTTTGTATTAATAAACACATGAACGGCCCAGTGCATTGGCTCATGCCTGTAATCCCAGCACTTTGAGAGGCCAAGGCAGGAGGACTGCTCGAGGTCAGGAGTTCGAGGTTCCAGTGAGCTATGATCACACTACTGAGCTCTGGCCTGGGCAACAGAGCGAGGCCCTATTTCTAAAAACACATAACCAGTATGCTCCTTGTAGAAGAACTGTTGCCTTTCAGGAAATATGTATTAATCCTCTAACTATATGATCTACATTTTTTTCTTCAAAATAAGCAATGGTTCCATGTTGATCCTCCTGTACTTTGACATCTGTTGCCTGCTTTACTTAGTAGTATGAAGTGGCAAAAATTCTATCTGGAGTAAGGGATGTGGAATACGGGTAAAACTTAAAGACCTTGTCTTGCTTGATTCTTTCTTGATTGAACTGTATTCAGCAGTCTTTTTTGTTGTTAATACCTCTAGGATGATAAATTCCATCCTCTCTCTGACCTATATGTACTTCATTTCTCTTGAACATCTAGGGCTTCAGTGATCTAAACGATTCTATTCTTAAATCCAACCTTATCTCAGCATAGTTTAAACTTGGCTTCCATTTCTGGAAAAAAAAAATCTTCATGGAGATCCGGGAAGCACCGGAAGAATTAATGCTCAACACACTGCATGATATTTCCTTAAAAATAACTAAGGAGAACCTGCTTCAATCCAAATCAGGAATCTCTCTATCTAGGGAGAGCATGATTTTGGGAGAAAGCTTATTTGCCACAGATTAAACTAAAGATAGCAAAAACTTAAGGTGTTTTTTGTTTTTCATTTTAAACTAATATCTTGAGTACTGTGATATGCACATTTTTACCTAGTTACATAAAGCTAAACTTAATTATTTCAAAAATTATAAGCTATCCTCGAAAATATGAATTGTATTTAAGTTTTGGAACCTCTCATTACTTGTGGTTGGTAAAGGAAGCCAGAACACACAATTTGCACAACACAAGAGTAACAAGAAATCAAGTTCCAGAATATTTTCATATTTACACAGGAAAGCAATGTCACAAACTTATCAAGAACACATTACTCCTTTAGGGCTGGGGTGACATTAGTAGCCAACACCACCTTTTCTGCTACGATTAGGAAACTAGTAATGAAGACAATCAACACAATACAAGTATCCACACATATATATTCTGTTTTCTATTTAGGAATCAAAGTTATTCTCTCTACTACAAACAAGAGACAGAGAAGAAAAGATATCGAGACAGACAGACAGACAGGAAATTGAGACCAGTCTGGGCAACATGGTGAAACCCCATCTCTACTAAAAATACAAAAATTAGCCAGGCATAGTGAAGCATGCCTGTGATCCCAGCTATGTGGGAGGCTGAAGACTCACTTGAACCCGGGAGGGAGAGGCTGCAGTGAGCCAAGATCGTGCCACTGCACTCCAGCATGGAAGACAGAGCGAGAGTCTGCATCAAAAAAAAAAAAACAAACAAACAGGAGGAGAGTTCTAATTCCCAACTTGTTACATATTCTTAGCAAGTAGTTTTCTAACACAGCACTTAGCCAGAACATAGGTATGTTTTAATATTTTTTGATGAACAGTTCTGTACTCAAAATTATCCTGGTTATATCTGTATTTCTTCGTTAACAAGAAGTAGCACTGTCTATTGTACAAAGAACGACTGTATAAAAAGCACCTCTCCACAAGACATCCCCACCAGCTCGACAGTTTAACACTGCCACAGCAACACCTGAAAGTTACCACCTTTTTCTAGAAAGATCAGAATAACCTGCCCCTTAATTTGCATTAATTAAAAGTGGGTATAAACATGACTGTAGAACTGCCCCTGAGCTGCCACCCTGCGCTCACTGCCTAGCGGGTAGCCCTGCTCTGCGGGAGCAGCCACAGAGCTGTAACACTACAGCCTCAATACAGCTGTTTTCTTCTACCACCTGCACGCTCTTGATTTTTTTTTTTTTTTTTTTTTTTTTTGAGGCAAAGTTTCTCTCTGTTGCCCAGGCTGGAGTGCAGTGGCACAATCTCGGCTCACTGCAACCTCCGTCTCCCGGGTTCAAGCGATTCTCCTGCCTCAGGCTCCCAAGTAGCTGGGATTACAGACGCCTGCCACCATGCCCAGCTAATTTTCGTATTTTTAGTAGAGACAGGGTTTCACCACGTTGGCCAGGCTGGTCTCGAACTCCTGACCTAAGGTGATCCACCTGTCTCGGCCTCCCAAAGTGCTGGGATTACAGGCGTGAGCCACCGTGCCCAGCCCTCACTCTTGAATTCTTTCCTGAGCAAAGCCAAGAACCTTCCCGGTCTAAGCCCAATTTTGGGGCTTACCTGCCCTGCATCAATTTAACTATAATTCTACTGCAAGCCAATTTAAGTAGGACACAGAAAACTATAAAACAACACACCTTACTATGTTGTCTTCACACATGTATATGCACGTAATAGATATTATAAATCTCTAGATTGCTTAAATATAAAATCCACCCAATTTGCTTTGCTTCTTACCTTTTCTATCAAGGGGATTCACAATTACCTCAAGGCCTTACAAGATCAAGGCAGTATTATTTTGAGTTGTGTCTTCTATTAATACTTCCTTGAAAAGGAAGTCTTTTTTAACAGGTAACCTATAATTTATATCTCTAATTTACAGCTTTTAAAGCTTTTTTGTTGAATTTTGTAAAATCATCTAACTTTCTGAGTTAGCATCATTGTTTTTCTGCTGTTAAGCAACTTTGTCAGATTGTATCATTCTGATGGACTTCTACATCTTGGTTGTTATTTTCTCCATAATCAAAACCTAGAAGTCAGTATACAGATTCAGATATATAGATAATAATAACCTAGGTGTCAAAGAAGATGATTGAAGTCCATGAACCCAGTCATACAGACATCTGGATGCATGAATTTCAACCATTTACTTCAAAAACCATGTTCTGCTTTTGCTGAGGCAGAAATTTCAATCATCTATGCTATAAACTGAACCTCTCACCCAGTGAGCTCAGAAAACTCCCCAATATGATATTTCAGCTTCTCTTTTTTATTCCATTTAATACAATACCCCAACTTTTTTTTTTTTTTTGAGGAATGTGAACCAAAGTTTTATTAGTTCATTTCTTGCATTTAAAGTGCTCTTCAATGACATCCTTGGCCTGAGATTCCTTATAACTTCCATAGTCCTTAACTATTACACAACTTCAACCAACCTTTCTACAGGGTCTTCCCTCTGTCAGTATTACAGAGGCCCACCCATTCCCTAGTTTCTTGTTTTCATCAACCTTAATTAGGCTAATCTGGTGTTCAGCACATGGGCCTCCACCAACTTCACACACACACACACGCGCTCATCACAGTTGGATACAGGCACACAAAGATGGGCTTGGTACTTGTCTAAGGCTCTGGCGGCTCCGCGAATCTCATGTGCTGGGCCATCATGGACGAGAGTGGTCTTCAGCACCGCTTGTAAAGCAGTGTTAACAACCATCACACCGCCAGCAGCAATGCCCTCCTCAGCCACCAAGGCAGGCCACAGGTAACGAGTGATGCCCCATCTTGAACGCACCCAAGCCTCCGCCTCCATAACTCAACAGCAGCAGGGAAAAAGCATGGTCTCAATTCTCTTGACAAATCTCAGAGGTATTATACTCTTATTCCAACTACATCTCCCTCCCCAAAGAAGCGCACACAAAACAATTTTAAAACTTATGTTTTCTACGGAAACCTTACCTCAAAGTGATGCACAAAACTGAAATTTATATGGCTGCTTAAATGTCACATCCTGGCTCCTAGCAGGGAAACAAAACGCTCTGAAGAGAGGATGGTTCCTGCTTGAGGGGGAAAAAGTCTGTCTTTCTTAGCAGTGCTCCTTCCCACAATAAACAAATGATCCAGGAATTTTGTACAAGAAGTCTACCTGATTCTTCGTCTACCCGCAATGTCCCCATCCACACACATCCCCCAAAAGGCCACATCTCATCTTTAAGATGAAAAGTAATTCCATTTTACCTGCCAGCTTAGAACTTAATAATTTAAAGGCATGTTTACAAGGGCAGAACATCATCATTATCATCACTACCACTGGAACGACACGCAATTAGAAGTCGTTTAGGGAAGGAAGTTAGAAATGCTCGGCGGAATTTAATTAGACAAATTAGGTTTTGGCAGAGATCTCTAGGTCAACACCCTACTTCTATAAACAATATTATGGAATTCTTAATGACAATACAAGGCACTCATTCTTAAATTCTCAACTGGCAAATACCAACACTTAGGCCACCACCCTCAGGTTCAAGCAGTTTTAAACTATGATTTTTCGAAAGGGAAGAGAAAAGATTCTGCCAACAGAATCAGCAACAATACTTTTAGGCAGTCTCTGAATTTCCTCATTCATTTCTGGTATTACTTTCTGCATAGTCTACACAGAAAGTTTAATGTCTTAAAAACAGGTTTTATTCTGTGTCTTTACTCAAATTACATTAATTTGAAGAAAATATCACATCGAAGAAAATCAGGTTTGCTGAAAATTCTTTACCAACAAACATCCAATATGGTGGCAGTTTCTGCGGAAGGAAGTATGTTACATATAAAATAGAGATTTGGAATGTCTTGGACTTGATTTATTTTCAGTATTTCAGTGTTGTCCAATAAGGAAAATATAAGAAAGATGATTAAACTGGCCAGGCACAGTGACTCACACCTATAATCCCAGAACTTTGGGAGGCTGAGGCAGGAGGACTGCTTGAGGCCATGAGTTTGCAACCAGCCTGGGCAACATAGTGAGACCCCCACATCTACAAAAAAATAAAATTAACAGGGTGTAGTAGCACATGCCTGTGGTCTCAGCTACTTGAGAGGCTGAGGTGGGAGGACTGCTTCAGCCCAGGAGATTGAGACTACCAAGAGCTGTGATCATGCCACTGCACTCCAGCCTGGGCAACAGATCTAGACTCTGTCTCAAAAAAAAAAAAAAGAAAAGAAACTAAAACTGCAAGATTTAGCAGACATATGAGGACCAAAATAAGTGTAGAATTGATGACATATTAAGTGTCCATTCTATAAACCATTAAGAGATATTCCCAAAACACACATCATTCATAAACTGGCCAGAATCAGTATCACACATTTGAGCTGAATTTGTATGAAGAGGGAAACAGTTCTGAAGCACCTATCTGTAATGCTGCAAGGCACCACTCTTCTCCGGGCAGGGGGACACAGATACCATGACTAACTCTCAATGGTTTCACAGCTCGAAAATCACCGTTCTAATGAAAGACCACCGGAGGGCACACATAACCCATGGCACTCATCCAAAAGTAAAAATAAAAAAAGCACATTTTATGTGCAGGGTAATCTTTACTTTTTATCTGTTATTGCTGTTTGGTAATTACAAACTAGCTCCAAAAATATCAACATTAAGAAAAGGAATCTTTATAACACTGTTAAAAGATCCACTATATATTGATTGTATAGCCTAAACTTACAGTCATATATCCAGTAGCTTCAAAGAATTCTTTTTAAAAAATGTTTTTTTAATTTATTTATTTATTTATTTAATTTATTTATTTATTGAGACAGGGTCTCACTCAGTCACCAAGGCTGGAATGCAGTGGTGCAATCTCGGCTCACTGCAGCCTCAACCTCCCCAGGCTCAGGTGATTCTCCCACCTCGGCCTCCAGAGTGGCTGGGCCTATAGGTGTGCACCACCATGCCTGGCTATTTTTGTATTTTTTGTAGAGACGGGGTTTCACCATGTTGCCCAGGCTGGTCTCAAACTTCTAGGTTCAAGTGATCCACCTCCTTTGGCCATTCAAAGTGCTGGGATTACAAGCATATACCACTGTGCCTGGCCCAAAGTATTTTTCAGAAAAAAATATTTTTAATTCTGAACAATGTACAGAACTGTGAAATTGGAGAAACACTAATTTGCTTTTATTCCATTATTTTGTTATACATAAAAATCAACTAATCCTTTTTAGTGAGATGTTTGGGTAACATCAGGGTCTCCATTAAAAACATGTTTTAGTAAGAGATTCCATACGAGTAATAAGGATCTGCTAATATCACAACTTGTTAGTATTGCAGCATACAGTAATTTAAACCCTTGCAATAAGTGAATAAACATAAACACTAATAAATAATAAGCATTCACAAATGAATTGATAGCACAGAAAATATCAGTATGATTTTGAAAACAAAAATGTTCAAAAATTAATCAGGAAACTTTTTCAAAATAATATTAAGGAGTAAACACAAAGAGTAAGCATGACTTTCAATTCCCCCCGCCCACCAAGAAAATAAAAATTAAAGGGGTGTTTTAAGGAAGTTTCTGTACCAACCTGCCTTTTGCTGACTTCTGAAGTGGCTCTCTTGAGGTTCAATGACCTTGAAAACCTTAACGCCTTCACCGAATCCTTCCGAGAGGTCCCAGAAAAAGAGTAATACCTCTTTGCAGGTTTCCCCTTCGCTCTGTCTGCCATCTCAACCCATTAGGAAGACAAAATCCTCAACAGCACAGACTTCAAGACTAACAACAGAATAAAATGATCCCCAAATAAACAGTCCACCCAAAATGTAAATAAACAACCTGTTTTGCTCAGTCCTCAAGGAAAGGGCAAAACCTCAAGTAAAGGGTAAAAAATGGAAAGCAGGTGGAAAATAGGGGAACACATTCCACCACCTAAGTAACCCCTCAATGGACGGCACAGACGGCATCCGGCAGTGTGGACTCCAGGTTCACCAGGGAAACCAGCTACGCCTCAACTGCACCAAATTAAAACTGCACCAGTCAAACAGGCCGGAGGTAGTTTGTCAAGAGTAAAACAGGGTGTAGCAAAACACCCTGGAGTCAGCAGGGTGTGAGAGCACACATCAGGTTCAAAGAAGTCTCTCAACGCATTCCTTGCCAAAATAGACAGAGGGCTATAGGATAGGATCAAATCACCACTCCTACTTCAAACCAGGAGCCCTCGGAGTGTGACTATTTTGTTAAGCTCTTTGAAAACTCTCTTCTTCCAGTGAATGAGAAATGGAGTGATCGGATGCTCAAATACACATATTTTACTCAGAGAAACACAAAACAAAATAGTCACAAGCATTACGAATTAGGAGTCTGGAACGCCACCTCCCATGTCACAGAAAGAGGAGGGAGGGTGTTTTTATACCCTTTCAAAAGGCAACAGGAACATCTTTCCTTCATTTTATCTCAGGTCTCACTGAACTGAAGTTGAGCTCGAGAACAGGTCACGAAAATAAGACAAGTCGTCTGTGCAGGAACAGGGATGGAACTGGAGGCCATTATCCTATGTGAAATCACCAAATCAGACACCGCATGTTTCACTTACAAGTGGAAGCCAAACAGTGGGTACATACAGACACACAGAGCAGAATAACAGACACTGGAGACTCCAAGAGGTGGGAGGGTGCAAGGTGTGAGGACAGAAAATTACCTTCTGTGTACAATGTTCACTATTTAGGTGATGGATGCACTAAAAGCCCAGACTCCACCACTACCCAATATGAGCATGTAAGAACCTGCACTTGTACTATCTAAATATATAAAAATAAAAATAAAAATTTTAAAGAAAATAAAACATGAGAAAATGGAGAAATAGGTCTCTAGAGAAAGTACTGAATACTATGAATACCTGCAATACAATTATACTTATAATACTATTAACACTAGAGCCCCACAAAACCCAATGCTTTAGGACACCTACAAGCCTAACCCAAGGATTGAAAGATACAGTACATTCAGGCCAGTGTGGCAGCTCATGCCTGTAATCCCAGCACTTTGGGAGGCCGAGGCGGGCTGATCACTTGAGGTCAGGAGTTCGAGACCAGCCTGGAACACATGGTGAAACCCCATCTCTACTAAAAAATAAAAAAATTAGCCAGGTATGGTGGTGGGAGCCTGTAATCCTAGCTACTCTGGAGGATGAGGCAGGAGATCACTTGAACCCAGGAGGTGGAGGTTGCAGTGAACCAATATCACACCACTGCACTGCAGCCTGAGTGATGGAGTAAGACTCCGTCTAAAAAAAAAAAAATGAGGGGAGGGGAAGGGGAATGAGAAGCGGGAGGGGGAAAGATAAAGAAAGAAAACGTTCAAGGTAACAAGAGGCATGGAATTATTTTTTAAAACACATACCAATCATTAAAGAAGCTACATAACCAATTGGAAATCATCATTCTCAGTAAACTATCGCAAGAGCAAAAAACCAAACACCACATATTCTCACTCATAGGTGGGAATTGAACAATGAGATCACATGGACACAGGAAGGGGAATATCACACTCTGGGGACTGTGGTGGGGTGGGGGGAGGGGGGAGGGATAGCATTGGGAGATATACCTAATGCTAGATCACGAGTTAGTGGGTGCAGCACACCAGCATGGCACATGTATACATATGTAACTAACCTGCACAATGTGCACATGTACCCTAAAACTTAAAGTATAATAAAAAAAAAAAAAGAAGCTACATAACCAAACAGCCTACACCAGAAATATACAGCTGGTGAATAATATAAACACAGAAAATTTAAGGACAGCTGTATTTAACAGTGTTATACGATGCAATATTACTCAAAGTGTGGTCCCAGTCTCCATGAAGTACAGAAATAGAGTAAGCTTTTGAGAACACAGCAACTTGACTGAGTAATTTTATATCTGTTAACTCTAATAATAGCTAAAATAAAGGCCCATAAAACACAAGCCACTTTATCCCAGTAATTTATTTGCATTGTATTTTAAAAGTATTGTTCTGCCACAGGTTGGAGGGAAAAAAAAAGCAAATCTAGTCCTTCACAGCGACAGTTTGAGAAGTAATTAGTTGTGTTAACTAAAGGTAGAAAGAATATTCAAGACTGCCTCTTTGGGGAGGGAGAGAAAGTTAGAACTAGCCCATCTGGAGGCTGACCTGAACACACCTCCTAATTTATCCAGCCTGAATATTCCCACCTACATATGGGACTTTTCTTGCTTTAAAAGTATGTGGAATGCAGCTACACTAAGAAAAAAAGGATACAAAACTTTACATACCTTATAGAACATGGAACACCACTGTTGTAGCTGCAAACATTTTGCTAGCATTTTCCTTTATTATATATAATATATATCAAATATATAGTATTATACATGTTATATATAATATACATGTATATAATTAGATTTTTATATTTTATATATGTATTTTACGTATGTATTTTATATATATATATATATATATATATATATATATATATATTTTTTTTTTTTTTTTTTTTTTTTTTTTTTTTAAGTAAGACAAGGTCTCACTATGTTGCCCAGGCTGCCCTCAAACTCCTGGGCTCAAGCAGACCTCCCACTTTGGCCTCCCAAAGTGCTGAGATTATAGGCATGAGCTACCAGCACCCCGCCAACATTTTCATCTCCCCATTTTACAACAGATCCCTAAGGACAAGTGTTCTCTATTTACTTCAATCTCTCAAGTCCTGCCTAGAATGGAACAGATGCTCAATAAATATGTGAGGGCTAGATGAAAGAAAAGGATGCTGTTACAGAAATGCAACTGCAGTGTCATCTCAACCTCAAGTTCCCAGCAGCCAAGAGATCCCTGTTGACACTACCCACAAGTGCTGATAACAAAATGCCTGATAGTGGACGGTCATCATTCGACTGTGCCCTTGAAAAGAAGTATCTCTTGACAATCTTTTGTAAGAAATTAAGTCAAGCAGTATAGCACACATTCAGACGCAAGGAACTTCAGAATTCTTGCGTGGTAGTGCACGCCTGTAATCCCAGCTACTCAGGAGGCTGGGGCAGAAGAACTGCTTGAACCCGGGAGGTGGAGGTTGCCTTAATAATGTATTGAGAATCCTCAAATTCTAACACACAGAAAATAAACAATGTATTTCTTACAACTATCTCTGGGTGCCAAGTATATACCATGCTCTCTATAAATTCATAGAAATAAAAAAATAAGTGAAACTGATTACCTACAGAAACTCATTTCATAACACAAATATCTAGGATAGCCTGGTTTGTTTGCTCGCTTGTTTTTAAATCCTCAGGCCAGGTGCAGTGACTCACACCTGTAATCTAAGCACTTTTGGGAGGCTGAGGCAGGAGGCTCATTTGAGCCCGGGTGTTGGAGGCTGCACTGAGCTAGGATCACGTCACTGCACTCCAGCCTGGGTGACAGACCAAGACCCATCTTAAATAAGCAAACAAACAAAAAGCCAGGCATGGTGATGCACATCTGCAGTCCAAGCTACTCAGGCGGCTGAGGTGGGAGCCCAGGAGACAGAGGTTGCAGAGATTGCATCACTGCACTCCAGCCTCGGTGACAGAGCAAGGGCCTGTCTCGAAGAAAAACAAAACAAAACAAAATAAAACCTCAGAAGCAGTTATTAAAAGAATGAAGAGCCTAATTTGACAATGGTGGTGGTGGTGGTGATGGTGGCCGACAACGGCAACCACAATTAACATTTCCTGGGACCTTATTCTTGCCGAGCACAAAACCTTAATGTGAATTCTAAGGCTTAATCTTAAACTTAACCTCATAATGAAATCATGTCCTTTGCAGCCACATAGATGGAACTGGAAGCCAACACCCTAAGTGAAATAACTGACACAGAAAGGTGAACACCACGTATTCTCATTCATAAGTGGAAGCTAAACAATGGGCACACATGGTCATAAAGATGGAAACGATGGACACTGGCGACTCCAAAAGTGGGAGGCGGGGAGAGAAGCAAGGCTTGCAAAACTATTTACCGGGTACTACACTCACAGTTTAGGTGATGAGTTCACCGAGGCTCAAATCCCATCATCACCCAATATACCTATGTAATATAACTACACATGTATCTCCTGAATCTGAAATTTAAAACAAACAAACAAAAAACTCGTAAGATAGTTACTATGATTATACCCCATTTACAGATGGGAAAAATGAGGTAAGAGAAGTCAAGTAAAGACAGCGTGAAGCCGGGATTCAAATGCAGGCAGTGTGGCTCCACAGCCCACCATACGAGATGCCAGGCACTTCCAAAGCAACAGAAAAGCACAGCGCGGCACACCAAGTTATTAAGCCCCAGCCTGGGATTGGTGTAACAGAAAGAGTGAGAACCTCTGTCCCCTGACTCACTGGGTGGCCCCAGATAAGCAAAGTCTTGAGGGCTTTCGCTAGAAGGACTGAGGCCCAGCCCATCCTGTGCAGGCTGACCCCAAAGCTCCTACTGCTCGTGAGGACCCTCACTTTTCATGCAGGAGGCCTGGCCCCCTCCGAACTCCCTTTCACTAACACCTCACTGCTCTACCTGTACCATATCTGGGCCCTGTGCTCCCACAAATTGATGAACTGTGGCCAAACCAGTACCCACAAAACACTTAAATGTTGGGAAGTCATCTTTCTGAATTAATTAGCCATTTGCTGCTCTGCTTGGCAGCAAATTTAAATATTTGCTTCTTTACACTCTAAAATAAGCTCACTTAGGAGGAAATGAATAAAGTCATCTAGTTAATGAAGTCAATTTATACAAGTTATTTCATTTCCAGGTTATCAAAATCTTTAAATCATTCAGTTCCTATGCCAATTCATACTAAAGTCCAAAAAAAGATGTTTCTATTCTAAGCTATATTTATAACTAAACCTAATGCTTCTTTCCTACTGGAATTAAGCAGAAGTAGAATATGGAGTGGACAGTGAAAACGAAAACAAAACAGTGAACCACACACACTGTCCTCAGAGATGACCAGTACTGACACTTTTTGGTCTACCCCTCAAACTTTTTCTAATGTATATAATTATTGCACTAAAGTTAGATTATATTTGGTACATTGTTTTAAACTGACTTTTCACAGATTTATATTGGATTCACAGATTTATCTACGGTTAGTCCCAAATATCCAGCTGCCGAACTAACAGCTCCAAGACACTCAAACTCACAGAAGACAACACTGAATGTAATCTCCCATCCCTAGTCTGGCAACCTCGCAGCAGTCCCTACCTTGGTGAATGCCCCACCATCTCCACCCAGCCCAATCGCCATCAATTTCAACCTCCTTCCACAAAACTGGCAGGAGCCACACACTGCCTGCATTCGAATCCTGGTTCCAGAAAACCTGCTGACTGGCCTCTGCCTTCCATGCTGCCTCCTCATTCATTCTTCACACAGCCACCAGGGGGATATTTCTCAAATGTAAACCTGATCACTTAACACCTGCTGGTCTTTCAGTTACATGTCTATAAGACTTTGGCTTGATGATACATACACACACACACACACACACACACACACACACACACACACACACACACACACATATATACACACACACATATATATACATGTATATATATACACACACATACACACACACACACACACACACACACACACACAGAGTATAGTAGCACTAAGCCCAATGCCTGGTACAAACTAGGTGCTTAGTAAACTGAATTACCTAAAAATATTAGTCTGATTTTCTTGCAAAGGAAATTATTCCATATGCTATCTTTTAAATTATTCACGCACTCTGGTTTGAAAAACTTATTAACCTTTGAGAGGGAGAGGGAGGCCACTTAGCTTTGATTCAATATTGAAACTAGGTTTTAATTTATTCCATTTAATCTTAATCTCAAGTATTCATCAGAAGACAGTAGGGTATGTATTTATGAATAACTAAATTATTCCTTTTGATTAAGACAACAGAAAACACATTTCATAAGTTTTTCATTATACTGTTTTCTGTAAGTAGGATTTATGATAAGGTATGCCTTCAGAAAACACTGCTTCTTTAAAATGTATATTTCCCCAAGATGGAAAGATTAAGATGCCTGCATTAAAAGCATGTTCTCCTGGGCTACATCCACTTCACCTGAAGGAAGGCAAGGAATTCAACAACTCACCTACCTGATCAGCAAAAAACAGTACGCTGGTCACCATGTAACACCCTAGGCAGATATCATAATTCATGTTTACTTACGGAAATTAAGCCACATGTGCACAAAGGAAAAAACTCAGAGTAAACCGGTGGCTTAAACATTCTAAGGGAGTTAACAACTTAATGCACGTGATTCCCGCAATCTTTTTTTTTTTTTTGGAGACGGAGTCTCACTTTGTCGCCCAGGCTGGAGTGCAGTGGGGCAATCTCGGCTCACTACAACCTCCGCCTCCTGGCCCTACACGATTCTCATGCCTCAGCCTCTCAAGTAACTGGGACGACAGGCGCGCATGACCAAACCTGGCTAATTTTTGTATTTTTAGTAGAAGCAGGGTTTCACCATGTTGGCCAGGCTGGTCTTGACCTCCTGACCTCAAATGATCCACCTGCCTCAGCCTCCCAAACTGCTGGGATTACAGAGGTGAGCCACCATGCCCGGCCTTTCTGCAATCATTTTAAAATTCGAGGTAGTAATCATATGATGCCACATCCTAATGGAAATTAAACACATTTCTGGGATCCCCACCCTGCAACTCATCCCATTTTTGCATGTAAAACACTGAACTCAAATTAATTTCACATGTTTAGTAATAACTAAAATACTACTTACTTGAAATAAGAACACCTTAGTTATTTCAGGTATCACTGCTTTTCACTAACACATAATTTACTTGAATTCCTTAAGTGTGAACTACAATTGTTACAAATGTAGTATGTGAAGCCCTCCCTCATTTAATATGTCTTATTTTTACAGCTTGTAGCTCTGTGAAATGTTAACAAATTAGAATCTGGATAATAACTTACAACCTCGGTCCTTGTGCGATAATTTTCCTATGGCTCTTTTCTGTCTTTTCACTACATACTCAAGTTGCTTTTAATATTTTGTATATTTTAATGTTAAAGGAAACTGGCCATAGTTGAAAATTCTATCCACCAAAGGCACTTCCTTAGGAAACTTCAGTATGTATTAATAAGAACTCCCTTAAAAAAAAAAAAAATAGGGCCAGGCGCAGTAGCTCACGCCTATAATCCCAGCACTTTGGGAGGCCGAGGCGGGTGGATGAACTGAGATCAGGAGTTCGAGATCAGCCTGGTCAACATGGTAAAACCCCATCTCTACTAAAAATACAAAAAAAAAATTAGCCAGGCATGGTGGTGGGCACCTGTAATTTCAGCTACTCAGGAGGCTGAGGCAGGAGAATTATCTGAACCTGGGGGAAGGAGGTTGCAGTGAACTGTGATCGTACCATTGCACTCCAGCCTGGGAAACAAGAGCAAAACTCCATCTCAAAAAGAAAAGAAAAAAAAAAGCCAGGCCGGACATGGTGGCTCACACCTGTAATCCTAGCACTTTGGGAGGCTGAGGAGGGTGGATCAGTTGAGGTCAAGAGTTCGAGACCAGCTTGGCCAACATGGTGAAACCCTGTCTCTACTAAAAATACAAAAATTAGCTGGGAGTGGTGGTGAGCGCCTGTAATCCCAGCTACTCGGGAGGCTGAGGCAGAAGAATCGCTTGAACCCAAGAGGCAGAGGTTTCAGTGAGCCGAGACAGCGCCACTGCACTCCAGTCCGGGCGACAGAGCAAGACTCTGTCTCAAAAAAAATAAACAAATAAAATAATAAATTAGAAAAATAAAAAATTATGAACTTTTTACATTAAAGCATGTTCCTAACCTGAAAATTCTGCCATACTTGTATTTCAAAAGCAAAAATTATTATAGCACATTTCAAAAATATCAATATAAAATGCCTAATGGGGCAGTAATTTTATTACCATAAGAGGCACCAAAACAACATCAGTATGTAAGTTAGAGACTATACCCAGGGCAAGGGGGCTGGGGAAGGATGGAAATGTGCCCCTGTTAGCTTTTCCTCAGCACGTGGAGTTGTTGCCTGCCTGTGATCCCCAATAAGTTTTTTAAAGTTTCTTTTTCTTCCCAACATTTTTCTAACGGAACTGGCCAAATCACCCCCTAGAAAATCCCAAATTCTCTGATAAACATCAACAGGCTTAGCAGCCAGCAATCTCCACCACAATCCTTCCCCATGCCTGGCTTCAGCATAAACGTGCAAACTCTTCAAACTGAGTTTACACAGCCATTCCATCCAAGACTTCCTCCACAAAGGGCAAGAAACAGATAGTGCAAGGCATCTCACAGGGTCACCACCAAAACAGAACATACATGACATCATTCCTGCTCAAAGCAAAATTACATCCAAGAACGACAAAGGAAGTGCTTGATATTACATCTCTGAATCACCTTCAGCACCAAAGATAGTAAAAGATGACAACATGGGGAAGAGGAAGACTTTCTCCCTGTTGATCATCCACACAAAAGTGTACTTCCCCGCCACCTACTGACTCCACATGCCCGGTCAGTTACACCTGAAATCTTTTTTTTTTTTTTTTTTTTTTTTTTGAGACAGGGTCTCACTCTGTTGCCCAAGCTTGAGTAGAGCAGCGTGATCATGGCTCACTGCAGCCTCAACCTCACAGGCTCAATGCGATCCTCCCACCTCAGCCTTTGAGTAGCTCAGACTACAGGCCAGCACCACCACACTCAGCTAATTGTAGTATTTTTTGTAGAAACAGTCTCGTTAGGTTGCCCAGGCTGCTCTCAAACTTCTGGGCTCAAGTGATCCACCCGCTTTGGCCTCCCAAAGTGCTGGGATTACAGGCCTGAGCCATGGCGCCTGGCTCTGAAATCTTTGTTTACGCCCCTTACAATCAGTCTCAGGTGACTGGCCTGCGCAGGAACTGAATCCCAAGTATTTTTATTCTGTGATAAATTTGGAAAAATTATCCACATTTCTAAATTTGCTGTACTACCCACAGGGAATAAACAGGAGTGGCCTAGGCCCACTGTTGAGAACGAAGGGAAGGTCCTCAAATAATAAATGACAAAGACCAAACCAGACAGAGATTCACACAAAATACAGCTTGTCCATCAGGAAAGTTCACGTACACAAACGCATGACAGCTGCTCTAAATGGTGGTGAAGATAACATTAAACTGTTTCAGTTTTTCCTAATTTGGCAAAATGTCAATTGAGAAAACTGAGACTGAGATGCTAAGAGTAAACACGACATCACTGTTCCAGAAACACAGAGAAAGGACAAACAAAACAAAGTACCTTTTTACACTCAAAGAGATCTAGAGTATTCTACACCTTAGAAAATCAAACCTACTCCAAGGGGCCAGGGTAATATAATAGTACCATTTGAACAAATTTGGGTAAATCCTGGAAGTGAGAACTGTATAGGCACTAACAGAAAACTTCCTCAGTGCTGTGCCCTGAACGTTAATAATTAAAGGATAATGAGGAAAATTAGGGGTAATTTAGTACTTGACTTTAATTTTCTTTTGCTATCATTTAAAATACTGCCTCTTCCCCTCCATAAAAAATAAGTTTTTAATAATGTTACAAATTCACAACGACCAAGTATAAAATTTGCATCTTCAAGAGCATCTTCCCTGCTACAGAGGCAGAGCCATTAAAGCTGTGGTTTTGTAACTTAGTGAGCCTAAATAGCAGCAGGAGGGGGACTGTAAAATGCAGATGCCCAGGACCCTTCACAGAGATCCTATTTCCCAGGCCAGGTATCTACGTTTTCAACATGCATCCAGGGGATATTCACAAAACAGGACATTATTTTAGATACATGTTATTATTTAAGAGAGGTATAATGCTTGTTCTTTTTTCCTTAAACCAAAAAGCAAAACAAGTGTCAAAATCCTTACTTGGAGCAGCTGCCAAAAATAGTTGAAAACACTCCAGAATGATTAAATCAGGATCGAATGTCAGAGCCACGGAAAAGAGCCGTGCGACCGACTGCATCACACGATCCCTCAGTCTGAATAATGCGTCCAGCCATGACTGTGAATCTGTGTGAATTATGAAAAACTAGGTGTTGTGAGTCTAAGCTACTAATCATATTTCTTACAGTTTCAACTTATAATGGGCACTTTAATCTAGGAATGTCACTCAACAATATTTAAATCAATTATGCATATATTTTAAAGTATTTCTGAACAAATAAAAAACGGCTTTAAAAGCTACTTCAGTCTATGGTATAAGGTGCTCTAGCATTTTTCTATTTGGAAACTGATTTCAATCAACATGATATAAAATTGTCTAAAGTGTTATTTCACCTATTAATGTTTAAAATATTTTTCTCAGGTTAAAGGACATTTTAATTTGTATAGGAAATATGATAAAAGATTCTAGAAAATATATTTTTTATTATCAAATTCGCAGAAGGATACAAAATCTAAAACGTCGTTTACTAAGAATTGTATAATTTTAATATGCCACTATTTAAAAAGATCAAGCATAGTTTGCCTTTTGCTTGGTTTTGTGTATAATCTAACAGTTAATTGTGTCAAAACAAGAGTGCATGACTTTCAGTTGCTGAATAACACATTATTCAGTAAAGATCCAAAACAACATCATCCACCTTACCCTCACTGATTTTTACATGTTATTTATTTATTTATTTATTTATTTATGAGACAGAGTCTTGCTATGTCGCCCAGGCTGGAGTACAGTGGGCGATCTCAGCTCACTGCAACCTCCGTCCCCTGGGTTCAAGCAGTTCTCCTGCCTCAGCCTCCCAAGTAGCTGGGATTACAGGCACATGCCACCACACCCAGCTAATTTTTGTATTTTTAGTAGAGATGGGATTTCGCCATGCTGGCCAGGCTCATCCTGATTTCCTGACCTCAAGTGATCTGCCCACCTCAGCCTCCCAAAGGGCTGAGATTACAGGTACGAGCCAGCATGCCCGGATGGCCTCACTGATTTTTATAATAGCCCAATGACTGCAGAATACATTATTTTCAAGTACCCATAAAATGTCCACCAAAAAGGCCATATGCTAGACCAAAAAATATGTCTCCATACATTTCAAAAGACTGCAAAAATCATTGTGCTGAACATCTACATCATGATGTTCTACTGGCTCCAAACATAAACTCTGAGGGCATCTAATGTCAGCTGGAGTGCAAGGGGACAAATGGAAACAGTAATTGGTACTGCATAACCCTTCAGGCCTTACTACATTATGCTGAGCATAAATGAGTCCATTGAGTTCAGCATTCTCAGAAGCATTGAGATCGTACAGCCCCATAAATCCTACTTGTGCAACAACCAAACTTCCACAACAGGTTATTCCAAGCCATGCACCAGGGCCAGGCATATCCCAGAAAACATGTTATAAGCCACGCCTCGCTAGCTCTATGGAAAGGCACAAAGTCAAGGTGTAAAGAAGGATGGCAGAACCCCGAGGGAAAACCTGCGTCTGTAAAAGTAAAAAGGAAACGTGGTGGAGAAACAGGCGTGCTCATCTCAGCTGCTCAGAGTACAGAGAGTGCCAAAGGGAAAAGCGTACAGGTGAGCACAGCAGCTGTCTCCATAGTCATCTAAGTGTCCACAGCAAGTACAACGAGACTGTACATGAATCCATACATCAAAACACAGCCGAGCGCAGTGGCTCATGCCTGTAGTCCCAGCACTTTGGGAGGTCGAGGCAGGAGGAGCACTTGAGCCCACGAGTTTGAGACAAGCCTTGGCAACACAATGAGACCCTGTCTCTACAAAAATGTTTACATAAATTAGCCAGGCATCGTGCAGTATGCCTATAGTCCCAACTACTCAAGAGGTGAGGTGGCACCCAAATAGGAAGAGAGGAAGTCAAACTCTCCCTGTTTGCAGATGATATGGTTCTATACCTAGAAAACCCCACAGTCTCTGCCCAAAAGCTCCTTGATCTGATAAACAACTTCAGCAAAGTTTCAGGATGCAAAACCAATGTATAAAAATCAGTAGCATTCCTACACACCAACAACATCCAAACTAAGAGCCAAATCAGAAACACAATCCCATTCCCAATAGCCACAAAAAGAATAACATGCCTAGGAATACAGCTAACCAAAGAAACGAAAGATCTCTACAATGAGAATTTAAAAACACTGCTCAAAGAAACCAGATATGATATAAACAAATGGAAAAATGTTCCATGCTCTTGGATTGAAACAACAAATATTGTTAAAATGGCCACACTGTCCAAAGCAATTTACAGATTCAATGCTACCCCTATCAAACTATACCAATGACAATCTTCACAGAATTGGAAAAAAAGAATAATTCACATAGAACTGAAAAAGAGCCTGAATAGCCAAGGCAATCCTAAGCAAAAAGAACAAAGCTGGAGGCATCACATTACCCAACTATAAACTACAGTACAAGGCTACAGTAACCAAAACAGCATGGTACTGGTACAAAAATGGACACACAGACCCATGGAACAGAAGAGAGAGCCCAGAAATAATGCCACACACCTACAACCATCTATCTGATCTTTGACAAAGCTGACAAAAACAAGCAACAGGGAAAGAACACCCCATTCAATAAATGGTGCTGGGATAACAGGCTAGCCATATGCTGAATATTGACACTGGACCCCTTCCTTACACCACACATAAAAATCAATTCAAAGGGCTGGGCATGGTGGCCCACGCCTGTAATCCCAGTACTTTGGAGGCCGAGGCAGGTGGATTGCCTGAGGTCAGGAGTTCGAGACCAGCATGGCCAACATGGTGAAATCCCATCTCTACTAAAAATACAAAAATTAGCCAGGCATGGTGACGTGCACCTGTAATCCCAGCTACTCAGGAGGCTGAGGCAGGAAAATCACTTGAACCTGGGAGGCAGAGGTTGCAGTGAGCTGAGATCGCGCCATTGCACTCCAGCCTGGGTGATAAGAGCGAGACTTCATTTCAAAAAAAAAAAAAAAATCAATTCAAGATGGATTAAAGAATTAAATATAAAATCTAAAACTATAAAAACCCTGGAAGATAACCTAGGAAATACCATTCTGACCATAGGTCCTGGACGAGACTTCATGATGAAGACAGCAAAAACAATTGCAACAAAAACAAAAATTGACAAATGGGACCTAATTAAACTAAAAACCTTCTGCACAGCAAAAGAAACTATCAACAGAGTAAACAGACAACCTACAGAATGGGAGAAAATATTTGCAAATTATGCATCCAACAAAGGTTGAATATCCAGCATCTATAAAGAACTTAAGCAAACTAACAAGCATAAAACAACCCCATTAAAAAGTGGGCAAAGAGGCCAGGCGTGGTGGCTTACGCCTGTAATCCTAGCACTTTGGGAGGCCAAGGAGGGTGGATCACCTGAGGTCAGGAGTTTGAGACCAGTCTGGCCAACGTGACAAAACCCATATCTACTAAAAATACAAAAATTAGCCGGGCATGGTGGCGGGCACCTGTAATCCCAGCTACTCGGGAGGCTGAGGCCAGAGAATCGCTTAAACCCAGGGGATGGAGGTTGCAGTGAGCTGAGATTGTGCCACTTCACTCCAGCTTGGACAAAAGAGCGAGACTCCATCTCAAAACAAAGTGGACAAAGAACAAGAACAGACGCTTTTCAAAAGAATACATACACATGGCCAATAAGCTTATGAAAAAATGTTCAACATTACTATCATTAGAGAAATGCAAATCAAAACCACAATGAGACACCACCTCACACCAGTCAGAGTGGCAATTATTAAATAAAACAATACATCCGTGTCGCGTGAGAAATTCGAAGAAAAAAATTAAAAGTCAAAAAATAACAGATGCTGGCAAGGGTGTGGAGAAAAGGGAATGTTTATACGCTGCTGGTGGGAATGTAAATTAGTTTGGCCATTGTGGAAAGCAGTGTGGCAATTTCCCAATGAATTTAAAACAGGGTTATCATTCAACCCAGCAATCCCATTACTGTGTATATATCCAAAGAAATATAAACTGTTCTGCCATAAAGACACATGCACACATATGTTCATCACAACACTATTCACAATAGCAAAGACATGGAATCAACCTAAATATCTTTCAGTGGTAGAGTGGATAAAGAAAATGTGGTACAAACATACCATGGAACACTAGGCAGCCATAAAAAATAACAAGGTCATGTTTTTTGCAACAACATGAATGGAGCTAGAGGCTATTATTGCTAAGTGAACTAACATGGGAAGAGAAAACCAAATAATGCATGATCTCACGTGGACATAAAGAGGAAAACAACAGACAGCAGGGCCTACTTGAAGAGGGAGAGGATCAAAAAATTAGCCTATTGGGTACTATGTTTATCACCTGGGGTGACTAATCTGTATGCCAAACCCCTATGACACTCAATTTACCTATATAACAAACCTGCACATGTACCCCTGAATCTAGAATAAAACTTTTTTAAAAATAAGAGGCTGAGGCAGGAGGATCACTTGAACCTGGGAGGTTGAGGCTGCAGTGAGCTATAATTACACCACTGCACTCCAGCCTGGGTCTCTAAATAAATAAATTAAATTAAAACAAAAGACTACACAGCCATGTTGGCATAGCTATGGTTCATGGACACAGAAATATATATATGCTAACCTCAAAACAAAAAACTACTATTCAAGTCTCTTTATTTAAAAGAAAAAGACTGTGTTTCTATCTATCTGAAGAAAGGGAAGAGTCAGGATGAAAATCTCAAACAACAGTGATAAGCTCTCAGCAATAGCAGGATGTCAGGTGATTAATTCCTTTGTATGTTTCTGCATTTTCCAATTTTTCCTCACAAGGAGTTGTGCTATTTTTACATAGGAAGTAACAGCAAGAGAGAGAGACTGAGAAAGAGAGGGAGAAGAAAAAAAAAAAGAAACAAAAAAAAGAAGGACGAAGAAGAAGGGAGAAGAGGAAGACATTGAAAGATTGATACGTTAATTCATCGCTTTCTAATACTCTGGTGGAAAAAGAGCACCTGTTTAAATTCTTCATAAATCTCTGTAGTTGCCTTGAGTGTTGGAATTGAGCCACACAATAAATGAAAGATGGTACTCTTCATGTGGACTGCAGAAAAGGATTTCAGAGTTACCCTAAGCCTGGCTCACTCAAAAGCCCAAGAAGGAGAAACGGCACCAAGAAAAATAGCATCAGAACATAAGTCGGCAGAAAACTTCTGCTTTTTTTTTTTTTTTTTTTTTTTTAAGACTAGCTCTGTTGCCCAGGTTGGAGTGCAGTGGTGTGATCTCAGCTCACTGCAAGCTCCACCTCCCAGGTTCACGCCATTCTCCTGCCTCAGCCTCCTGAGTATCTGGGACTACAGGCACCCGCCACCACAGCCGGCTAATTTTTTGTATTTTTAATAGAGACGGGGTTTCACCTTGTTAGCCAGGATCTGCATTTTTTGATACAATGTATTCCTGACCCACAGGAGCCACATGGGACAAATTCCACCATGACAGGTGCAACAGTGAATCTAATCTTCCAAATTTATACACTATTTGGTATTTGATATTTTTTGTCTTACTTGAAATTTCAAGAAAACATTTAAGATATGCACCAACTCTCAGCCAGGCATGATGCTAACTGTCAGGAATATAGGTGTGAACAAGACACAACAGCTGTGTGCACCCAGCTCACAGCTGAGGGAAAGAAGAGCAGGCCGGTGGGGAGAGGGCCAGGAATGAGAAGGAGCCCCAGTAGGAAGCAGAGTGAATATCTGGGTGATCTTACCATCTTCTGACCTCACGATGTAACCTAGCTGGTTAAATACCCTGTGCAGGGAGGTTTTAGGAGACAGTCGACCAGGCCGCTGCCTCCATACTACCATGCTGATGTAACTATGTATGTGGCTATGAGCCCTTCTGCAATTCCTTATAAGCCAAATACAAAAGGAGTGGCCAGGGCCGGGTGTGGTGGCTCACATCTGTAATGCCAACACTTTGAGAGGCCAAAGCAGGCGGATCATGAGGTCAGGAGTTCAAGACCAGCCTGACCAACATGGTGAAACCATGTCTCTACTAAAAATACAAAAATTAGCCAGGCGTGGTGGTGCACGCCTATAATCCCAGCTAGTCAAAAGGCTGAGGCAGGAGAATCGCTTGAACCCAGGAGGCAGAGGTTGCAGTGAGCAGCCGAGATCACGCCACTGCATTCCAGTCTGGGCAACAGAGCAAGACTCCATCTCAAAAAAAAAAAAAAAAAAGAATTTGCTGACTTCTACATCCAGAGCCGAACATCCTGTCACGCATTCTCAAAACGCTGAACGTTCCTCCTCCCCCTCCTCTTCCTCTTCCTCATTCCTCTCAAGAGTACAGAAAAAAAGTGGGGTAGTGGGAGGGAACACTGAAGAGCAGTAGGTGGATAGGTCCAGGAGCCAAACTCACAGACCACAGTAAAGACTGGGGAAGCACACACAGAGCATCAGAGCACTGATGGAGAAAAGGCCGAGCTTCCTGAGATCCAGGCCCTGCACAGGAGAGGCTGCCCGGGACACAAATGGCCCATCGCACAGCAAGGCTGAGCTTCCTGAGGGCCAGGCCCTGCACAGGGTAGGCTGCCTGGGACACACTCGCCCACTGCACAGGAGCACGGTGCACCGCCAAGGCCACGGTTGGGATGGATCTTCTCAGGGCCAACGCTGGGACCAGAATGCAGAATGGCTGCATGTTGTATACACGGAGATGATAAGGACAGGCCCGAGTTGTGAAGAAAGATGTTATGTTTGGTTAAATTAAGGCAGAATATGGCATAGAAATCTTTTTGTGATATTTCCATTGTAAAAGTGTAGTTTTAAAACCCCAAAACCTAGTGTTAAGTCCCAGGTATCAAGAAAATCATTATACCTTGGTATTCAGGACAGTGAAGATTCATGATACTTATTATAAAAGAAAATATACTAGAGTGGGTGGCCCACACATAATTTAAAGTATGTGTCTAAAACAGAAAGGAAAAGAATCGCACCCGCTCCCTAGTCCTCAAAAAAAAAAAATGCATTCAGAACAGGTTCCCCAGGACCTGAACTCACTCTGTCTTTATCGTCTGCTACATCACAAAGAATGTCATCAAGGTCTAGTATTCCTCCATCTCCATGTTCCAAGCGATGCACCTGTATCCAGTAGTTTGGATCCTATACGAAAGAACAGAAACACTGAATATAGCAAGTTAGCATCACCAAAAGGGAATTAGACATTTTAAACCGTGATAACTTCCTGCCCATAAAAAGGAATCAACCTCATATCAACAATACTGCAACTGATTAAAAATTCAGACAGCACCCTAAGTTTGGTATTGAGTCACTGCTCCTTTTATGATGGAGTGACTCATACACACTCTTCCCTTTGGCTCTGATGCTGATACTCTATTATGATAGGAACTGCACAAACCTGCAATATGTACTGCATAAGTAATACTGATTTCTCTAAAGCATACTAGATTTCCTATTGCCCAATATATGAAATACTTATTATACTTATTAACCCCCAATGCAATCTACAGAAATATTCTAATAAGCAAACAGCATATATTATGTGTCTGAAGAATTTGTATTTTTGCTTATCTGCAAAAAGTAGTTTGCACACCCTGGTGGCTCCAAGTGTTTCTTACAAATAGGTCTAAAGATAGGGACACAGAAGGATGCTGACAAGACCGTAGTGAACAAAGCACATCCTGTGTGGCTTGAGCCTCTTTTTACAGAGACAAAATGACACACACACACACACACACACACATATTAAAATGCGTAAACACACACACACACACACACCCCCCTCAAAATTTGCAGTGGTTATCCTGCAGTGGGATTGAGGAGAAGGAAAAAAAAGGACATCATTTTAAATTTTATACACTTCTATATGGTGTACGTATATTTTAAAATCCTTAAAACTCTGCTTTCAAATGATCTGAAGAAGAAACATAGTTGTGTGTTTCTGAACTTCTACATCACTCTTACGTACATATTCAGATGAAAATATACTAAATTGCATGTTTCACCATTCCCTACTGCTTTCATTCTGCAACACAATTGCTATCCAGAAGTTCAATCCTCCATTCTTCATACCTAAAGATGATGTTTGATACAGTTCTTTCCTGAAGCAAAGATTGGAAGAAGGAGGCTAATGATTAATGAAGAGTTAAAATACAGATTCCTGGACCCTGTTCCAGATCTACTGACTAAGACCCTGGAGCAGGGGTGCGGGGAGAATCCATATTATTAAGAAGCTCTCCAAGTCCATCTCTAACAAAGCATGCCTAAGTATCACTGAAACGGAACACTTATTTTAAAAATGCAGAATGACCAATCCTTGTCACTTTTTAACCAGCACAGCAAGTAACTCAGACCTTAATCCTCAAAGTTATTAAACATTACCGTTAAAACCATTTTGCAAGTAACAGAGTTCCTCTGCACCCTCATCTATCTGGACCTCTATGAAAGGAATCATTTATCTAGAACACAGAGAGTAAGTTTGTAAAACAAACACTCACACACACACACACACACACACGTTGGCATCCTCTTCATTTGTGGGGCCTATTCTGACTGCACATGAATCCCAATTACAACATCATCCAGGAGTCCCTGGGACACCTGCCACTGAGACAGCTCCAGAATTTGGCATCTCCAGATGTGTTGAGTCCCCAAAGAATGAAGTCCCAAAACCATTTACTGATGGTAAATGGTATTTCCTCTTCAAGGAAAATTGGAAATAATGTCCTGGGGGTGAATAAGAAAGAGGTGTCCCCTGGCCACTTAGAATAGCCACATCCTGCCCACCTCTTCCCACCAAGCAAGCTCAAGGGTGACCCAATCAACTTAAATATCAACTTTCGTTTCTAAAATACTTCCACACACACAAGCACACCAACCTCCAAAATGTGGCTTATGAAACCATTCTTTAAGCCTCCTAATCCTGTTCACTCCCTCCAGATGAGATCATTATCTGCAGCCTTTATATAATATTTGTAGCCACCCCTTGGAAATAAATCCGCACCTATGGACTTTCTCAACCTCATAACTTCATCCTTCAGAACTTGCTACATTTCCACCTTTTCCCCAGCACTTTCCCTTTCACAGCCTGTTAGGCCCTGCACCATTTTCCCCCCACTCTGTGCCCAAGGCCTCCAATGCCTGGACCACACCTTACCCTCCAGGCCAGCCCTGTCTGTCCATCAAGACTTCTCAGGCATCCTCTTCTCCAAGAGCTTTTCCTGACCATCACACCCCCAAAGCAGATCAGCAGTCTAACTCCAGCCCACTGTTTTCTTTTGTTTAGAGACAGTCTCGCTCTGTCATCCAAGCTGAAGTACAATGGTGCAATCATAGCTCAATGCAGCCTCCAACTCCTGGGCTCAAGCAATCCTCCCACCTCAGCCTCCCAAAGTGCTGGGATGATAGGCATGAGCCACTGAGCCCAGCCTGTCCCACTGTTAATGTTCCTAAAAACCACAATCGTATGGAAGATAGAGTCAGGTGTCAAGCGTGAGCCTTTAAAGGCTGTGAATTATTTTTACATATGCAGCACAAAACCTTTTGTTGACACTACTTTACCTTCCGGTTATTATACCAATTCTTTGATGATCTTCACAGCAAATTTTTTTTAAAAATTGTCTATACTTGCTTCAAGTGTGTCTTCCTCCCATAACCCCATTCCAATCAGGCTTCCTCTTCCATCATATCCACAGCAGCCTCCACGATGCTTAACACAAAAGTCTGTTGTCTGTCCTCATCTTATTTGGTCTATCAGCAGAATATGTTACCCTCTCTTTGAAATACTCTATAAACTTGGCTTGTAATCCTCCAACTAACTGATCAAGGCTTTTCTAATTTTGAGAGTCAATGGTTGACTCCTGCCTCCGGAGGGGTCCTGACTCAACAGTCAGCTATGCCAAGCAATCATGATAACATCATGCCAAGGCAAATATCAGGCTGCCACTTATTAAATGCCACTCCACAAAAATGTGCTGAATGGATATGACGTTTTGAAAAGAACTGAGCAGGAGATCAACAGTAACCCCAACAGAGCATGCTGCATTAAAAATAAAAAAATAATAAATAAAACATAAAAAATAAACATATAAAAATGACCTCCTCCCACAAGAGTTTAAAAACCAGGAAGGATATTTTTGCCACTGAAAAATACAACTCCGTAGAACAGTGGTCTCTTGGGAAATTTTAACTGGCAGCTTTCATACCATAATTCTCTTTCAATGAACAGAGGACTTGCTTTATTTTCAAGGGAAGAGTCCAGTATCCAGTGAGAAAAAGTTAGCGCATACTTATTGATTCCACTTTGTAGTAGTTTGCATTAAAAAGTTTAAAATAATAACAGTAGGAATCTCTACTGTCCAGTCCATAGACACTCAGAAATGTAGCTGAGCAAAAAATTGTGATAAGGTCCGGCATGATGGCTCATCCCTGTAATCCCAGAACTTTAGAAGGCCAAGGCATAGTGACCCACACCTGCAGTCCCAGCTAATTGGGAGACTAAGGCAGGGGGATCCCTTGAGCACAAAAATTCAAGGCTGCAGTGAGCTGTGATTGTATCACTGCACTCCAGCCTGGGCAACAGAGTGAGGCCCCGTCTCTTAGGGGGAAGATAAAAGTTATGATAAGCCACTTTTTATACTACCAATAAATTCTAATTCTACAATAATTGTATCAGTCATTGGGTGAATAAACAAACATGACAGAACATTCAACTAAAAAAGAAGAAGAATGTTTCTCATTCAGGATATGTCCATTTAAAATAACAAAAGAGTTAAACACTAACAATAATTGTGTATTATGACAACCAAAAGTCCATCACACACAGCAATAAACGAGGGGCAGAGTTCATCCATCAAATAGATGATCAAGCAGTGAATGTCCTCATGGGGCAAGGCTCCCAAGGATAGGTCCAAACCCACCGAAGAAACCTGGAGACAAAACCACATGAAGAATCACTGCTCTTATTCAGATAAAGAACATCAACTTCACCTTGCCTAGTGCTAGACAAAACATTTCCTAAGACTAAGAATGGAAGCAGAGGTAACTCTACAAGATGCAAGTTGCAAGGAATGCTGAGGCCCACTCTACTCCAGGATGTGGTAAGAGAAAACAGTGCAAAGTCCTAAGGCGAGCTTTTGTGAGTTATGACATGTATAATGCATAGGCTCCGCATATTACCCACATGTGCAAATTTCAAGAAAAGTATCTGCAACTAGAAATAGCACCCTACTTTTTCATTAACCATGGCATACAGCAATGGTCAATATCCTGTCTAACTTAAGACCAGAAAAAGATCACTGAAAAAAATCTATGTTGATAAAAAAAAAATTTGAGTATTTACTACATGCAAAGCATTGCATGAAGGCAAAGAAACAATCATCACCCAACATCAGAAATTAAAATTTATCTGACAGGCCAGGCGCAGTGGCTCACACCTATAATCCCAGTACTTTGGGAGGCTGAGGCAGGTGGGTCACCTGAGGTCAGGAGTTAGAGACCAGCCTGGCCGACATGATGAAACCCTGTCTCTACAAAAAGCATAAAAATTAGCCAGGCATGGTGGCGTGCGCCTGTAGTCCCAGCTCCTCTTTCTCCTGTAGTCCCAGGAGAATCACTTGAACCTGGGAGGCGGAGGTTGCAGTGAGCTGAGATCACACCACTGCACTCCAGCCTGAGCAACAGAGTGAGACTCCATCTCAAAAATAAAATAAAATTTATCTGACAAAATATAAGTCATAAAAAAGAGGTAGACCACGTGTTCAAAGAAAACTACACCAAAAAAAAAATGTTTTGTGAATTCAGGAAGGAAAGATCACTCTCACTTGGAAAGGTCTTCATGGGGAGGTTTTAGCAGAATGAGCAGACCAGAGGGACAGGGCACAAGAGGAGGACCCTGAGCAGGGGGAAGGGTGTGAGCAGCAGGGAAGAATGGCAGAGGTGATTCAGAACGCTGTGAACACAAAGATAAAAATGAAAGGGTAAAAACATCATATCAAAAAGACACACTTATTTTTATTTCCTACTGAAAGCCCACTGAAACCACAATACACGCGGGGATGTTGTTGTTGTTGTTGTTGTTGTTGTTGTTGTTGTTGTTGTTTCCAAGCATAATCGCACAAAGACAAAGAGAACAGAGGGAAATGAGGGAAACACAGTTTTTGGAAGCTGAGAAGCAGATGGCCCAGAGGCGACACATTTTGCAGAACCAAGAAAGGGAACCCCAAGGTAACTGTGGGGAAAGCCAAGAAGCAGCAAGACTTCCCCAACAGAGCCGGTAAGAGGCTCTGGAATGGGGAGAACCAAGAATGTCAGAACACCGGAACAAGGATGGGAAGGGGCCAGGCACGGTAGTTTATGCCTATACTCCCAGTGCTTTGGGAGGCAGGGACAGGAGGATCACTCAAGCCCAGGAGCTCCAGACTAGTCTGGGGAACGTAGTGAGGCCCCATCTCTACAAAAAAACTGGAAAAATCACCAACGTGTGGTGGTGTGCACCTGTGCCCATAGTCCAGCTACTTGGGAGGCTAAGGTGGAGGATCTCTTGAGCCCAGGGGTTCGAGGCTACAGTGAGCTTGTCTCTAAAATATAATAATAAAACAATTTTGGCTGGGTGTGGTGGCTTACGCCTGTAATCCTAGCACTTTGGGAGGCCAAGGTGGGTGGATCACTTGAGGTCAAGAGTTTGAAACCAGCCTGGCCAACATGGTGAAAGCAAGTCTCTACTAAAAATACAAAACAATTAGCCGGGCATAGTGGCGGGCACCTGTAATCCCACCTACTCAGGAGGCTGAGGCAGGAGAATCGCTTGAACCCGGGAGGCAGAGGTTGCAGTGAGCTGAGATTGCGCCACTGCACTCCAGCCTGGGCAACAGCAACACTCCGTCTCAAAATAATAATGATAATAAAACAATTTTAATATTAAAAAAAAAAAAGCCAGGCATGATAGTGCATACCTGTAGTCCCAGCCACCTAGGAGGCTGAGGTGGGAGGATCACCTGACCCTGGGGAATTTCAGGCTGCAGTGAGCCATGACTGCGTCACTGCATTCCAGCCTGGGCACAGTAAGACCGTGTCTCAGAAAAAATAATAATAATAAAATTAAAATAATAATAAATGTAAAAGATGGGAGGAAAAATAACAATACTGTCTGAAAGTCTGTAGTAATTAAAGCCCCAGCTTCCCAATGCTTCCAGAGAGCACAGTGACTGCCCCTCCCAGCCCCTGGCGGCTCACTGCAGGCTCAGACAGCAGGTCTGGACTGAGAAACTAGAGGAGGAACAATTGTAGAGGTGCCTTGTTGAAAATGAGAGGAGCCAAGTGAATATTTACGTACTGATTACAGAAAAATCCAGCCCTCTGCTTCCACTTGCTCTCAGAATGCCAGCCAGGGCTTATCCCCCCAAGGCTAGAGGTGGGAAGATCTTTCCCTGGGCCTCTATCCATCTAAAGAGAAAAGGCAGGGGGGAATCTGGCCCAGTCCAGGGACCACCCAGTGAAGCTCACAGTGTACGCCCGTGCCTGAACTCAGTGCTCTCAAGTTACCATTAGTGCCTTAGGTCAGAGCCAACCATGGAGAGACAGACTTTTAAGAACACCCCAAGGATGGAAGAGAGAACAAAACAAATAGTAAACACAACTTGAAAGAACCAGAGACTGTATAAAAAGATGCTACTAAAAATCCATCACTGGTATCCTGAGAGAGGTCAGATGGTGGTACATTCAGGTTGCAGAGGAATATGAGAAGGGAGGAAAGCAAGAAAGAAAGAAACGTGGTGAGAGAGAATTTTTTTAAAAAAAGTATTTTGGAATTAAAATATGAAAAACAGGCCAGGCACAGTGGTTCATTCCTGTAATCCCAGCACTTTGGAGGCCAAGGCAGGTGAACTGCTTGAGGCCAGGAGTTTAAGGCCAGCCTGGGCAACACAGCAAGATCCCATCTGTACAAAAAAAAAAACCATAAAAATAAGTCAGGTGTGGTGGCATGCACCCACAGTCCCAGCTACTCAGGAGGCTGAGGCAGAAAGACTGCTTGAGCCCAGGAGTTCAAGGCTATGGTGAGTTACGACTGGGCCACTGCACTCTAGCCTGTGTGACAGACACTCTGTCCAAAAAAAACTAAACAAAATACTAAGAGCTCAATAGGAAAATTAAGAGAAGTTGAAAATATCTCCCCTAGGAAGTTGGAAAAAAAAAAAAGACAAAGAAGATAAAAAAGGCTAATAATAAAATTAGACCAGTCAAGTAAGTCAAGCAACTTGAATAACAGGAGTTCTAGAAAAAGAGAATTGGGAAAACAGAGAAATAACCAAAAACAATTTCAACTTAATTCCCCAAAATGACATATGTTTCCACATTAAAAAGTTCCATAGAGACCCCAACACAATGTATAAAAGCAGACATACACCAAGGCACATCAGAACACAGAAGAAAAACAGAAGATTGGTGGGGGGAAGGGAAGGAGAACATCCAGAAAATAAAGCACAGGCCACAGTGAGGGAAAAGGAGTCACAGCAATACTGGAATCTAGACAATCATCTACCAGTGACTTCAAAACTCCTACAAGAAATAGTCCCCCATCCTAGAATTCCATTTCTTGCCCAAATACCGGTAAAGTATGAAGGTAGAAAAAAGACCTTTTTTAGAAATGCAACGTTTCCAAAAACATTACCCCTTTGTAAGTGGAAGATGTGTTCCAACAAAATAAGGCAATAAACCATGAATGAGAATGACACAGCATATGAAAACAGGAGACATAACACAGAAGACAGCTCCCGGGACGATGGTGAAGGTGGATCCCATATTCCAGGACGTCAGCTGCAAACCTGGAGCAGAGTGACCAGTCCAGACACCCCAAATGTGACCTCTTCAAAATGGCACTGAAAGAGTACCCAATGCAACTAAACACAGCAAGACACAATTTTAACAACTGACTAAGGCTAAGGCTAATTAGTTATAAATGTACAGAAGATCAACCAAAGGAAAAAACATTCCTCATTTCAGGAAAAACACAAAAGTTGTGAAGGAAAGAAAAGGTGATCAAGGTATCATACATGGTTCAGCTGTAAGTAGCTTTAATAATAAAAATAATGTGAACCTAGAATATTTAATCAAATTTGTAACCATATTTTGTAACAAAGTGGTCTAAAAAGTAAGTGTGACAGAGGGAGGAGAAAGGCAGACACAAACACACACAAAGAGACAGAGATCCTAGAAATGGCTACCTGTGAGTGGGGGCATAGCACACATACGGTAGTGAAATAGGGTTAAACCTTCCATGTTAACTCAATAGATGACAAACAACAAGAAAAAACAAACGAGATAAGCAATTTACATAAAAATATTAAAGTAAATATCAAAAGAACCAGGAGCAAGAGTTGGAAAAGGCAACCTCTCCCAAAGAAGGCTCTGCTCTTTTTCATAACAATCCTAGTAGTGCTATCTGATCATGTGCACATGTCACATTGAGAAACACAAAGACTAAAGAGAAACAAGTTTGAAAAGTCCTTTAAATAATAACCATGGCACACAGTTTACAGTTTAGCATCCACCAACCAGATTAGCCACATGATAGTTAAGTTAACAAGACAAATAAAGTCCTAGTTAGTGATATAACAAATAGAAAACATTTCATTTTTTTGTTTTGTTTTTAAAAATGCCCCTCAGACTTCTAAAACACTTCATTTTAAAAAGTCAACAAAAGAGCACGATCAGCAGGAACTATGCTTCTCTCTAGATTCTCTGGGTAACTCTCCAATTTATTTAAGCCAAAAACAAACATTTTTAGAATATATTCTGAAGTTCTGTTCTTAAAAAAAAAATGAATCATTAGCACTTCAAGATAGATATCACACATGCAATTCTGACTTTTCCTGATTTAATCAGCTTCATTTTTAAAAATGCTGATTGGCCAGGTGCAGTAGCTCACGCCTGTAATCCCAGCACTTTTGAGAGGTGGAGGCAGGAGGATTGCTTGAGCCCAGGAGTTCAAGACCAGCCTGGCCAATGTAGGGGGACCCCATCTCACAAATAAGTTTTTTCTTGTTGTTATTTTTGGTTTTTTAATTAGCTGGGCATGGTGGTGTGTGCCTATAGTCCCAGCTACTGGGGAGGCTAAAGCAGGAGGATCACTTGAGCCCGGGAGGTGGACAATACAGTAAGCTGTGATCATACCACTGCACTCCAGCCTGGGCAACAAGTTCAGACCCTGTCTCAGGAAAAAAAAAAAAAGCCAATCTTTTCCAATAAACTGAAACATAGGACCCATCTTCAATCTTGTTACAGGAACACTGCTAAACATTATACAAATGTTTGTGTTGCCTTCTCAATACAGGGAGAAGACAGACAGTCAGATGTCATAGCTGATGTTCAACAACAAAATAATGACCTGTATCACCACAAGGGAGGGACTAATATCTCATGCTAAGTACACTGCTCGGCCCCCATTCTCCACTCCAAACCACACCCAATACCAATGCCAAAACCTCAGCACCACAACACAAGACAGAGCAAACCACAAACCTGCTGCCTCCCTTGACAGGTGGATAGCTTCATTTATCTCATCAATCAAAAGTGAAAATGGAGGCATGAAACCAGGTGAAGTCCAACCTCAAGGAAATAAGTTTCTGGCATTTAGTCTTATTAGAACTAGCACATAATCTCTCACAGGGTCACACATTATTCAATAATATGAGAAATCAGCCCATCGATGACCTCCAAGATCTGACATGACTTTCATGCCAACACAAAGTCATGGAAGTCCTTCAACTCCTCCACCATTCTACAGAAATGAAGGGAATGGCCTCAGACTACAGCGCTGGCACAGGACACAGCCAAGGCAAGAATGAGACAGCAGTAACCACCAGTTAGATCTGCACTGCATTTTACAATTTTAAAAAATGCATTCATGTGCATTATCTCATGTGGAAAGAGGGCTTATAATTCCTATTTTCAGAGGAGAGAACTGAGACTCAGAGAGCATAAATAGCCGGCAAGAGGTCACAATTCATAAATGCTGGCAGCCAGGACTCCAGCCCAGGTCTGCTGATTTATTCCCAAGTCCTTTCTCAGACTAACACTGGCAGTTTCCAATCTGAAGCGTCAGGGTTGCTTGTCTTCTTTCCACAGCCCCTCCTCCCAGCCTCTTCTCAACAGCTTCATTTGTTAATACAGTACATAAAGAGAAGATCCAGGCCAGGCGTGGTGGCCCACACCTGTAATCCCAGCACTCTGGGAGGCCATGGCAGATTGCTTGAGTTCAGAGGGCCTAGACCAGCCTGGGCAATATGGCAAGACCCTGTCTCTATAAAATACAGAAAACAAAACAAAACAAAAAAACTTAGCTGGACGTGGTGGCAGGTACCAGTAGTCCCAGCTACTCAGGAGGCTGAGGCATGAGGATCACTTGAGCCTGGAAGGTTGAGGCTGCTGTGAGCCACGATTGTACCACTGCACTCCAGCTGGGGTAACAAAGTGAAACCTTGTCCCAAAAATCAATTAAATTAATTAATTAAAATAAAAAGACGAGATCCATAAAGTATTTTAATAAAAAGGGCCAGGTGTTGTGGCTCACGCCTCTAATCCCAGCACTTTGGGAGGGTGGGGCAGGAGGATCATTTGAGCCCAGGAGTTAGAGACCAGCCTGGACAACACAGTGAGATCCTGTCTCCACAAAAAATTTTAAAAATTAGGGCTGGGTTCGGTAGCTCACACCTGTAATCCTAGCACTTTGGGAGGCTGAGGTGGTCAGATCACTTGAGGTCAGGAGTTTGAGACCAGCCTGGCCAACATGGTGAAACCCCATCTATACTAAAAATACAAAAATTAGCCAGGTGTGGTAGTGCGCACCTGTGGTCCGAGCCACTTGGGAAGCTGAGGTGGGATGATCGCTTCAGCCCAGGAGGTCAAGGCTGCAGTAAGCAGTGGCGTGCCACTGCACTCCAGTCTGGGTGACAGAGTGAGACCCTGTCTCAAAAAAAAAAAAAGAAAAGAAGAAAAAAAGTGTTGGCTGTTAAAACCAAGTCTGAAAAGCCACACCATGAAAAATTCTATTACATGTTCTAATCACATCATGATTTAAAGTGGTGGTTCTCCAAGTGGGAGTCCAGGCCAGCATCACCTGATAATACACTGGAAATTCCAATCCCAAGCGGGATACACCACCAAAAAAAAAGTCTCTGGAGGAAGGACCAACCACCTATTTATACATTTAAACTAGCCCTCCAGGTGTTTCTGATGCACACTGAGGTTTGAGAACCAGTGATTCAGAATGAGGGGCGAGAAGAGATCAGAGAGGAAGCTGAAACACCTTGTGCCTCTTCTATACACTACGTTTTAGCCCAACAACTCGTGGGTTTAGTGCTTCTATCCAAACTTCGGAAATCAAACAGATGTTAGCTATTACATCTTTAAAATGGTTACCATGAACACACACACACATATTTGTCTCCTATAAGCATACAGATAATCTCAGTGTTCACTGTCAGAGTCCTTTCTCAGTGTTATTTCAACTCCAGGCTCTGTGCAGGGGATTGCTAACGCCACATCTTTAGACCAGAACCCTCCCAGCACTCCCACTTCAAACATCCACCTCTCACTGCACCTCACCCTGGGAGCAGTCTGAATCCTCCAAGGAGCTTGTTTTAAAAGCCTGCCAGGAAATTTTTATGCAACAAACAAAAGAATACCCATTTGGGAATTACTTATGACTGGACAATGTTTTTATGGAGTCCTATTTTACTTCAAATAGATAAAGCTTATATTCCTTATCTTCCCTCTAACACCAACTTCCTGCCTTCTTCATTCCTACTGATAGCAGCATCCTCCTGATTGAACCTAATCAAAACATAGCCTCACTTCTTCTTTACAGGAAATACAGGGGATAGAGAACCAAGGTAAACAATACCATAAGGAAACAATCAGACAAATCCAGAATATGAGTTTTTCTTTGTTTTTTGTCTTGTCTTTACAACGCAATTGCACTGATCTTTAAAGGAAAAAAAAAAAAAAGTCCACTTCGTCTGATATCTAAGTGCAATGTATGATCCTGGAGTGGATACTGCATCTGGAAAGAAAAAGTACTATGAAAAAGGAAAGGACAACTGAAGAAATTTGTCAAATTAAGTTAGGTAATGGAATGATACATTGGTAAGTTTTCTGAATGTGATCATTGTACTAGTTATACAACGAACAGTCATTTTTTGAGGAAATGTATGCTTAAGTAATAAGGGTGAGAAGTGTTATAATATCTGTACTTTAGTCTCAAATGGTTCAGGACAAAAAAATGCATACTATTACTAATGTGTATCTTTATGTTTATAGAGATAGAAAAACAACGTAGCAAATGTAAACAACTGGTGAATCTAAAGTATCAGTGGTGCATTTCACTAAAGTGTACATTAGAAATTTTTCAAGAGAAAACGTTAAAAATATGTCATTAAAAAAATAACCTGGGGACTTTTCTAGATCAAAAAGATTAAGGAGGAATATCCAAATTCAAGGTGTGAGTGGTGTTTGGGTCCTTGCTGGGTTTAAAAAAGAAGTCACTGTAGAAGACATCTTGGGAACAATGAGGGAAATTTTAATATGAGCTCAATATGAGATAATATTAGGAAATGATTCTTAATTGTCCATGTGATAATAGCTTTGTGGATATTTAAGGAAACACCCTTATTCTAAGGAGTTGTGTTCTGAAGTATTTAAAGTGCCATGTCTGCAAATAGTGCAAAAAAATACACACGTACACATATATGTACATGTGCACATGTACATATACATATAAACATACAGGTGAGAACCCCTAACCCAAAATGCTTGGGACCAAAAGTGTTTCAGATTTCCATTTTTTTCAGATTTTGGAATATTTACATGCACATGAGATTTCTCGAAGATGGGACCCAAATTTAAACAAAAAAAGTCATTTATGTTTCAAATATGCCTTATACACATAACCAGAAGGTAATTTTATACAATATTTTAAATAATTTTTTACACGAAACCAAGTTTGTATTAAGTCCAAGTTTGTGTTAAGTACTTATGTGTGGAATTTTCCACTTGTGGTATCATGTCAGGGCTCAAAAAGTTCCAATTTGGGAGCATTTCATATTTTCAGATAACAGATGCTCCACCTGTATACACACACGCAGGAATAAATATGTATTATTAGGAGTGCGAACAGGAAAATGCAAATCATCTCAAGTATTTTAAAGAGAGGGAAGTTAATACAAGGAACTGGTACAAAGATTTGTAAGAAGAGTCGTGACTCTAAACCAGGATGGTGGTGGAGGCGGGGGCCACACACAGGTTAGCAGTAGCAGGAAGCTATGACTACCCCTGGGCTGAGGGGATAAGGGGAGGTAGCACCAGAGCCCAGGGTGGCGGAAGTGGGAGCCATGGAGGACTCAGGGGCAGGAGCTGGAATTTGGGGAGAGACTTGTTTGCTGCAGAGACACAGCCCAAAACAGAGAGGGAGAAGGGAACTACTTTGGGGCTATGTCATCCCGGGGCCTCCTATCTCCCACCAAACCTCCCACTGGCCAAACCCAACCAGAGGTCAACTGACACAGCTGTGCTTTGTATGATTCTCTCAGCTACTATTTGAGTTTTTCATAACAAATTGGGAAACCAAATTAATTTTAAACAAATTTAATGACCCAGGGTTCATGAGAATACAGGAAGCCAGCATTCTCACACACTGCGCCTGAGTATTTTGCACACATTTTTGGAGAGGCGGGGGGACAGGGAGCTAGAATTTGGTACCACGCATCAAAATGCTTAAAATGAAATATACCCATTGATCCAGAAATTTAAAATGTGGAGGAAGATACATAGCCAAGATGCATATATTAAATGGGATATTTTAATATATAACAATAGAGAATGGGAACTAGCTATACACGTAAAAACAGGAAACAGGTTGAACACATTCAATCAATTAAACACAACAGAGCAATTCACAATGTTGTTCACCGACTGTTACATAAGACTTTGTTTCATCCCTAGTTTGAAGAATGTATTATCTACAGCCATAGACAAAAGAACTGCTATGCACAACTGGCAGTGCTTGTCTATATTTCCTGGCATTCCATAATAAATATATACGTGCAGTTTTAAATATTTATCCTCTTAAATAACTAGTGAATACATTTCTTTCTTTCCCATCTCTTCCTCTCCTGTTCCCAATAAAATGACTGTCCAATTCACTTCTAGACCCCATCTCTTCAATCCTGTGCCACATCTTGCTACATTTATCTTCACAAAATATTCCCTTTATCATGTGACTGTCCTGTAATATGAGTCATTTCCAATGACTCACTACTTTCTAAAAGTCAAAATCCAGTGTTCTTGGCCAAGCACTCAAAGCTCATCCCAAGCCGGTTTGTGACCAGCCTCAGCGTTGCCTCACCGTATTTCGATGTTCAATTGTTCTGTTCACTGATAAACCCCAAGCACCCAAAACAGTGTCTGAGACAGAGAAGATGCTCAATAAATACTGGTCAAGTGAAGAGACCCTTATGTTTTTGTTTATTCTCTTCCACATATCTGCAAAGCTTTCACCCCCAGAGTTCCAACTACCCAAATTGTATGTATCTTCCCAAATCCAGTTTATAAACCATCCCCTTGGCCGGACACAGTAACTGGCACGCATAACCTCAGCACTCCAGGAAGCCAGGGCAGGAGCATCACTCGATGCCAGGAATTCAAGACCAGCCTGGTCAACATAGCAAGACTCCATCTCTATAAAGCAATTAAAAATTAGCCAGGTGTCACGGTGCACACCTGTAGTCCCAGGTATTCCGGAGACTGAGGCAGGAGGATCACTTGAGCCCAAAAATTCAAGGCAGCTGATGAACTAAGATTGCATTGCCACACTCCAGCCTGGGTAACACACCCAAACCCCTAAAAAAAAGTAAAAACAAAAACTCCCCCTCCATGAAATGTGCTCCAACTCTGAAGTATTTACCTAGGCCAGGTGCAGTGGCTCACACCTATAATCCCAGCACTTTGGGAGGCCAAGACGGGTGGATCACTTGAGGTCAGGAGTTTGATACCAGCCTGGCCAACATGGTGAAACCCCACCTCTACTAAAAATACAAAAAGCTAGCTGGGCGTGGTGATGGGCATCTGTAATCCCAGCTACTCGGGAGGCTGAGGCAGAAGAATCCCTTGAACCCAGGAGGTGAAGGCTGCAGTGAGCCAAGACGGTGCCACTGCACTCCAGCCTGGGCACAGGGCGAGACTCTGTCTCAAAATAAATAAATATTTACCTAGAACACATTTGTCACTTAATAGCCTATTTCCTGTATATGCATGGTAATTTTTTTACTCTAGATAAGGTCTCCAAAGGCAGGGGCCATCTTCAGCTTTTTTTAGCATAGAACAAACAAAGCACTGTGTTGCATAACTAGTGTGTCCCAGAAAAAAATAAAAATAATACCCCTATTGGGTATAGGAAAGAACTTACACAAGAGTTTCTAGGAGAATATAATCAACAAACACAGGCCTATGCTCTCCTAGCTGCCAAAAGAAATGCGTGGACATGCCAGGCCATGTCAGGATCAACGCCCCCATTCACCCTTTATCCTGTCCCTCAGAGCTGGCTCAAGAAATGCTGTGTGATTATTCTAGTTTACATTCCAGGAAACATTTCAGATGTGGGGAAAGAAGACATCCAGACACTCTTCCCTTGCAATGAAAACGAACCCAACTTGCAATATGAATACCTTCGTCCTCACCTGCAGAGGTGGGTCCCCAGTGTGACTGGCCAGGAATCTTAGGCAGAAGAAGTGAGCTTAAGCCCCGATAAATATCTTACTCATACCCCAGAAAAAAGAGGGCAAGCCAAAACTCACCTTGGCCAACCCAGTTCTCCTCACTCTAGTCCCGATGGATCTAAGAGTGTGGAAGGGTACGAACAGTGGGTAGTATTGTTACCTGATGAACTGGTAGACAGAAAACAGAAGGCTTTACTGAGGGAAGGTAGTGAATATGGAATAATCCAAGCCTAAGTCCCTAAACCACAGTGTGGACGTAGCTACAGGATATTCTGCTCCAGAACTCAAATCTGTATCTGCAAGCTTCACAACCATCAGCACCATGAAAGCAGGCACCTGGTGCTGCGCCCACCTCCTAATCCATTCCATTCCTTCACCCTCACTCTGATTACAGAGCACTTCTGACATGACACCTGCTTTTCCATGTGACAATCCTGCAAGATCAATGTTTTCAACTGTATTTTGTAGAAGAAGAGACTAAGGAATAGGACACTTGACTTGCCTGAGATCAACACCACATAATGTCACAGTCAAGCATAGCTTAGGCTCAGACGCTAACCTGGAAATCCACATTTTCCCTTTAGGACACACTGATTCTTCCAAGAAGTTTGCCAAGGTGACACATTAGGAAGGGAGACACTGTCGCAACACCCAAGATAAAAGGCCTTTTTTAAGGGGGTACACATGGACATAAAGATGGCAACAATAAACACTGGGGACTACTAGATGGAGAAGGGAGGGTGAGGAGATGGTTGAAAAGGTATTGGGTACTATGCTCACTACCTGGGTGATGGAATCAATCGTACCCCAAACCTCAGCATCATGCAATATACCCATTAACAAACCTGCACAAGTATCCCTGAATCTAAAATAAAAGCTGAGGCCGGGCGCAGTGGCTCATGCCTGTAATCACAGCACTTTGGGAGGCCAAGGCAGGCAGATCGCTTTAAGTCAGGAGCTCGAGACCAGCCTGGCCAACATGGTGAAACCCCGTCTCTACTAAAATACAAAAATAAATTAGCCGGGCATGGTGGCAGGCACCTGTAATCCCAACTACTTGGGAGGCTGAGGCAGGAGAATCACTTGAACCTAAGAGGTGGAGGTTGTGGTGAGCCGAGATTGCACCACTGCACTCCAGCCTAGGTGACAGAGTGAGACTCCATCTCAAAAATAAATTAATTAATTAATTAAAAGTGGAAATTATTTTTAAAAATAAAATAAATTTTAAAATAAAAACCTTTTCTTCTTAGAACAGAAAAAAAAATGGAATAGTGAAAGCTGTATCATCCACCAGGTAATATGCTAGACTAATTTCACTATGAAGAAGTCACACTTTGCACCACTTTGCCTATCACAGATAAACAATCTAAGACGCATTCCATTCCATACTCCAGGCAGTGCTAGATTCAAAGCTGTAGAAAGAACAACCAGGCCAGGTGCGGTGGCTCACACCTGTAATCCCAGAACACTTTGGGAGGCCAAGGCGGGAGGGTTGCTTGAGGCCAGGAGTTCAAAACCAGCCTGGGCAACACAGCAAAATCTCAATCCCACCAAAAAAATTAAAAATAAAATTAGTCAGGCGTGGTGTTCTGCACCTGTAGTCCCAGCTGCTCAGGAGGCTGAGGTAGGAGGATCGCTTGAGCCCAGGAGGTCAAGGCTGCAGTAAGCTATTATCGCATCAATGCACTCCAGCCTGGGTGACAAAGAGAGACCCTGTCTCAAAAAAGGAAAAGAAAAAGGAAACAAAAACAACCCATAAACATAAAATAGGGTCACGGACATCTCCAGGCAGAGATCTCCTGCCTCTCCTCTGGAGAGGTTACCTCCTCTGAGGCCTGGTAACTATAATATTGGGTGGTATTTTAAAAACTAACTAAAATGTTGAATATTTCTCTACTATTTATAAAAGAAATAATCCAAAACAACCAACCTGGAAGAACTTTAAGGTTACTCATCCAGCCTAAGAGAAGAAAGATCTACCCTCTCCTGTTTACTTCTCCCTAGCAAACAAGAGATGTTGACTCAGACCAAAAGGAATTTTTCTGACCTGGAAAGAAAAGCCTCACTGAAACATGATAAATTCCAAATGGCTCTGAATCCTAAACAAAAACTTGACCCCGAAGTAGCTCCCCACTTCCCTGTCACATTACTTAATCCAAAAATGACCTGATTTTTCACAAAGAAAGGCTCCCAAATGACTTCAACATAAAGATTAATTCCTTACACCTGGCTATATGAAACCCAACTGCATCAGAAGAAATACTCCTACATGAATATAACAGAGTAGACTATTATTAGGAATAAATGAACCCTGATGAAGGCCTTGCACCTACCTCTGATTTCCTCTTTGGAGCTATGGACAAACAGTTATCCAACTGCACCTCGTGGCATCTGTACTTAAATCCAGCACACCCCACACTGCGTGGGGTCCAAGTTAAAGTGCCACAGCACCCCAACATCCTAAGTGTGGCCCCTAAGGGGTGGATGCCATACCACGGCACAGCTTAGATCACAGCCACTTGTGATCTAAGGACGGAGGGGCCTGTTCCCAATGTCTCCTCAGGATTGCTGATGTCTGAGGTGGAGTTCCCATCTCCTTGCAGGATACTCCTACTCTTGGCCAAGGGAGGGATCTATGATGGTATCTTCAAAAGATTTCCATAAGATCACAGGGTGCTCCTGAGTCTCATTACCACAGACATCTTTGTAAGCAAAGAACACACATCAAAATTTTTTTTTTTTTTTTGGAGATGGAGTCTCACTCTGTCACCCAGGCTGGAGGGCAGTGGTGCATTCTTGGTTCACTGCAACCTCCGCCTCCCGAGTTCAAGTGATTCTCCTGCCTCAGCCTCCCGAATAGCTGGGACTATAGGCACGCACCACCACAGCCAGCTAATTTTGTATTTTTTGTAGAGACGGCGTCTCACCATGTTGGCCAGGATGCTTTCCATCTCTTGACCTCATGATACACCCACCTCAGCCTCCCAAAGTGCTGGGATTACAGGCGTAAGCCACCACACCTAGCCTAACCTTTTTTTTTTTTTTTTTAAGAGACAAGGTCTCGCTCTGTCACCCAGGCTGGAGCACAGTGGTGCTATCATAGCTCACTGCAGCCTTGAACTCCTGGCCTCAAGCAACCCACCTGCCTCAGCCTTCCAAGTAGCTGAGATTACAGGTACACACCACCACGCCCAGCACATTTTTAAATTTTTTGTAGAGACAAGGTCTCGCTGTGTTGCCCAGGCTGGTCTCCAACTCCTGGACTCAAGTGATCCTCCTGCCTCGGATTCCCAAAGTGCTGAGGACTGCACCCGGCCCTGTGCATCAACTTTGAGGAAAGAATATGAGCATGGACTGAGCCATACACACAGGGGATGTACCTTCATATATGACAAGATACAAGCCATGAAGTCCACAGGATCTTCCTGTTGCTCAAACTTGTTATCTGCTTGTCTATACCTCCTGGAAAGCCATCCCTACCCCTTCCCTTGCGGAAATCTTACCCACATTTCAGTTCCTGGCTGAAATGTATCTCTGCAAGACAACCATCTTCAATCCTACTTTTATCTTATGCCCAGTCCCCCCAAAGCACTTAAAATGACGTCTTGAAGATGTGCATGTTTTACCGTTTATCACCATGGTGAGTCCCATAGGCCACAGTATGCATTCATTCCACAAATATTCACGAAGCATCTACCATGTGGCAGGCACGGAACAAGATGCAGGGTCATCGCAATGAATGGGTCCCACCCTCCTAGAATCTGTGGTCTAGCATACGAATCAACTAGAGCTCCCTCTTAAACATAGCCCTCACACCACAAAACATTCACTGAAGTCTGTTACTGGTTATTTCAAGCCAAAGATCAATTTCTATTCCCTTGCTAACCTATTTTGTTTGAAAATCTACTGGCACTTAGATTTTTCTGAAAGGCCCTAATATTATGACTCAAGACTTTATCTAGGCCATCTGGTCAGTTTCAAATACAGACATCCATTTAAAATAGGAGAATTTTAAAGTACGGGCTCCAAGACACCTTATAAAATACACATAAAAGAGATTTTATACATTAATTCCATAAAATTCATAATTCCTTACATACATGGTTAGTTCTCTGTTCCTATATTCCCTTATGAGACATTTGAAATGTAATGCGTGTGCCTTCAGTTTATTTAAGAAATTATGGTACATGGTGTCTCAGAAAAAGGAAGTTTAACACAATGCATTAAAACAGAGAATACATCAAGCACAAATACAACTAGTCTGCACTGGTAATATTCCCTAGGATACTTTAAAGTTTCTGATAAAATCCTGCATGGAAGCATGGAAACAAATTAGCTGTATGGGAACTCAGGCAAAACATAATTACACAACTAGTAATTAAAGTGTGAAATGGACTACCTCAAACAACAATAAAACTTGTAACTATAAACTTATCAGATGGGAGGAGGGGACAAAAGAGCAGAGTAGGTTGTGAAGCTTGAAAGCAAGCTTGTCCAACCTGCAGCCCCATGGGCTACGTGTGGCCCAGGATGGCTTTTCTTTTTTTTTTTTTTTTTTTTTTTTGAGACAGAGTTTTGCTCTTGTTGCCTAGGCTAGAGTGCAATGGTGCAATCTTGGCTCACTGCAACCTCTGCCTCCTGGGTTCAAGCGATTCTCCTGCCTCAGCCTCCCGAGTAGCTGGGATTACAGGCATGCGCCACCACCCCCGGCTAATTTTGTATTTTTAGTAGGGACAGGGTTTCTCCATGTTGGTCAGGTTGGTCTCGCACTGCCAACCTCAGGTGATGCACCTGCCTCGGCCTCCCAAAGTGCTGGGATTACAGGTGTGAGCCACTGCACCCAGCCTCAGGATGGCTTTGAATGTGGCCCAACACATATTCATAAACTTTCTCAAAATAATATCAGATTTTTTTTTGCAATTTTTGTTTTACCTCATCAGATATTGTTAGTGTATTTTATGTGTGGTCCAAGATAACACCACTTCTTCCAGTGTGGCCCGGGGATACCAAAAGATTGGACCCCCCTGCTTTAAAGACATACAGATAAATTGTGTGCAGCTGGTGACCTGGGCCTTGATGACAAGGGCATCTAGTGAGTGCAAGCCTTATCTATCAGTAGCCACAAAAAGGACAATAAAATGACTCTGTGGTTAAGTGGCCTGAAACTGCACAAGTCATTTCCTCTTTGTGGGCACCCAAGTCCTTTTGTATAGAAATGAGGGAGTTGGATGGTCTCTGGGGTTCCTATATTGCTCTACCAGTCTATGATGCTATATCAGAAAAATTAAACAAACTCCAGGCAGCCTTTTTCCCACAAGTAGAAATAAAACAGCCATTCCTACCAACACATAATTAGATCTTGAAAACAACCCATAATACAAAATTAAAAGTACCTAATCTCCTCTACAACATTCTGTATTAAACACGCATTTATAAGCATGTTCCCCTGCAATCGCAGAGTTCAAAGTTCTGTAGACACCATTCACCCAGAACAGCTTTCCAAACCCTGAGAGTCTGGTGGAGGTGCTGGAAACACCATAAGCAAGCAAAGTCACGGTCCCACGCAGATTACTGGAAAAGCCTTCTAAGAGCAAGAAAAGTCAAATATGGAGAAGAGCGTCCACGTGGCTACTACTGACTGGACACATTTCTATATTTACCATGTACTCTGACAGCAGCTGGGGATGGCAGGATGGCATGGTGCACACCACCAGTGAATTAAGAACCAAACACCCAGTCTGAAAATAATTGTGTTATGCAATAACAGCGGTACAGCCAAATCTATAATAAAACCCCTGTTCTACAACACTTAAATATTAATTTCGGGGCCAAGCGTGGTGGCTCACGCCTGTAATCCCAGCACTCTGGGAGGCCGAGATGGGTGGACTGTCTGAGCTCAGGAGTTCGAGACCACCCTGGGCAACATGGTAAAGCCCTGTCTCTACTAAAATACAAAAAATTAGTTGGGCATGGTGGTGCATGCCTGTAATCCCAGCTACTTGGGAGGCTGAGGCAGGTGAATTGCTTGAGCCTGGGAGGAGGAGGCTGCAGTGAGCCAAGATGGTGCCACTGCACTCCAGCCTGGGTAACAGAGACTCCATCTCAAAAAAAAAAAAAAAAAAAATCAATTTTGGGAGGCAAGCCATAGGTATATGAAAAGGTCACTAACAATACTCAGTTATGGAAATTGTAACTGCCAACCAAGCAGTACATGAATTGAGAAAATACAGAAAACACTAAAGACAAAGAACGCTTCATGAAGAAATGGTCATTTATTTTCAATCAGGAGAAATCTTAGGACAAAGGTGAGGAGGTCAAAACATGCACAGTGAGGCTGGGCACAGTGGCTCACACCTGTAATCCCAGCACTGTGGGAGGCCGAGGCCAGAGGATTGCTTGAACCCAGGAGTTCAAGACCAGCTTGGGCAACAAAGTGAGACCACGTCTCCACAAAAGGCAACATAATCAGCCAGGCATGGTGGTGCATGCCTGTAGTCGCAGCTACTGAGAGGCTGAGGCTGGAGGATTGCTTGAGCCTAGGAGACCAAGGATGCAGTGAGCTGTGATCACACCACTGTACTCCAGCCTGGGCAACACGACAAGACTCTACTCTATCTCAAAAATAAAAATAAATTGGCCGGGCACGGTGGCTCACGCCTGTAATCCCAGCACTTCGGGAGGCCGAGGTAGGCGGATCACCTGAGGTCAGGAGTTCGAGACCAGCCTGACCAACATGGTGAAACCCTGTCTCTACTAAAAAATACAAAAATTAGCCGGGCGTGGTGGCAGGTGCCTTAATCCCAGCTACTTGGGAGGCAGAGGCAGGAGAATTGTTTGAACCCGGAAGGAGCAGGTTGCAGTGAGCCGAGATTGAGCCACTGCACTCAAGCCTGGGGGACAAGAGCGAGACTCAAAAAAAAATAAAAATAAAAAATAAATTTTAAAAAAATGCATGGTGTATTGGAACAACCAGGGAAACAGCCTAGAAACAATACACTCCATCACAACTTGTGGTGTTGTCCTTATTCATCCTTTCTCCCCACAATATACTGATACGTTGAATTGAGCCAGGCACATGTAACATCTCTGCTAGGGATAGACTAGGGCAGAGCCCTTTTTAGACCTGTCTGAAAAAAGCTAGTGCTCGAATCCTAACCTTCATGTCATCATTAATTGTGACGTTTGTTCTAAACAACCTTAAAGCAATGTAATATACCACCAACAGAAACATCAAATGTAAATCCAGAATTTGAGGTTTCAAGGGAAAAAAAGCATTTCAAAAGGCCCCAAATAAATTTTAATTCTAAAATTTTAAGGATTATTTCATTTTCTTATATCCTCCCTCTACTTTAAGTTAAATCCCTTCTCATCCCTCCAATCTTGTTTAATATTAATAGTTACTTAATACATTCCTGAGTGCAGTGCAGCAACACTTCCTGTTTATCAAAAGACTAAAATAAATAGCAGGTCAACAAGACTAGACAAGGAAAACACAAAACTCGTTTGACAACTGGGGCCAGAAACATGTTTGTATGCATGCAAGAGAAACCACCACCTACCTTTTTAGTTAGACCTGCTCGATATCATACAGCAAGCAGATTATTTCAGTATAACCCTCAAACCATGCCCCTCTTTCCTTCTCCCCTCCAAAAGGACATTTAAAGCCAACCAGAGATTTGGGCAATGAATTTATGAACTTTAAGTTCAAGACTTTCAACTTTCATATTACAATGTAGTGATGAATATTACCAATGTGATATGATTAACAAAATTAGCACCTCCTCATATGTGAAATATGGTACTAAAGCCCATTCTTGCTGAAAATCTAGGATGACAAACAACTCACAGGGCAAAACCCATGTGGTTAGGTGGGTGTTTGTTTTGATGCGAAGCCTCCAGTTTTGTTCCTGTCTAGGCCTGTCCCACAGTCATCTGACATTCCTGCAAAAACTTGTCTTTATTTTGGATGGACACACAAGCAATGGAATTGGCACTGAAATTTCAGCTTATGGTGCAGGGTATGTTAGGATACAATTTCCCCCTGAAGTAAATACTGAAACACTGACATGTGGGTTTGTTTTGCTTTTTTACTTTTAAAAATTTGCAAACGGGCACGGCGGCTCATGCCTGTAATCCCACTAGTTTGGGAGGCCCAGGCAGGTGGATCGCCTGAGTGTCAGGCGTTCAAGACTAGCCTGGCCAACATGGCGAAACCCTGTCTCTATTAAAAATACAAAAAATTAGCCAGGTGTGGTGGTGGGTGCCTGTAATCTCAGCTACTTGGGAGGACAACTGTTTGATTCTCTGAGGCAGAAGAATTGCTTGAAACCAGGAGGTAGAGGTTGCAGTGAGCTGAGATCATACCACTGCACTATAGCCTGGGCAACAGAGCAAGGCTCTGTCAAAAAAAAAAAAAAAAAAAAAAAAAAGCCTTGGAAATAATGCCACTGTGTACTATGCCAAGAATTCTAGCCAGGTGCATTGGCTCAGGCCTATAATCTCAGCACTTTGGGAGGCTGAAGCGGGCGGATCACCTGAGGTCAGGAGTTCAAGACCAGCCTGACCAACAAGGAGAAATCTTGTCTCTACTAAAAATACAAAATTAGCCGGGCGTGGTAGCACATGCCTGTAATCCCAGCTACTTGGGAGGCTGAGGCAGGAGAATCACTTGAACTAGGGAGGCGGAGGTTGCAGTGAGCCAAGATCGCGCCATTGCACTCCAGCCTGGGCAACAAGAGCGAAACTCTGTCTCCAAAAAAAAAAAGAATTCTTAACCCACCTAAAATAAGTCATGATAAAGACATCTGCCAGAGCATACACAACCAATCATAAAAACATTCCAAAATTATGTAGTAAGGCTAAATCTACCATAATTTACACAAAATAATTTGCCTTTAATGATTTTCACTCTCAATTAAAAGGCCCAATGTCATGATGAAATAAAAGAAAACACTTTTCAGGCTGATTAGAGGATACTTGGCAGAACAATGAGCTGCATTATTCCAGAAAGGCAATAGAAGTATCCTGAGAATGGTGACTCGTTTGTTCTAAATCTATATCAACTATTCAAAGTAACTTTGAAAAAGCTTACCTAAAGGAATATGATACAGAGACAGAAAATGACTCGGTTATATATAAATCTTAAGCAATGTTACGCTCCTTACAAAGACCAACAGCAACCAAAAGAAATCAATTCCAGAACTGAAGAGACTGCATTCTAAAATTAACAGAATTTTAATATTCAAATTAAGTTATTTCCTTCCTGTACCTCCATCCTGTCTTTGAAAAGAGTTGTGGAGCGAACAGGGCGTAAAGTAAGCTATGTGAAAAGAAGAAAAACCACAGAGACCAATGCCACAGGAATGCTGAAGCTGCACACAGGGTGTGCCTGGGCAGCCGGCAAGCTGAGGGCAGGGAAGGAGTCTGACCCTCTCCTCCAACCCCATAGCCAGCGAAAAGGCAATACCCTGAGAGGGGCTCCAGAGCATCCCCCAGGAGTGCCCAGCATCCACAGTGATAAGCTGAGTGACCAGGGGGCTCAACTACTTGCAGGGTTCCCAAGGGAGCAAGACCCTGCTCTTCCACATTGCGAATCACACACAGTTCCTGTACAGCCATCTCCTGGAGACATAAGATTCCCAGCTCTCACCAATTATGATAAAAATAAAGTGAGATCCATTCAGTTATCTGCTGGAAGATATAACTAAAGCACTAAATACCACTGCTAATCTGAGTTATGTGAAAAATATATATTTTGGGGTTACACCAATACCTTCAATTAAGCATGTACTAAATTATAACATACAAACTCTAACACTAGAAAAACAATGGCTTTAATATTGTCTAAACAGGCTGGGTGCAGTGGCTCACGCCTGTAATCCTAGAGCTTTGGGAGGCCAAACCAGGCAGATCGCTTGAGTCCAGGAGTTCAAGACCAGCCTGGGCAACATGGTGAGATCCCATCTCTAAAAAAATATAATAATAAAAAACACAAAAATTAGCCAGGCATGGCGCCACGTGCCTGTAGTCCCAGCTACTCCAGAGGCTAAGGTAGGAGGACCACCTGAGCCCAGGGAGTTCAAGGCTGCAGTGAGACATGATGGTGCCACTGCACTCCAGCCTTGTGATAAAGTGAGATCCTGTCTCAAAATATATATTTTTGAGACATATATTTATATATTTTTATATATATACTGTTGTTTTATGTATATATATAGACTGTTTATCTATGTATATATAGATTGTCTAAACAGTAACAAATAAGATTTGCCCGTCACCACACTGTCATTCACTCTTGCTATCTCCAGTGGTTATCGCCTGTACAGAAATCAAATTATAGTTTACCTAGTCCAAGTTTTAATAATAAACTGGCTCAATGCTTCTGCACAAGGTCACTATAAACTATAATCATAGAAAACATCCATGTATGTGTTTTGAGAAATGAGGACTGAAGAACCAGCCTGGCCACTTAATCTCCTGTGACAGCAGGGTAAGATCAGGCTTGATGTTCAGCACGGTACTCCCTGGGGATGTTCCGTCTCACTCTCCAGGGCAGGACACTTTGGGCCTCACACTTCCTGCGCACACTTGCCCCACAATCTTCTTGCCTATGCTCCGAAAGCTGTTGACAGCCTTCATCTCAAAAACATTTAACTTCATATATTTTGCCTCAGCATTTAGAATATCACAAAGCATTTTGTAAGCCACCTTTCAAAACACAGTATCTTCTTTAGAAAGTGAGGCAGAAGGCAGGATATTAGTTTAATATTCCTTTTTGACAAATACATATATTGAACATGATGAAATATTTACCAGTGTAACTATCTGATATCTAAGATTTATTTCAAAATGATGGAATGGAAATAGTGCGAGGGTACAGAAGAAACAAGATTGGCCAAAAATGTGAATTGCTGAAGTTGGGTGACAGGTACATGGAGGTATGTTATTCTCTTAACAATTGTAGTATATTTGAAATTTTCCCTAATGAAAGCATATTTTTACAAAAATATATATATTGGCCAGGCACGGTGGCTTACACCTATAATTCCAGCACTTTGGGAGGCTGAGGTGGGAGATCACCTGAGCTCAGGAGTTCAAGACCAGCCTGGCCAACACGGCAAGAACCCTGTCTCTACTAAAAATATAAAAATTAGCCAAGCATGGTGGCACATGCCTGTAATCCCAGCTACTTGGGAGGCTGCGGCAGGAGAACCTAGGAGGCCTGGGCAACAGAGCGAGGCTCTGTCTGGGGGACAAAAAAGAAATCATATATTGACTTGAAAGGTTAGAGGATGCCTTTGATTTACATGTATCCAGTAAAATCATACGAGAAAAAGGCCACCAATGATGGCTGAAACAGCCAGAGAGACACACAGAAGCAAAGTCACTATGTTTATTATGCATTTCTGATTGCTTTTTTCCTTAAAGAAGCATAGTGCCTTTGACTTCTGTTTCTGACTCCCCAAATTTTAAGGTCACCTCTGATAAGATCATAAACTTCTTTGAGCTCATATCACCAATTATTTCAAACTCTGTTTGAAAAACCAAAATGTATTAGATATCAATCAGATCATAGTAATTAATCTCAGCTTTATGATGTCAGAAGACTTTTAAACTTCCCATTTTCCACAGCTTGTTCCCCGCCTAGGGAAAAAGCTCAATCACTTCATAAATCTGGCATCATTCTAGTACACTGTGTTTTAAAATATGCTCAAGTATTGATCACGGCGATGCAGCGGAGGAACTGCAGGCTTGAGCACACCGCAGGGATGCAGGACCAGGGATGGGGGCACTTCTTTAGGGGACATCTGTAATCGCACTCTGGGCTCACAGTGGAAGGGTGCCGCAGGCTGGGAGCTGGGCTCCTTTCACTTTCCAGTTTGAGTTCTCGTCTACACTTCACTGGTGGATCTGTTACTGATATTAAAACCCAAAGCCACCAGCAGAGAGCACTCAACGAGCACAAGCTTGGTAATTCCTGTTCACTGCAGAGGGAAACAGGAGTGCACATCATTAAAGCAAGAACACATTCTTAATGGAAACTTCGTATGGAGCACAGGGACAGTATATACATAATCCAAAATTCAAATAAACTCAGTGTTCGTGAGAAAATAAGCATGTAATCCTGAAGATTCTATGAAATGCATCCCATATTGTTTAATTATTTATCTCTCAGGGTATTTTTTTTTAAGTCAATGCAGTATGGTTGGAAACTGCATTGTGATCTATGGCTTTCTCCATGCAACTAAAATAGCCTTGCAAGTCATGCCCATTTTTAAAAGCTTATACAAGCACCTACCCTCTTGCAGTGGTGAAGATAGCACTGTAATTTCCCTTCAGTTCTCTTACATAACTAAAGAGTTTTTTGTTTTGTTTATAAGCTCATACATTGGCTAGAAAAAATTATAAACTTGCTGGTAAATTTCTAAACTTGCTAGTAAAAAAATTAAGTTATATATAAGAGGCTGCCCTGTTCTAATCCCAATCAAGTATTTAAAATAATTTTACTATGATCACAGTAAACATAGCACATAGAACTAAAGGAAATACTATAGTGAATATATATAAGCTAAACTGGCTAGTTGTCATTAAACCCAGTAACTAGAAAACTGACCACAAAATATTTTTGTTTTTACTGTTATGTTATATTATTAACTCAGGACAAAGGCAGGGGTGTAGAGGTGAAGAAGAGCTCTGGGGATAGGTCAAGTCAGCTGGGCTGTGCTACCACGGGCAGCAGCAGTCTGCAGGAGAGCCCTGAACATCAGTCTACTGGATGCTGTAGCCCAAGTGACAACAACGTAACTGCGGAGCAAATGCTGGAGCAGTAGAAATGCTAGAGCTTCTAAAATCCGCTCAGTGAGCTGATTAGTTACAAATATGAAGGAAGCATCAGCTCATTCAGTACAAGCAATGGAGCCTAGGAATTAACAGTGAAGACTGGACATAGCTGGAGCAAATGACTTAACCTCTCTCTGCCCGTTTCCCTCATCTGAGAAATGTGAGTAACAAGAGTCCCTTACTCATAGAATTGTTAAAAGGATTGAATGAGTCAAAACTTTGTGTGTGTGTGTGTGTGTGTGTGTGTGTGTGTGTGTGTGTGTGTGACAGAGAGAGAGAGAGAGAGAGACGGAGTCTCACTCTGTCGCCCAGGCTGGAGTGCAGTGGCGTGATCTCAGCTCACTGCATGCTCCAACTCCCAGGTTCAAGCGATTCTCCTGCCTCAGCCTCCTGAGTAGCTGGGGTTACAGATGCCTGCCACTACGCCTGGCTAATTTTTGTATTTTTAGTAGAGATGGGGTTTCACCATGTTGGACCAAGGTGGTCTTGAACTCCTGGCCTCTAGGTGATCCACCTGTCTCGGCCTCCCAAAGTGCTAAGATTCCAGGTGTGAGCCACCACGCCCAGCCCAGTCAAAACTTTTCAAGCTCTCCGAATAGCTCAAGGCATTCAGTCACTGCTAAGTATTCGTTGCCATTCTGATAAGCCAGGATTTTCACAACAGTCCCTACTTCCTCAACTGTGAGGAGTAGTGTTATTCATCGTAAAAATCTACCCTTGGGGGGGCACAATATCTAGTGTCAATCTATCTCAAAAGGGAATGAGGGAATACATGGTGGTTCTCAATCCTGGCTGTATCAGAAACACCTGCGAGCTTTACTAACTACACAACACTCCAACCAAGAACAAGTGAATTAGAAAGAAACTCAGATGACACAATGTCCAGCCAGCTTGGGTAGCTAACACCAGGACTGCAACTGAACAACAAAAGTTACTTTGCAAAAAGGCAGATACTTTACTACACCTAAAACATTATTTGCTTGCTGTGGACTAGTTCTACTGTCTTGAGTGAATGCGTTTGTGTGTTGTTGTTTTTTTAATCCCACGTTCTCAGTCATGTAACAGATAACTGCAGTATCTAAGCATACATGTCTTTAGAATGCCATTTGGTTAAAGTTCTTTCCAGACTTAAGGGAGTGTAAAGGTAATCAATTAGCACCACAAGGATTTCTGCCTAACATGTCTTTTAACCATCAACAGATGCCATATAACTTCCTAAAGCTCTTGGCTATAACTACTTTTATACTTAGAACAAATCGAGTTCATGTTTTACTAAAACAAAAGCTTTGGCCAGGCACGATGGCTCATGCCTGTAACCCCAGCACTTTGGGAGGTGGGTGAATCACCTAAGTTAAGGAGTTCAAGACCAGCGTGGTCAACATGATGAAACTGTGTCTCTATTAAAAACACAAAAAATTAGCCGGGCACAGTGGCTCACGCCTGTAATCCCAACACTTTGGAAGGCCAAGGAGGGTGGATCACCTGAGGTCAGGAATTTGAGACCAGCCTGGCCAACATGGTGAAACCCCATCTCTACTAAAAATACAAAAATTAGCCAGGCGTGGTGGCACACACCCATAATCCCAGCTACTCGGGAGGCTGAGGCAGAATCGCTCGAGCCCAGGAGGCAGAGGTTGCAGTGAGCCAAGATTGTGCCACTGAACTCCAGCCTGGGCGACAGAGTGAGACCCTGTCTCAAAACACACACACACAAACACATACACAATTAGCTGGGCGTGGTGACAGGCACCTGTAGTCCCAGCTACTCAGGAGGCTGAGGCTGAGGAGAATCACTTGAACCTAGGAGGTGGAGGCTACAGTGAACTGAGAATGCACCACTGCACTCCAGTCTGGGCGGCAAGAGTGAACTCCATCTCCAAAAAAAAAAGTGGGGGGAGGCGGGAGCGGGGGTCTTTTCTGTCTCATATGTATAAGGAAAGGCCAGCATTACATCTTTATACTTTCTCCTTTCTGAGCACAGACCTCTGAACTTCTCCTCTGACCACAGAGCCCTCTATTGTCAGCAACTTTCTACCCTTTTCTGTGGACAGGGAATCAAGTCCAGTCTTTGCTTTGCCAATAACCAGCTGGGTAAGCTCAGACAAATAAAAGCTCTGCCTATTCCCCAACCTGTAAAATAAAGGGGAAGTACAAGATCTACAGGCACCACTGCTCTTACCATTACACTATCCTTAGAGCCCACAAAGCATCCATTCCCTCTGCACCCTGTGTGGTGGGGGATTCCATCCTTCCAATATGTTTAAAGACTTTGGCTCAAGAGTCACAAGCTCATAAGCCTATGGGAGCCAGGCAGGTAAATGAGGGACAGGATGAGTGGGTGCCTGCAAGCCTGAGAGCATGAACCCTATCTAAGGAACAGCTGCCACTGGCGGCATACAAGCTTGCTCTGGCCCAGGCTCCCCAGGTCTCAGGAAGCACTGCACGTTCCCACGTTTTATGCAGCATCTTCTCAATTTCTCAGGCTGGCCATGACAGACATCATTAAAACAATGTGTTCTAGCCTTCTCCCTGCAGGCAGGGCAAGCCTCATAGGACCCAAAGTACATCAGTCCTTCCAGACTGCTGACACCTGCAAGCACAAAGAACTACCACCTTGTACTCTGTAGTCAAAATTTATTTAACTGAAGCAAGTCTGAGCACAGCAATGAGAGATTGCTATGTTTATTTTTTTTTTGAACGACAACAACAAAAAAAACAGTCCAAGTTTATATACATAATGATTTATAGGCACTTTGAAGCCTTTAAGGTTTTCTTTCTGCTCCCGGTCTCTCATCTCTCCATTCCCAATCACACACACTGTTGCCAGAATAACATTCCTCCAGCCCTGTTACGAAACCCCGGCCTGCTGGAGAATGAAAAGGTTTCCCTACTGCAGGTGAAACACAAGTATGCAACCCCCTCCCTCCACCACACACACACACACACACGCACGCACGCAGGTGAAACACAAGTATGCAACCCCCTCCCTCCGCCACACACACACACACACACACACACACACCACTTCCATCCAACCCCTCCAGACTCAACCATTACCACATACTGGGCACAGGCCTTTTCAGCACCCGATATCTGACAAGCAACATTCAACATGTCAACCCGGAGACAATACAAGATCCTTGCAATGCATTCTGGATCAACAAGTAGGTATATTAAGTCTAATTTATTAGACTCTAGGCATTTCGAGGCTTCACAGTATGTATGATGAATCTGTAGGCAAGAAAAACACAGAGTAAAAGCCCTTTATTCTCTATTTTCTATCTAGTTAAGAATTTACCAAATTTACCATATGTAATAAAATACTGTTTTTAGAAAACACTCAAATTTAGGCTCTTGAATATTTGACAAAATTATATACTGCTTCAAATACATACAAATATTCTTCAGGAAGCCTGTACATTAAATAGCAAATAAAGTATCTAAAGGATTCTGACGCTAAATGTCATTTCTGAACGTTTTTGTAATTTAGAAAAATAGTCACATTAGCAGCCAGCTAGTCCCACATCTTGAATACTTTCACAGAACTGCAATGACGCAGGGGCACTTCAGGAAAAAAAACACCAAACCTCTCTTCAACCCTGAAATGTGCCCTAACAGATGAATAATAAAAATGGAAAATATGCACCTCAAAGTACTCTCCACTTTAAACTGACACACTTGTGTTTGTCCTAATGCTGCTAATCAGTTTCCAGTAAATATGTCACATTGTTGTCTATTTCTAAGTGCTCCCAATTTGGATGAAGTCATCCCAAGCAGCAGTAAAAGGCTTTTATTGCCCAGCAGAATACAACCATTTCTGTACTTGCCTTTTGTTTCTCATTACCTAGATGTAGCAGTCAAAAAGTCCAAATTTTCAGGAGGTACATTAGTTTTTTAAATGGTTTCTCATATTTAATGTAATATTCTAGGTTTCATATCAGGCAAAATTATCAAGTTAATCTCATGCAGCCATGTACTGCATAACATTTCAGTCAACAACAGACCGCACACAGACAGTGGTCCCATAAGATTGTAATACCGTATTTCTACTGTACCTTTTCTAGGTTCCGATATGTTTAGAAACACAACTATGTACCACTCTGTTCTAACTGCCTGCAGTATTCAGGACAGTAACAGGCTGTACAGGTTTGCAGTCCAGGAGCAACAGGTTAGACCACACAGCCGAGGTGTGCAGTAGGCTCTGCAACCTAGGTTTGTGTAAGTTCACCCTATGATGCTCGCACAATGAAACTGCCTAACAACTCATTTCACAGAATGAATCCTCCTTAAGCGGCGCGTGACTATGAATATAAATCCTTAAAATGCTGAATGCAGCCTACGCTTTTAAAGATATGATGCTATTGGCCAGGCGTGGAGGCTCATGCCTATAATCCTAGCACTTTGGGAGGTTGAGGTGGGCGGATCACTTGAGGTCAGGAGTTCAAAACCAGCCTGGCCAACACAGTGAAACCCCGTCTCTACTAAAAATACAAAAATTAGCCAGGCGTGGTGGTGGGTGCCTGTAATCCCAGCTACTCGGGAGGCTAAGGCAAGAGAACCACTTGAACCCAGCAGGCGGAGGTTGCAGTGAGCCAACATCACACCACTGCACTCCAGCCTGGGCAACAGGGCAAGACTCCATCTCAAAAAAAAAAAAAAAGATAAGATAAGATATGATGCTATAAAAAAGGATTGTTGTGAGAATTTGAAGGATTCTACATGTAAAATGGAAGCTAAACATCTATAAATAGTAGAACTTGATTTAATATAGAAGGGTCTCCTACAGTAAATGAACCTGACAAGTGCCCCAAAAGTTTCCACTTAATTAAAAATCCACTAAGGAAATTACACACACAAATTAACTTCATTATGCAGCGAGCAGTCTCCTGGAGGAGCCGGAAAAGTAATCTGACCATGGTCCAAGGAGTTCCTTGTACTTCACTCCTGGCTGTTGTGTACGCATCTGTGATGCATCCCCAGGGAGAGATTAAATTTAAACGGATTGGAAAGAGAAGGAAAGATCCTTCCTTCCGATAAAAACACATCCAACATCACCTCCCTCCCCTAGAAATCAGGGGCTTTCAACAATGTGCTTTGGAGAATTTTAATAGGTTTTATAGCCTGAACCAGACCTAAAGAGCAATTCATTAAGAATTTTAGTGTGTTTCTTAAAATGCTCAATAAAATAAAATAATGTCTCAGGGCTATATCCTCACCTAAAATATTTTATAAAGGCCAAAATAAACCTGATACCAAAATCAGACAAATATGTATACATCTTCTCCCTCATGAACTAAGGTACAAAAATCAGCAACAATATATCACCAAATTAAATCCAACAATATATAAAGAGAAGTGGATGGTATACAAAAGCAACGCATCTACAAATCTCACCTCTCTCTCTCCAAAATCCAATTTTTTTTTTCCTAAAGGATAAATTAACCAGACCTGGAAATTAATGAGTTTGCAGATTGAAAAGTTTTCACCAACTTTAAACTGCACTGTACAGCTATAAATTTACATAATGCAGGACTACTTTTTAACAATAATATAGAAATCAGGGGAAATCAATTTTTAAAAAAACAAGATGAAGCCAAAGGCAGTCTTCAAAATATACTCCATGGCTAGGAGCTCACGCCTGTAATCCCTACACTTTGGGAGGCCCAGGAAGGAGGATGGCTTGAGCCCAGGAGTTGTACACCAGCCTGGCCAATACGGCAAGCCATCGTCTCTACAAAAAAATTTAAAAATTAGCCATGTGTGATGATGCATGCCTGTAGTCCTACCTGTACTGGATAGGCTGAGGTGGGAGGCTCACTTGGGCACAGGAGTACAAGGCTGCAGTGAGCTATGACTGCAACACTGCACTCAGCCAAGGTGACTCTGTCTCCAAAATAAAATAAAATTGAAATTAATAAAAATTTAAATTTGAAAAACGTACTCCATTAGGTCCTGCAAAGCGAGTAGACGCTGTGAGGATTCCAGCAGCCTTAATGAGCGCATACACACAAGGAAAGAACCACAACTATTCATTTCTCTTGTGAAATTCTTAAACCAACCCACAATTTGACCCGGTTATATAGCTCTATTAGTGTAAGTACACAACATTGTGCCCCAAACTTAAGAATTTCACAGCTACAAACTTCTACGGGCAGGGTTTCCATATGATAAAGATATTTGTGCATACTTGATTAAGTCATCATTATAATCATCTGTTGAATACGCTATGAGCAATTTTTTTACGCTGTTTTCTCTCACCTTTATAATGATCTTCCAAATCAGAAAAAAAGTCAAAATATAAAATTAAGACATCTTCTTTTAGGAATTCTTCTACAGAGCAGGCCTGAGTTTCAACTTGCATGGCATAAAATGTATGCAAAGAAAATGTATTCTGATATGAGACCCTCAGTTGCCTACAGACTTCAATCAACTCATTTGGAGAGCTGTTCACTACCTCTTAGTCTTTTCAAGTCTTATTAGTCTTTACACAATCCACTGACATGGACAGCTATAAAAGTTACACTTGCTGCTCTAGCGCTGACTAGACAAATTTGTAGTGATTAGCACATTACCTGAACTATCATTCCAAGTTTGTCTGAAAGCAACACAAAAACCTATAGCTACATGTCCTATAAAGTTTCTCATAAAATGACCACACTTTTGAGGTCGTAAAATAAAAGTACTTATTTGCCATTAAAATCACAGAACTTAAAGGGATTGCAAAGACTCTAGAGGTCACCAACAATTGAGAAAAGTTGAAGTTCAAAAATCAAGAAGTAATTTTTTTCACAATCAAATAGTAGTTGAATAGCAATATCCAACATTCCCATCTCCTAATTCCTTCTTCCACAGTCTCCTAGTTTTTTCATCATGCCACATACAGCTTACCAAAATCTTTATTTTTAATTTAAATCACAGGAAAGGCAAATGCTGTAATGAGTCTGCAAATATTTACAAGAGAGGAGTGAAGAAATAAGCCCACTAAATTCAGTGAGACAAGTATAATGAGAAATAATCCCAAGGCTCATTTTTCTCAGTTTCTCAGAATTGATAGGACAACAATAAAAGGAAGGGAAGAAATTTTGCAAGACTAACTCTCAAAAAGAATAGCTATTTGCAGAATGAATCACAGCTATTAATCTTTTCTTGAAAAATATATGACAGCAGGGTGTTTTCCCTGTCTCTAACTTTAAAAGGCCGGCTGCCAAAGGGCTATTCGATGAAAACATTACATACCATCATTGAGATATGCACTCTTTCAACCTGAGAACGCTTATTGAAAGGTAAGAAAAAAAAAGAAACGCAATCTTCTGAAAACATTAAACTACAAAACAGTCACATTAACAAAAGTACAGCTAAGCCTCACAATGCAGGTCTTCTCAAGTACATGCAAAAGTAGTAAAATGGAGACACTCTAGGGTAGGAGGCCTGAAGTAAACTGCACTAATCCCTTTGTCCACCCCCACCCATACAAATTGTCTTTGAAGTATTTTGTGAGATATCTTGATTTTATTTTTAAAATACATACAGGCCAGGTGCAATGACTGACACTTATAATGGCACTTTGGGAGGCCAAGGTGGGAGGACAGCTTGAGACCAGGAGTTTGAGATCAGCCTGGGCAACACAGCAAGGCTCCATTTCTACGAAAAAATTTTCTTTTAATTAGCCGGGCATAGTGGCATGTGCCTGTAGTTCCAGCTGTTTGGGAGGCTGAGGCGGGAGGGTTGCTTGAACCCAGGAGTTTGGGGCTACAGTGAGCTATGATCATACCACTGCACTCCAGCCTGGAGGACAGAGCAAGACAATCAATCAATCAATAATAAATAATTAGTAATTGATTAATCGGTGATAAATAGGTAAATGAGTTAAAATTCATATAGAATTTACGTTACGCCATAATATTTGCCTTTGCAATACGAAAGTTGAGCCTTCAAATAAATGGAAAACCACCCCTCACAAACCCATACCTCCCTCAGCAATACTCACACCCAGTGTGAGGAACATACTGGAAGGCCACTACAAATAGCAACATGAGGGACAGCCATCGGGCACCAGGCAGACGAGGGACCCACGGAGGAGCTCCTCTATGAAGACTCCAGTCTAGTGTCTCTTCCCCACCTCCCACCCTCTCTTTGAACTCCCTCTCTCTTCTGCCCTCTACAGGAAACAAGGTGATATCAAAATAAAGGGGTCTGGGACAAGGAAACAAGAAGCTCACCTCTATCAATGGAAAACATAAAAGTCTCACTACTACAATGAAATATTTGCCTGCCTCTACTTACACTTTATACCAAAGTTCAAAGTTAACACCGTTAATCACCATCCACAAAAGCATGACTAACCAAGTGAAGATTAACTAGTCATTTCCTGATTACAAATGGAAGTAGAATTTTCCCAGTATCATTGACAGTGACTATTAGAATGTGTTGAAAGTCCCTTACAATCACTCTTCCAAAAATGCTTTAAGACAAAATTTAAATAAAAATTTTATTCACTAACAGCTGTCCAAGATTCCAATACAAACATAATTCTACGTTGTGATTAAAAAGAAAAATTATTCAGCTTAAAAAAACAACTAGTGACAAACATGATTAGAGTTTTGTTTTGTTTCTTTTGAGATTGAGTCTCACTCTGTCACCCAGGCTGGAGTGCAGTGGCACCATCTCGGCTCACCACGAACTCCTCCTCCCGGGCTCAAGCAATTCTCCTGCCTCAGCCTCCCAAGCAGCTGAGATTACAGGCGTGTGCCACCAAACCCAGCTAATTTTTATATTTTTAGTAGAGACGGGGTTTGAGATCTGTGGGGTTTCCCCATGTTGGCCAGGCTGGTCTCGAACTCCTGACCTCAGGTGATCCGCTGGTGTTGGCCTCCCAAAGTGCTGGGATTATGGGCGTGAGCCACCGCACCCTGCCATGGTTAGAGTTTTTATCAGGTATTTGTTCTGGAAAGCAGACTCAAAATTAATATAAACCATCTTTCTCAAAACTCCTAATATAAAGCTAACACCAATTCACAAAAGAAGAGAGTAAATTATGCTTCTGCGAAAGTAAAATCAAAGCTGTTTTTTTTTTTTTACCATAAGCAGTCATAGAAAGAACAAAGCTGTTTTATACTTATTTCCCATTGACAAAATTAACCCCAAACATAACAATCACTTATTCAGAAAAAAAAGTGTAAAAAGTAACCATATGGTTTTAATGTTTCCTAATCTCCTAATTTATTATTTAGAATGTTAAAACTTATTTCTCAGGTTCAAAAAAATCCTTTAAAAAACTTTTACTATAATGCCTTATCAGTTACTCAACTACTAAAAAGTAAATTCATTATATCAACAAAGCACTACAAAAAGGCATGTGAGTGATACACTTCTGCACTTGGAAAATCTGCCAAATTCCCATCATTGAAGATTACACATATAACAAATATATGGGGCCCTTTTTTTTTTTTTTTTTTTTTTTTTTTTTTTGAGACAGAGTCTCGCTCTGTCGCCCAGGCTGGAGTGCAGTGGCGCGATCTCAGCTCACTGCAAGCTCCGCCTCCTGGGTTCACGCCATTCTCCTGCTTCAGCCTCCATAGTAGCTGGGATTACAGGCGCCCGCCACCATGCCCGGCTAATATTTTTTTGTATTTTTAGTAGAGACGGGGTTTCACTGTGTTAGCCAGTATGGTCTCGATCTCCTGACCTTGTGATCCGCCCACCTCGGCCCATATGGGGCATTTTTAAAATAAAAGAGAAAACAAAAAACTTCACATGCTGTGTTGAAACAACTGGCTTTCCTATTGGAGGAGTGTGGGGAAGAAATTAGGTCCCTACCTTACCAAATACAAAATCAATCCCATATGAATTCAAGATTAGATTCAAAATGCTTTCTTTCATTAATTTTAAACTATTAGATATAAAAAGAGAATATGTTTGCAATTTAAGGTGAGGCCTTCTTAAGCAAGACACTAGATGTTAATACCCAAAAGCCAGGAAGTTTAACATTTCTGTACAAAGTATGGTATATGCCATTTTAAAAAGTTAAACAGCAGACAAAATACAGAAAATATATTTTCAATGTGTACTGCATTTAAAGTTACTATTACAAAGGGCTTATGGGAAAAAAAAAAAAAAAACCCCAAGAGCAAAATGGATAAATTAATAGGAAATTCTGAGAAAAGGATGTAAACATGTGAGAAAACAGTAAAATTCCCTGGTGCTAAGGGAAATTAAGGCAATGATGATGTAGCACTTTTTGAGTATATCCAAACGGACAACAGAAAATAATAAGTAGATAACCTAGTATTCACGAGAGAGATCAATTATCTTTTTTAGGGCAATTTGTCAATAATAAGACATAAGTTGTATGTTTCTTTTGCTCTAAGCTACTCGTAGCTTCCATACACAAGAATAAAGCTGTAGAGATGCTATAGCACTAGTTATTTACAGCAGAAAATTTGAGAAAATATTCTTTTCATTAAAGGAATAAAGTTATGATAGGTTCATATGACAAGATATTATGGAATATGCAATAACGATTACAGGACTTCTCACTAGCTGCAAATTGAAATTCTGACTCAATCTGACATTGAACCCCAATACAACTAACCACATTCAAAGTTCTGTCCCTGCTCCTTGAATGATCTGTTCCAACACAACAGATCTGCTGCCAGTCCCAAAATCTGGCTTATATTAAGCATTCCATCTCCTGGGCTTCATCAGCAATGAATATCAAAATGGGCTAACCTACCCACATGGGCTTCCAAACTTTCCCGTAAGAAAATAAAGTAGATATATGCAATGATTTATCTGAAAAGATTCTCATCAGGCCCTTTGCAGTATAAAAGGAAAAAAAATTTGAAACAACCCCCCTTATTTTTTATTCCTTTTAAAGTAAGTGGCGGATATCAGTACACTTTGCCTGTAATCATTTCAGCAATGCAATATATGTACTGTAGTATAATCCCATTTTTAACAGAAATATTTTTTATATATATGGTATACACTCCACTTGTGTAATGACACTTTTCTTGGAGTAATAAAAATAGAGTCTCACTCTGTTGCCCAGGCTGGTCTCAAACTCCTGGGCTCAAGTCATCAATCCTTCTGCCCTCCCAAATTGTTCAGATTACAGGCATGAGCCACCACACCAAACTTGTTACTTTTTTTTTTCTTTCTTTTGAGACAAGAGTCTCGCTCTGCCGCCCAGGCTGGAGTGCAGTGGCGCGATCTCGGCTAGCTGCAAGCTCCACCTCCCGGGTTCACGCCATTCTCATGCCTCAGCCTCCCGAGTAGCTGGGACTACAGGTGCCCACCACCACACCCGCTAATTTTTTGTATTTTTAGTAGAGACAGGGTTTCACCGTGTTAGCCAGGATGGTCTCAATCTCCTGACCTCATGATCCGCCTGCCTCGGCCTCCCAAAGTGCTGGGATTATAGGCGTGAGCCACTGCGCCTGGCCCTTTTTTTTTTTTTTTGGTGATAGGGTCTTGCTCTGTCACCCAGGCTGGAGTGCAGTGGCATGATCACAGCTCACTGCAGCCTCAAACTCCTGTGCTCCAGTGATCCTCCCACAACAGCCTCCTGAATAGCTGGGAACACAGACACATGCCACCACACCTAGCTAAATTTTTTTTTCATCAGCAGACAAAGCTATAAAAGAAATGAAACAAAAATAGATCACTTGAATCCGCACCACTGTCTGTGTTCATAAAGAAAGTGACAACTACACTGAAGAAAGAGTTATTTCAAAATGTTGGAAATAGGTTACTTTATTAATTAATTAATTTATTTATTTATTTATTTATTTATTTATTTATTTACTGAGACAGAGTCTTGCTCTATTGCCCTGGCTGGAGTGAAGTGGTGCAATCTAGGCTCACTGCAACCTCCACCTCCCAGGTTCAAGCAATTCTCCTCAGCCTCAGCCTCCCAAGTAGCTGGGATTACAGGCATGCGCCACCATGCCCAGCTAATTTTTGTATTTTTAGTAGAAACAGGGTTTCGCCATGTTGGCCAGGTTGGTCTTGAACTCCTGACCTCAAGTGATCTGCCCACCTCTGCCTCCCAAAGTGCTGGGATTACAGGCATGAGCCACCATGCCTGGCCAAAATAGGTGACTTTAGACATCCCAAAAGGTCAGAAGCAACAAACTCATGTCTCCCTCCCCTTTTACGGTTGAGATGCTCCACAATCCCAACTGAGAACAGCAAGACACAGTTACAGAAACAGAAATGAGAAAGCGGGTGAAGGGGAGAAAGGGGGACGGAGAGAAGCAGGGGTCTGCAGTATTGACCTGGTCCCAAGAATACGGGGTGTTTATTTAGGTGGTTGAGCAAATAGTCGGTGAGGTCAAAGGTATCTCATGCATACAATGTGCCTTTCACTTTTCAACAGGAGCCAAGGGTTATTCTGTAACTATGTGCTCAGGCAAGGAAGATTTCCCACTTCTCCACTAACAACAGTCAGAAGCCAAAAGCTCCACTCAGGTGCTTGGCTACATTTTGCCTTAAAGGACAGCTGAAGTGGTGCGGTTACCTCCACCCCAACAAGGACTAAGAAAGACGTCTGCCCAACACTATGGAGCCGATTTTACCACAGAGGTGAAAATCCTATCCCCTCCCACAATGAGCATTCTATTTGGGGGAGGCAAAACCACAGTGCTCTGGTTTGAACATTTGTGTCCCCTCCACAATTCATGCTGAAACTTAATCCCCAACGCAACAGTAGAGAGGAGGTGCCTTTAGAAGGAGATTAGCCTTAGAAAAGGGCCCTCGGCTCCCCCACCACGTGAGTGCTCAGCTGCTAGGCACCAACCTAGCAGCAGAATCCAGGCCCACACCAGACACTGGCACCTAGTTTGGACTTCCCAGCCTTCAGAGCCGTGAGAAATAAATCTGTTGTTTTATAAATCACCCAACTTCAGGTATTTTCTTATAGCAACACGAATGAACTAAGACACACAGCAAACCAGCATGAAACATCTAGGAAAGTAGGAACACAAGAACACAGCACACCACGCTAGGGACGCCTGGGCCCGCAGGTGGTTCTCAGAACTGCCATTGAGAATGCCCACAGCAAAGGGCCCATTAGGCAAAGGCCCAGGAGGAAGAAGGCAACAGCAGATGGGGGCGTCTTGCTGAAAAAGCTGAGACTCTGGACTGCCTCATACAGGATATGGGTCTTACTACAGGCAATACCCTCGAATATTTTCTACTCTATTCTTTCTCTGTCTTTAAAGCCAATTTTAACCTACGAAGAAATACAACCTCCTCTTCTCCCACTCTTGCCCCACCACCAAAGACAAACACACATATGCTAGACTAACCATCCTACATGATACATGCATGTATGACTTTAAGGAAAACACTTCTAATAAGATAGCTGGAGGGAATGATCAGGATTTTATAAGCACCACTAGTCCTGGGAAAGCTGGTACTAGATCCATCTACTCAGACAGGAAGAATCCCATTTTCGTTTGTATTTTATTTTAGAGATGGAGTCTCACTATATTGCCCAGGCTGGTCTGGAACTCCTGGCCTCAAGGGATCTTCTCGTCTTGGGGTCCCCCCAAAGTGCTGGGGTTATAGGTGTGAGCCACCTCACATGGCCTCAGAATCCCATTTTTAATAAGCTCCACAGCACATCACTACCTCATTAAAATACCTCATTAAAATGGAAGAAAAGCCAACATACGGAGACCCCATCTCTACACATAATTTAAAAATTAACCAGGCATGGTGGCACTCATCGGCGGTTCCAGCTACCAGAGAGGCTGAACTGAGAGGATCACCTAAGCCCAGGAGGTCCAGGCTGCAGTGAGTGAGCTGTGTTCACGCCACCGCACTGCACTCCAGCCTAGGTGACAGAGTGAGACCCTGTCTTAAAAAAACAGGGCAGAAGAGGTCAGGGGGAGGATGGGTGACAGAGTAAGACCCTGTCTCAAAATAAGGGGACAGAAGGGGTCAAGGGGAGGAAGCCTATTGCCACTTCACACAAAGTACTGCTAATTTTATTTCTAAAATGTTTAGAGCACATTGTAGCATAAAACATAAAACCAGAACAAGCACAAATGGGGGTGTTCAGTAAATGGTAATGATTGATATATCTGAACAAAAATTTACAAATGGATGTAAAGTAACACTTCAGCTAGCAGAAAGTAACTCACTTTCTCCGTTTTGTTTAAGGGATCACCTCCTTAAACAAAATTACCAACCACTGAAATGTAGGTAAAGTTTTTATTACATAAAATGAAGTTGACAACTAAATGCAATGTAGCCCTCTGGACTGGATCCTGGCATAGAAAGAGGACACTAACTGAAAAACTGGTGAACAGCAAATAAATTCTGAAGTTTAGTTAAAGTCAACGTTGGTTCATTTTGACAAATGCATCACAGTGATGTAAGACATTAGCAAAGAGGATGAGGTGAGGGGTACACTCTCTCTACTATCTTTGCAGTTTTTAATAAATCTAAAGTTATTTTAAAATAAAAAGTTTATGTTAAAGAATGACCGCACCAGAGGGCTGTTCAAGAAATGAGGAAGGGATCAACCATATCAAGTACTACTGAGGAATCCAGCAAGATAAGCGTCCACCTGACTTATATTAATTAAAATGCTGAAATCCCAGGAGTGCTGGGAGAGAGGCGAGGGCAGGGGATCACAGGAACTTTGTTGCAGAGTTGCAGAAGGCCTCAGTGCTTCCCTCTGTCCCAGAGGTCCTGTGATATCCCCTCCTCTTGCCCTATAAGCATCACGGTCCTATTGCTATGAACCACCTTGTGCAACCTCAGTGGTGCTTTGGAATGTTCTAGAATGAATCAAAAGATCCTCACAGCTTTCCCTAAACTTAGGAATGCATCCTAAACTACTGAGTTCAGTATGATATTCAATAAAGTGGGAGCAGGGGATAGAAAATGCCCCATGCACTGACCTCTTAAATCCTGTGCAAGATTCTATGCATAGAGGATCTCTCTGCACATACCACATAGAATGTTTTCTGAAGCTTGCTGGAAAATATTCCCTATCTCTGTCAAAGAAAGGGAGAAAGGATAAGTCAGGAGGAGGGCAGAACCAGAGTTGGAAGGCAAGGACAGCTGCTACGGTTCACCCTCCTACACACTGACCCGCCAGCGACTCCGTGCAAGTTCATGGAGAAGGGAAGGGAAGAAAGGAAAGGTGTCAGCTGACTTGAGCTGGAGAGAGAGAAAAACACAAAGGCGACAGCTGGTGAGAGCCTCCCGTCCCCACCCCAAGAGGAGAAAGGGAGGAAACCTGAAACCACTTCAAGACGAAAAAGAGGCAGTCCCATTGCAGCTGGCTGCCTCCTCCAGTTCCAGCAGAGCTGGCCGGCTGGGAGACAGCCCCAGCCTGCTGGGAGAGCCCCCTGGGAGCTGAGCTGCAGGAGAGGGCTCCGACAGCCCTCCTGGGTTCTGAGACAGCAGTGAATTCAAGGAGACAAGGATGCTCTGAAGGCAAAAGGATAAAAAATGGATCAGTGCATCTGGTCTCCCTGTCAACAAACATATCCTTCTGATGCCACCTCTTTCACGACCCAAGAATCTTTTGAATCCATGGCAGTAGCACAAGACAACTTCCTTGACAATCACTGTGCCCGTTCCAACAAAATGCGGTTTTCTATCATCAGTGAGTGATAGGACTGTAACAGGTGTGTTCAGAGCTGAGCTGTTCTTCTGACTCCCGCCCCCATCTCCCCCTCCCACTCCTCCTACCTGTCAGCTCCCAGGGCACCCTAACTTTCACACCAAGCTGTTTTAAGGCTTCCAAAGGCCTCTCTCACCAGCCTCTTCTATATCATGTGAACAACAAATCACGTTCCCTCCCCTCTTTTCCTACTGATTCAGACAGAATCTTCATTCTGAACAACAAAAAATTGACGTATATCTTTTGAGATCTAGACTTCACAGCATAAAAAAATTGATAAAGCCTACTAATTATACCAAGTAGGGTAAACAGTGGTTAAATTTTTTTTAATGTGAAGCTTGACTAAAGTCTACTTACACAGAACTATCACTATATGAACAATATGGTAGACAGGTAATGTTGGTGTCTCAAATAACTAACTCGAGTTCAACTTTTAACAAAAGTATAAATGCAAATAATTTGTTTACATAAGACTTTTTCCCCCTAAAACAAATATTATAGCTAATTGGAACTGGCCTATTTGTGGGTGAACAGACCAACAGGCTAACAGACTATACTCAATACTACATCTCTAAAGGCAGTAAAATGCCAAACCTACAAATTGCCTATGGAAAAGTCAACTGCTGTGTTTTCGTAAACCAAATTTTTTTTTTTTTTTTTTTTGTTTGAGAGAGAGTGAGTCTCACTCTGTTGCCCAGGCTGGAGTGTGGTGGTGCGATCACAACCTTCTGCAGCTTCAACTTCCTGGGCTCAAGTGATCCTCCCACCTCAGCCTCCCTAGTAGCTGGACTACGGGCATGCACCACCACATCTGGCTAAGTTTTTTTATTTTTTGTAGTGGTACAGTCTCACTATGTTGCCCAGGCTGGTCTTGAACTCCTGAGCTTAAGCGATCCTCCTGCCTCAGCCTCCAAAAGTGCTGGGATTACAGGCATGAGCCACTGTGCCCAGCCTATTTTTATTTATAAAAAGAAAATTCTGGGTAAAGAAGAAAGGGAATATCTAATTCTCATTTAGGTGGGGTTTTTAGACACCAATCCATGCAGAAGCGACAGCCCCTGTGCAGAGGAGCGCAGCCATCTACAAATGGACCACAGAACAAAGAGAATGCCCTGCTGTCAGCACAAAAACTCTTCCCATGCTGGTCGGTGCCACTGTGATACCTGCTTCTGTGGAGCAGATGATCCTGGGATCCTATTGTCCCTCATTGTGTATGGATTCAGTAGGCACTACTGAGAAATCTCTTATAGTCTAACAGAAGTTAATGAAGCACATACAACACAGAAAAATTAACAAAAGTTGATAAAGTACTTCAAAAAGACCATTACTGGTTTTTGTAAACTCACAGGATGATTCCAGATTTTGCAAGCATTAGAATATAAAATACCTAAAAATTTCTTAAAATGTACAATATAACAATAAGGTAAATTCATAATAATCAGGTTCAGCGACAATACTCAGAAGCAATGAGACAATCCCATCCCATTGCCTGGCACAGGAACTGCCTATTTAGTTTTCAAGGTGTTTGTACTTCTTTTGTCTCAATCTCCCCAGCACAACCTTGGGAGGATGAAAATTCACGTGATAGCTACATGCTACTGAAACTTGGTTCTTCCAAGTTTCCTCCACTCAATTAAACCTCCAAATTACTTGCCTTTGATAACTATTTTTAATGACAAACTACAAACAATCACAGAGTTTACAAGGACAGGAACTGGGATGAGATCAGAGGCACTTGCCTCTGACACCAATGTAAGGGGGGGACCAAAATCTCAGTAGTCACGATAAATATCATAATGCAACAATTCAACAAAAGAGATTGTTCAGCTAGAGATCAACAGATTAATAGACTGATTAATAGAGATTAATCCAATCCACTGCCACAACAGATCTCCACGTTTGCAGTCCTTGGCTGGATGGCCTCTACACAACACGGCTCCCAGGGGTGGTCCCGTCTCACAGACCCTACAGGCCAAGTTCTTTACTTTTCAGTTTCCGTGTTCATTAAGTGTCCTGGAAGCAGAACTGCATCATAAGATCAATGGCAATTACTCTGACCTAAAAAACAGAGAATCTCATAGATGATCTAATGAATCACATCCCAACCAACCAATCCAGGGTTGATCTACCCACATCCTGTACTGCGTGGAGGCTTTTTAATACCAGTCACTACTAGGGAGTAAAACGTCAAAAAGAGATTGCATTCCTTAATTTTGCATTGTTTGCAATTATCTGTAAAAACTAATTTTTCAAAAGAAGAAGGGAGACAATGCAGGCAGCCTTCTCCATATTGATCGTGAAGAATCTACAATCACCAACAAGGCACAGCAGGCCACAACATCTGAAACTGCAGACCCTATGTTCCTACCACAGGCTCCTTCACTGAAAGCAGGAGCTTCGGAGTCACACGGTCTTGGGTGCCAAGTACCACTCAGCCATTTATTAATATCGCCAAGCCTCAATGTCCTTTTGTAAGAAAGGAACGTAATATCTAATTCATTGGATTATAAATTCATATGTTGAAGGCCTAATAGTATGCACTGGACTTAGCAAATATTCAATTAAATCTTATCATCATCATCTCATAATTATTTTTCCATTGTATCCTTCCCCAAACCAGAAAATCTCTAGGTTCCATGAAAATGTGTCCACAGAAAGAACCAAAGGCATGGCAGAGCTCCATGCTAGGCCACGGTACTCCTCTGCTGCTGTCTTCAACACCAGGTGACTGGTTTCCTAAGGAACTAGACACACAACTTGTCAACAGCATTTGTCTTCTCATCTGCACTGCTCCCAACCAATGACCCAACACAGCTTTGTCATCTTGGGAGAGAAGGTGGTGGTACACCTTCAGATCAGTTTCTTTGATTGACCTAAGAAACATACAACTGAATGTGGGACGCATCTATCCTAATAGGACTCCAACATAAATCAGCACCTGTCACACAGAAGACCACATCTCAACCTCACACTTATCTTTCAGAATAAACTGAAATCTACACTAAATTTCAGGTCCGAAAATCCCATGCCAATTAATAGAGAGCACAGAATCACAAACACAAGTAACCAAACTCTCCCGTATCTAAAAATCTGCTTTCTCGAGCCACAAAGACATCCTAACTAGCCTTGATAGATTGTACATACAGCACTGCCAGTGATGGGTATCTGAACTTGAAGTCATTGTTCCATTTCACATGAAGATTGAACCTGCACATCGGCTGTCTAAAATCAATGCCAAGGTTGGAGGAGGGAGAGGAAAAACAGGGTTGGTCTGAGAGCACACGGAAGCTGTGTGACTGCCCCCACAATCACGCCTGGCTGCAGCCCCCAGATAAGGGCATGGTGGGTCCTCCCCTGCCACCCTTCTCTGCCATATATAGCAGTGCTGGGCACCTGGCACAGACTCCCTTTGCACTCATGGCTGCCTGGAGAATTGCTCAGAGTAACAGCATGTCTCGGCTAGTTAAAAAGATCTCCAGACACTCTGAGCCCGTGAAAGAAGCAACAAACAGCCAGGCCTGAGCCAATCCAGATGACTACTAGAGCAGCAAAAATCTCAGCTGTGCCAACTAGACCAGTCACCACGCTCCTCACCGCCCATCTCCCTCTGGCCAAATGGCTCTCCATGGTGTCCCTTAGAAATAACAATAAATAGCGCAACAACTTAATTTTATAGTTAAAATGCAACAAGCCAGACAGTACATTAGCCATTATCCATGCAAATCTTGAAATATTTTCCATGCAAAATCCCAGTTTTAATACATAGTCACCATGAAGAGGAATTCAACAGCAAGGATATTACATTTACCATCTCAAAAATAAAAAAACTTTTTCTAAGTTAATCCAATATTTGGTCGTTTATGATTTACCTTCCAAGATGAAAAAGCTGAAAGGCTTCTTTTGTCCCCAAGGGGAGAGACTGCCAGCAGCTTTGAGGTCTGCCTTCCAGCTGTTTTTGTTAGATTTTTACACCTGCTAATGCCCAGCAACTAAGTGAGCATAAACAGGCATCGCTTACCAGCGTTTCACTGGAATCTCTTGATTTAACTTCCAAATTACTTGGCTTTGATAACTATTTTTAATGACAAACTACAAGGAATCATAGCGTTTACAAGGGCTGGAACAGAGGTGAGACTACAGGCACTTGCCTCTGACACAAAATTTAAGGGAGGACCAAAATCTCAGTAGTCAAGAGAAATAGTTTAATGTAATAATTGAACAAAAAAACTGATGCACAAAAATCCAAGATAAGCAAAATGCCAAAATTTTAAATAAAAACAGACTCATCTGAGTGTCCTGTCTGATAAGAGGGGAGATTAGAAACCTTCTCTCCAGATGGTCATCACAATCACAGGGGACCAAAGAGCTGCAGTGGACTGAAGGAAGTGGGTGCACACCCAGGAGCTCGGGCAACTAGGACCCTCTGCATCCTCGACCACCCCTTGGACCCTGTGGTCTCCCAGGAACCCAGTCTCTGGCCTGACCCCAGAAAAATCAACAGCAATAACCTAGCAACCAACCTCATCGTTTTACAAATAAGAAAAACAAGGCTGGTTGTAGTGGCTCACACCTGTAATGTCAGTGCTTTGGGAGGCCAAGGCAGGAGGATCACTTGAGGCCAGGAGTTTGCGACCAGCTTGGGCAACAAAGCAAGATCTCGTTTCTACAAAAAATGTTAAAAATCAACCAGGCTTGGTAGCATGAGCCTGTAGTCCCAGATATTCGGAGGCTGAGGTAGGAGAATCTCTAGAGCCCAAGAGTTGGAGGATGCAGTGTACTATGATCATGCCACCACACTCCAGCTTGGATGACAGAGAAAGACCCTATATCTACAAAAGATAGAAAAGAAAGGAAGTAAAAGGAAGGAAAGGAAGGAAAGAGAGGGAGGAAGGGAGGGAGGGAAAGAGAGAGGGAAAGAGAGAGAAAGAGAGAGGGAAAGAGAGAGAGAGAAGAAAGGGAAGAAAGAAATGAATACACACGCTCTGGGGTGTCGACTGTTGGAGGAAAGGCTAGGATAAGAATCTAAGCCTCCCACTCCAGGGCTTTGGGCATGCAATCCTCAGATGAACCATCACCAAAGGAAGACTCGGCAATGTGGACAGGCCTTCTATTGCTTAAAAAATTGTAGCTGGGCACAGTGGCTCATGCCTGTAATCCCAGCACTTTGGGATTACAAGTGATTTCAGGAGTTCAATGCTGCAGTGAGCCCTGAGCCATGATCACGCCACTATAGTCCATACTATGTAAAGGAAATGGCACAGTAATTCTTAGAAAATAATTAAGAAACGGCCAGGCGCGGTGGCTCACGCCTGTAATCCCAGCACTTTGGGAGGTCAAGGCACGCAGATCACGAGGTCAGGAGATCGAGACCATCCTGGCTAACACGGTGAAACCCCGCCTCTACTAAAAAAATACAAAAAATTAGCCGGGCATGGTGGCGAGCGCCTGTAGTCCCAGCTACTCGGGAGGCTGAGGCAGGAGAATGGCGTGAATCCAGGAGGCGGAGCCTGCAGTGAGCCTAGATCGCACCGCTGCACTCCAGCCTGGGCGACAGAGCAAGACTCCATCTCAAAAAACAAAAAAGAAAAAAAAATTAAGAAACAAAGAAGCCACTAAACAATAACTCTACTATCAAAAATAATTTCTTGGCTGGGCACGGTGACTCATACCTGTAATCTCAGCAGGAGGATCACTTGAGGCCAGGAGTTCAGGAACAGCCTGGCCAACAAAGTGAGATTCTGTCTCTACAAAATTAAAAAAAAAAAAAATTAGCTGGGCATGGCAGCACACACCTACAGTCACCACTACTCGGCAGGCTGAGGCGGGAGGATTGCCTAAGCCCAGGAGTTCAAGGTTATAGTGAGGTATGATCACCCAGCTGCACTCAACCTGGGCAACAGAGTAAGACCTCGTCTCTAAATATAATAATAATTTCTTAATACTATTTTAAAATAGTAACACATTTATTAAAGCCATGAAAGTCAAATGTCTCAAATTTAAGATTCTATGTACTTTTGCAAATATGCCCATAAGTAGCCCAAACTTGTAGCCAGCTTCATATCAAGTAGAAATAATCACAAGCATCTGTAATGAAAATTGTCAACTTCACTGATTTCACTACTTTTTAAATGATAAAAAATTATGAAAGACGCTCAAAAAAGCAGCTATGTACATACCCAATTTCCTTTCTGTGTTAAGTTTCTAGGTTTCCAGGAATCTCCTCTGACAAACAGGAATTTATTTGCTTCTACTAATAAATCAATTGGAAATAACATAAAACATAAATAAGTTTCTGTGACATTTTTACTAAAAGGGAGCCGTGTCTCCCTCTAGACAGCTGGAGAACAATCTTTCAGCCATGCCCAGGCGAGACACCCTGACTTCTGCAGTGGACACCCAGGCTGCCGGGGTTCAGGGTCACCACATTTCTGCTCCTCGACCCTTCCCTGCGGGGATTAGAAGGCAGAGAAAGCAGCATTGGTTCCTGCTCTCATATGTGGTTTTGTGGAAACCCTGCTTATCATGGAAACCAAGTATCTTCAATTAAAGATATTTGCTTCTGCTTCTGCTGAGATACTGGCTTCTGCTAAGATTATAAAGAACAGAAATTTGTACATTGGAAATCAATGTAAAAATCTAATGTACATTTTCTGACTGGTTTGCTTTTTTGGCTTTTTTTCTTTTCCCTTTAGCTTTAGGAATTAGGAATATCATTTGAGCCACGATTCTAAGGGAGCTGGGGCGGCAGGGGCTGCAGACAGCCACTCTAGAGAGAGACAGCATCTTTGGAGAAGACTAAGGTGGCAATTCGTTTTCCATGTGGAAATTCTTCTTGAGGATCTAAGCACCAGCCCAAACCACACAAGGTTATGTATTTCAATAAAGAGGCCATTTCTAAATGTTCAAAACATATTATTCTCCTACTTTAAAAAAAGAAAAGCAAAAATGGATCGCTAAATGCAAAGCCAAATCCTCATAGTGGTAACTTTTACTGACATCTTATCTCAACTAAAAATGAAAAGTTTTCATTTTCAACTACTCTTTGCCAATACCCTCTTCACTTAGCTTCAAGGGGCTTCCACGACACCCAGCCTGGCTCCCTCCATCTGAGTCTCTGAGAGCTGGTGTCGTGGTATGCCCACCATGCCAGGTTCCCTCACAAGAGTTCATCTAATCAAAGCTTCCATGACTAACAACGATTTAAAAGCCACTTGTGAAAGATGTTGAAACATGTTCACATACAATGAATAAAGTTTGAAAATGGCTTTTATAGGATGGTTCTGGGGCAGACACTGCAACTGGCTGACTCAGCATCCACTCCTAAGGCTCTCTCTCCCTGCCTTTCTTTGCCTACAGCGGCTGGAAAAGTAAAAATCTTGTACTCACTGGTCCAGGCTCCCCTTGTAGCTGGGCATGGTCACACGACAGTTTCCTAACCAAGGAGACCTAAACCCAGGCAGCCATGGAGCAGAGAGGGAGCACAGGAATGGACGTGGGGGTTACCACCATGACAAGCCACTTTGCTGTCCGGAACATCATGGAAAAAGCAGAAAATGCGGGAGGAGGTGTCTAGGTCAGCCAGCCATCAAGGGCTGCAATCCACATCTCAGCCACCGGAACCCCTCCATGCTGCATCACTTAGAAAGCTCTGCTCTTGGCCAGGCGTGGTGGCTCACGCCTGTAATCCCAGCACTTTGGGAGGGTGAGGCAGGCAGATCACTTGAGGTCAGGAGTTCAAAACCAGCCTGTCCAACACGGCAAAACCCTGTCTCTACTAAAAATACCAAAATTAGCTGGGTGTGGTGGCGTGCGCCTGTAATCCCAGCTACTCGGGAGGCTGAGGCACAAGAATCGATTGAGCCCGGGAGGCGGAGGTTGCAGGTTGCAGTGAGCCAAGATCAGGCCACTGCACTCCAGCCTGGGCAACAGAGCAAGACTCTGTCTCAAAAAAAGAAAAAGAAAAAGAAAGGAAAGGAAGCTCTGTTCTCAGTCACCTCCACATCCTCCCCTCCCACCCCTCGCTCCTCTGTAAGCACTCCACACCTCAGACAGAACAGACTTGCCCTGAAGTCTGGAATCAAACCCCCTGTAGCAAACTCTTCAAGTAGCAGCATCCCCCCCTGCTCCCACTCTCTCTACCAGCAAAAGCCTGGCTCACCTCCTCCGTAACACTGGCCAAGAACCACAAGGAACAGTGAAGTGGCTTCATTCATGAAGACAGACTTGAGCACCCGCTCCCTGCTGCAGTGCAGGCACTGCAGCAGTAGAGGTGGGTGATGGTGCCTTCTAATAAAATCCTATGACGCTGTAACTCAGGACACATTATAACATTCGGGCTACCACTGCACTAATCACTAAGGATGTTCCCCTCAGTTGTACTCATCAACACCCAGAGTGCCCCTGGGCCACAGGCCCTTCACAGTGGATGTTATCTTCCTTATCTTTGTAGCACCTGTCAGACCTGATGCACAACTGGCTGTTAAATACTAACGGCATGAAGCGTAACCCATCAACTTCAATTTCCTCCCACTAGATTTGTCCATTATGTACTTTCCAAATTCTAGTCCTATTCTCTTACTTCACCCCATATACTTTTGCTTTTATTTTCCCTTTATCTGTTTCCAAAATTGTAAATATAGCAGTCACATGTTCTTATGGTAGACCATGATGTCCTGACACCAAAAATCATTATGATGAAGTCTTGCATGTAGTTAGATGCTTCCTAACACCATGATTATTTCCCATTATTCTGGAAATGCTAGCCAGTGCAATTAAACAGAGAAGTAAATGTTTGCTACAAATACAGAAAGGGGGCAATGTTATTATTTGCACACAATAAAACTGCATACTCGGAAAACCCAAGAAAATAACTTGAATTAATATACAACTAAGAGGATTATTAGTTTTGAAGGTTATAAAAATGAAGGTTATAAAAAATATATAATAAAATAATAAACTATATATAAATTATAACCAGTTTAAAAAACATAATAAGAAAAAACTGAAAATAGCAATGTTAAGTTTAAATCCCTAGGAAATACTTAGCAAACATATAGAACTTATATGATGTATACAGAACTTTAAAAAGTGACAAAAAAGAAGATAAGTGAAAGAGCATTTAATATGTATTGCCGGATATATGGACTTCTTGGATAGTCAGAAGTAACTACTTGAAAGATGTCAGTTCCCTCCTAAAATAATATATAAGGCCAGGCACAGTGGGGCTCACACCTGTAATCCCAGCACTTTGAGAGGCAGGAGGGCAGATCACTTGAGTTCAGGAGTTTGAGACCAGCCTGCGCAACATGGTGAAACCCCATCTCTACTAAAAATACAAAAAGTTAGCTAGGTGTGGTGGTGTGCGCCTGTGGTCCCAGCTACTCAGGAGGCTGAGGTGGGAGGATCCCTTGAGCCCAATAGGCGAAGGCTGCAATGAGCCAAGATGGCACCACTGCACTCCAGCCTAGGCGACAGAACGAGACCCCCTCTCAAAAAAAGTACACACACACACACACACACACACACACACACACACACACAAAACCCGCAGTCTCAATTTAAAAATTAACAGAATTTGTGTTGTTTTCATGGGATGGGTCCACTTTGGCAAAATGAGTCAAAGTCATAAGCTTGGAAAATAAAAGCAGAAAATTCGCAAAAATTATGAAAACAAAAAACGATATGGAAGTACCTTTTTAGAATTAAAACCAGTTTGGGATTGAAAACAGAAGAAGAGAAAAAAACAAATAAAACAGTATATCTAATTCAGAAAAGGTCAAACATATATTAATCTATGGAAAATAGGACATTTCAAGCAAAAGCAGAAAAGAGTGATTATTTTTAAAATAAAATGATCAAGAAATTCCATTTCTAGAAAGCTACAGACACATTTGTAGTACCATTACAGTTACATCCTCTTTCTCTCTTTCAAACACACACACACACACACACACACACACACACACACACACACACACACCCTAAGACTATAGAGGACAGGAAAGCAACACAGAAGGCACAATTTACATGTTTACATTTACAGGAGAGGAGTGAGGAGTTAGGGGCAGGGAGCCTTATTTCTTCTCTGAACTAATTAAGTTTTATAAATGTTAATGCATTTTTAATGTTAATTTGGATTATTCTTGGTAATGACATAACAATTTTTTTTTTTTTTTGAGATGGAGTCTCACTCTGTTGCTCAGGCTGGAGTGCAGTGGCACGATCTTGGCTCATTGCAACCTCCGCCCCCCGGGTTCAAGTGATTCTCCTGCCTCGGCCTCCTGAGTTGCTGGGATTACAGGCACACACCACCACACTCAGCTAGTTTTTGTATTTTTAGTAGAGACGGGGTTTTGCCATGTTGGCCAGGCTGGTCTGGAACTCCTGACCTCAAGTGATCTTCCCGCCTCACCCTCCCAAAGTGCTGTGATTACAGGCGTGAGCCACCGCGCCCAGATGACCTAAGAATATGTTTTATTTACACTCTCTTACACTGTATATTAGGAGTGGGAGGCATAGAGATCAGTTCAGGTTTTGCCAACAGACAGAACCAGGTTCACACCCGTCACTTCCACACACTGTTGATGTGTCTCAGGGAAGCTGCTTATCTCCCATTAAGTCCATCCATTCAGCTGCAAAATGGGGATAATACCCTCAACTGAGCTGTTACAAGTATTAAATGTAATAAAAAAAAAAATAGCCTCGTATTTGGTACATAATTACCTAATAAATGGAATTGGTTGCTGTGCTGATGATTTGGGTCAAAATAACAATTATCTTGATACTCCATGCTTATAAGACAGAGAGGTGCAGTGGCCAAAGCAACTCCATCTCAGATATTAATCTGCCATGCTGACTTCTGATTAACCCCAGTTCTGGGAAGGCCTCTAAGATTTCCCGTTTATCTATTGCAGGAGCTGGCACTGCCCAGAGGTCAAACAACCTTGACATTATAGTACTTTAATTGTCCTACACATCCCTTCAGAGTCACCCTTTCCCCACAGTGTATCAGCCCTGGGTCTGGGGGTAGTGCAGAGACACAGACGTGGCTTCTGTTCCTAAGTCCCAATTAAACCTTTCTCTCTTTTTTTGAGATGGGGTCTTGCTCTATGACCCAGGCTAGAGTGTTGTGGGGCCATCATACCTCACTGCAGCCTCGACTTCCCAGGCTCAAGCAATCCCCCCACTTCAGCCCCTCAAGTAGCTGGGACCACATGTGTATGTCACCATGCCTGTCTAGCTTTTTTTTTTTTTTTTAATAGAGATGAGGTCTTGCTATGTTGCCCAAGCTGGTCTCAAACTCCTGGCCTCAAGTGATCCTCCAGCCTTGGCCTCCCAAAGTGCTGGGATTACCAACCTGGGCCACCTCACCTTAACCTAAATGTTTCTTTATGAGAAACTGGAATTGTGAGCCTCTTTCTTTAGCCTCTCAGCTTCCTCGGACTTTGCGAGTAGGTTTGTATAGGCCTGCCCACCAGAGAACGGGAAGTAAAGTTGGTTGTACATCTAAGACATAGTTTTCCTAATTTGTTAACCTAATGCTTTTCTCAGTACATGATAATTTAGTCATATTTTCTTACAGAATAACAATGTATTTTTGTGGGGGGGTTTTCTGTGGGATGAGAAAAACCCAGCTTCTAAGGTTGCTGCAAAACTGTCACATACTGGTGGGTCAAGCTTACCAGGGAACAACTCATCTTCTAATCACATTAAAATAAGTATGTGCATTCTTTTTGCCTTTAGCTTAAAAAAAAAAAAAGTAAGATAAAAATTAAAAAGAAATATGTGATAAAGGCTATCTCTGTCCCATCCCCAGTTCAAACCTTAATGAGACAACTTGAAAATAACTTATTCAAGTCAGCATGTCGTGCAGACATCACTACCAATTTGGCATTATGCACTGACTACTGCACTACTAACACAGTCAGCCTTTTATATTATTTATAAGCTTTTAAGACATGTAAATGCTCCTGAAGCCACAGCAAAAGCTAACAGTCTTGTGGGGAGAAAAAAAAAAAAACAGAAGCAAAGTCAAGAGCTGACTACTATGAAGACCAGCCATGGCACTGTGAAGTGTTTTTGTGTGATCAAGTGTAATCATTACATCAAATACTTGCTGCCTCTCAATTCAATAGAATATCTTTGCAAAATATTCAAGCAAAATGCACTTGCAAAGTGCATGTTGCATGCTATGACTTATATCAGAAGGCGGACGCTATTACCAGCCACACAACTTAAAGTGGAAAAATGGGAATTTAGTAATTAACAGAAGACAGTCCTTTGATTTGGGGTTATTATCTCCTTATGCAGAGACAGGGGCTGTGTGCGAATACCTCAGCTAAAGGCTAGTGTTTCAAGAAAGCCTATCCTTACCCTACCAAAACAATTACAGAGATTGGTCTCAAAGTCTGAGTGGAAATTCTCTTTTTCTAAAACTACCTGTTTTTCCAAATGCTCCATTCATGAGATGTTTTCTAATGGAAGAAAACAGCCAAGGCAGCAGGCTAAAGCCTCCTCCTTAATGCACTTCAGTCATCTCAGCCTGTTGTTTCAGTTCCAAGGACAGGGCCTCAGGATTGGTCTGAAAAGCACCTCGATTCTCCAGCTCCAGCAGGGGTCCTGATTGCTGTGTGTACAAACGAAGTCTCTCTTCTTCATACATGCCCACATGAGGAGCCAAAGGGGATGACACTCTATCCCCAAGGGCACTTGGACTGACAAATGGAAAAGCAAACTAAGAGCTGGGGACACCCTTGGAGAAGCTGGCAAATAAGCTCCAGGCAAACCTTGAAGAACAGGCAGACGACTGGTGCAAGCCCTGAGCCCTGTGTGCCACATCTGACTGCTGGAAGACACCAATTCATTTCGTCCTTACTATCCTCCTACAAAAGACTAGACCACCACAAATGAAGCCTTGGAATACAGCCATTTAACATGGCAAAGGCCCACACAAATATTTCTAAAGACCTTGCCACATGGACAACACAGAAAGTAGCTCATGTTCTGGTGAATAACGCAATTTTGTATTTTGCTGATGCCTGTGAAACCACCCAGTGGGATAAAAATAAATATTTAGCCTACTTATTGATAAAAATATCCTCCCAGTAGCCCATCCCTGGAGGGCATGGCAGAGGGTTGTGTGAATTCTGGACATGCATATGTTTGATTAATAAAATCCAAGAGGACATAGGTTTCAAATCTTCTTGTATCTCTAGACCAGCAAATCCAGCCATGGAGAGAAGCAGAGAATCACAGACAGGAAGAGTATGCCAAGCAAAAGCCGGGGCTGCACAAGCCATCTCAAAGTATGCAGGGAGTCAGGGAAAGGACAAGGGAGAACACACAACCTTAAAACAAAAAGGAGCACACAGTTCTCATCTAGGATACTTTTAAAGTGGCTTCCCCTGAATAAGTGTTTTTTATGATAACGTAGAAAAAACAAAAATAGTCATCGTAGATCAGACAACATATGGAATTCTGGTTTTATTTATTTTTTTTTTTTTAGAGACATCGTCTCCTTGTTGCCCAGGCTGGAGGTGCACTGATGCAGTCATAGCTCACTGCAGCCTCCTGGGTCAGGTGATCCTCTCATCTCAGCCTCCTGAATAGCTGGGACTATAAACACATGCCACCATATGTGGCTAATTTTACTTTTCGTAGAGATGGGATCTTGCTATGTTATCCAGGCTGGATTTGAACTCCTGGCCTCAAGCAATCCTCTTGCCTCAGCCTCCCAAAGTGCTGGGATTACAGGCATGAACCACCATGCCTGGCCTGGAATTTTTTATACTGCTAGATTAATTTATTGAGAAACATACAAGCATCTATTTACCTTACCAATAAAAACACTTTCAAGTCATAAGTAGCTCTTTCTACAACCCGTCTTATGAAACATCACGTGCTTTGTCCTGTACTTTCCCAAATAAGCAAGTTCTTTAAAAGCAAGGATCATATTTTACATTTACCTATCGTGTACACACCCACATGGCTACACAGAAAATACTCAAATACTTTATTAATAGAAAGTCTTTTGTTGCAACAAATCTCTCCTTTTCATATCATAGATACAATTGTTAAAAGCCACTAATTTTTAAATCAGGCAGATTTTCTTTCTTTTACTAACATGTAAAAATTCCAGGCTTCTCTGAACAAATTGGACAGGGTGAAATGAAACTATGCCAACCTCCAAAAACTATTTCAGACTGCGTTGGATTACAGACAATCCCCTGACTTAAACTATACACATACAAATACCTCATCAGAAATAATTCTAAGAATAACCTTCCTCCTGTTAATAAACGACATTTATGAGTAACTAATAACAGAAAGAGACACTTCAGCTAAAGCCATGATGTCAACAGTGATGAGAACATGAGGTGGGGCTTATAAGCAGGGACCTACATCCTTGACCACAAGGACACAAGACTACGTGTAAGAAGTCCTTAAAGCTTATGAGCAAATGGAAAGTTTTGGTCAATGTGAGATTGTCACTTTTCCAAGGTCCTTAAAACAGGCAGAGTGAGCCAAAAATCGACATTTTCAATGAGGCAAAGGATGACTGACAGCTTCAAGAAGAATTGCTGGGCCGAGGCTGGGCGCGGTGGCTCATGCCTGTGATCCCAGCATTTTGGGAGGCTGAGGCGGGCAGATCACTTGAGGTCAGGAGCTCGAGACCAGTCTGGCCAACATGGTGAAACCCCGTCTCTACTAAAAATTAAAAAAAAAAAAAAAATTAGCCGGGCGTGGTGGCATGCACCCGTAATCCCAGCTACTGAGGAGGCTGAGGCAGGAAAATCGCTTGAGCCAGGGAAGCAGAGGTTGCAGTGAGCTGAGATTGCACTGCTACACTCCAGCCTGGGTGACAGGAGAGAAACTCTGTCTCAAAAAAAATAACAGAAAAAGAATTGCTGGGCCGATCACAAGAGCCCAGTGCAAGGGTATGCCCTCCCACAGCAAATCTTCCTTTCATGAGGCTCAACTAGCAACTTGAGAGGTCATAACTTGGTGTCTGTCTATGCTCAGTGCTACTAGGATCTGGATCTGCTTGTAGTTAGCAGATAACCTAAACTGCCCTCTGATGTTGGCATCTGATCAGCTTCTCAGCAGTTTTCTCATCAAATGATTTCCAAGAACAGTCTCTCCTCAAGAATATGGATACTCAAAGATTTGGCATTAAACTGGGAATTGAGATGAGGAATGGGAAAAAGAAAACATTCCATCCTAAGCATATATAACATGCTTTTTTTTGCCATTTTTCCCCTTCTGTCTCAATCAACCAATTACAAAACTAAAATGATAATGACAAATCAACAAGACAGGCATTAATGTTAAGGCCCAAGACAGGCTGTGCTTACCTGCTTCAAAGGCCACCATATCTGAGAATTGTACCTACTGGCCCCACTTGCTCTAGTTCTGGGGACTAACAGCTTCCCAACAACCATGAAGATGCCCATGGTCCTTTACTCTAGTCTCACACAGGAGCACCAAACTTACAATAAGTTGTTAAACCAAACCAGCAGAGAGAGGGGCTAGGATGCTAATCTGGGTTGAAATCACTGTACAGGTTGGCAGTACCCCTCACCCTCCCTCCTCCAATCTCCCCATGGCAAAAAAATGCACCTTTTTTTTTTTTTTTTTTTTTGAGACGGAGTCTTACTCTGCTGCCCAGACTGGAGTGCAGTGGCACGATCTCAGCTCACTGCAAGCTCCACCTCCTGGGTTCACGCCATTCTCCTGCCTCAGCCTCCTGAGTAGCTGGGACTACAGGCACCCGCCACCACACCTGGCTAATTTTTTGTGTTTTTAGTAGAGACGGGGTTTCAGCGTGTTAGCCAGGATGGTCTTGATCTCCTGACCTCATGATCTGCCCGCCTCGGCCTCCCAAAGTGCTGGGATTACAGGCTTGAGCCACCGCGCCCAGCCAATGCACCTTTTTTTTTTTTCTTATAAAAAAAAAAAAAAAAAAAAAGAGTCAGCTCTGTTGCCTAGGCTGTGGCGTAGTGGTAGTCCTGAACGCCTGAGCTCAAGTGATCTTCCTGCCTCAGCCTCAAGTAGCTGGGACTACAGGCATGCACCACCACACTTGACTAGTTTTTTTACTTTTTATAGAGATGGGGTCTCACTACATTGCCCAAACTGGCCTCAAACTGCTAGCATCAAGCAATCCTCCCGCCTCAGCCTCCTTAAGTCTGGGATTACAGGTGTGAGCCACTACACATAATCAAAGCCATTCATCATTTTAAAGACAATCTCTGTCCTTTGAACCAATAAAATAATCACAGTGCAAAGCTCCGAGTTCCTGGTGAACAGGCTGAAAAGACAAAAGGGAACACTGCTAACAGATTTTTCAACCACTGCTTTCTTCTCCGAAAATTTTCTTCTTTTACTTTTCTGCATGAATCTTAGTTTCAAATTTTAGACTCAAATCACCAAAAGGTACTGTCATCCCCCTAAAAAAAGGTTCTAAAGTCATAAACAAGATAAATAACATAATGTCTTGAATATCTGTGAGGAAAAATTTCTCCTTGATTCCTCTGGTAGGTGCAATGTTTTTTATCCAAATCTGTTTTCGAAGTCTATGACAGCATTTTGCATCTTTTTCTTTACTTAGAGCCTTCATTTATATTAGAACTTCCTCACATCTAAAATACATATTTCCACAATATCTGCACAGGAGGTTCAAACACAGTGATCATGACTGAAAATTATAGTTAATTACTAGTCAGCACTAAAAATAAAAAATTTAAGTTCTTATTCTCATCTAACACAGTATCTGGTTAACAGAAAGTTGCAAATAACTGTGAGGTGTGACATGCTACAGCCTGTCCTTCATCTACCTGTCTTTCCTTTTCCACTTCCTGACTCTTAAATTGTCTTTAAGAAAACATGTCCTGGCCGGGTGCGGTGGCTCATGCCTGTAATCCCAACATTTTGGGAGGCCAAGGCAGGCAGATCACTTGAGGCCAGGAGTTCGAGAGCAACCTGGCCAACCAACATGGCAAAACCACATCTCTACTAAAAATACAAAAAAATTAGCCAGGCACGGTGGCTCACGCCTATAAACCCAGCTACTCGGGAGGCTGAGGTGGGAGAATCGCTTGAACAAGGGAGGCAGAGGTTGCAATGAGCCAAGATCGTGCCACTGGGCGAAACCTGTCTCCAAGAAAAAAAAAAAGAAAAGAAAAGAAAAAAGAAGAAAATACATCCTGAAAACCATTGCAAATTCTACTCATGCCAACTAGGACCATGCCCAGGATTCTGGTCCCCAGTTAACCTCATCAGTGACACATTTTTCTGCCGCTGGTCATAAAATTCAGAGTAAACGATGCCCCATTTTGTCCTTGCACTGGAAGGGTTCTGCTGATGATGCTTCAGTATACTATTAGAAAATTCTCCTCTCTTCTAGATAAACCTGCATCTGTAGACATAAAATGTTTGGGCATATAATTTAATTTCCTAAACCAGCTTCCTTATTGGCAGACTTTGATACTCCTAAAAATGCATCTGTTCCTGACCCCTTTGCAAGCACTCAAAGTATTCATTCTGTAATCCAATATTGGCCTAAACTATGAAATGCTAGAAAATGCTATAATTATCTACATGGGCCACTTTAAGAAAACCTCATGCAATCAGGGCTTAGTACTAACATGAGAAAAGCTAGGATAAACATTAGCTGAGTAAAGAAAAAGTTTTAAAATCACATCAACTTTTTTGGAGTATCCAACAATTTCCACATGCCACTGCTATATGTTATTTTACACATTCTTTTTAACAAATCCCTTCAAGAAAGGTAGTATGCTCCCCATTTTACAGATAAGGAAACCCAGGTTCAGGGAGAGGTAAGCAATTTTTCCAAATAACACAGCTAGAAAGTGGCAGAGCATTATTCCAAAGTCTTTCCACTCCACCACACTATGCCTCATAACCATCTGCAGAAGAGCAGCTTTGGAATGAAGGATATTAGGAGAGGCAAGTGAATTGTCACTGGGAAGTCACTGTGTTGCCCACAATTTCCTTCTTCCTCTTATCACGTCACACTGTCTACAGAAGGACACCTCATGATGAGTCATTTTCTAGTTGGGGCACTCAAGCACTAAGGCCCTTCAACTTACAGACAGTGTAATATGGAAATGTGTTTTAATCCTGGAAGCACTGAGTTTGGATTAATTTCACTTTACTCATTCACAGAAGAAAAAAATTCCTGAGAACAGCTCCTACCTAAAATGCAAGAACTAGAAAAGTCCAAGCCCACCCTGTGAAAGGGCACACCTGGAAGCTCCTTAAGTTGGTGACGGATGACAAGGAAGGTTTAACAGCACAGGAAATTCCCCCATGGTATAAATTATACTAGGTGTGACTGAAACGGCTAAATTAGGTCATGATAGATGGTTGTGTCAGACAGAACAGGTTATGCAAACAAAGACTATGACATGGAGGATGATTTTTGCTGCACAAAAAGAATAGAAAGAGGCGGAAGGAAAAAGCTACAGAATCATAGGCACTGAAGATAAATGAAAACTAAAATAAATGAAGACAAAATTAAATGGCTTCCAGTAATCAAAATTCAATACTGAAACTTTTTTAAAAAGAAAAAAAGAAAAAAAAACTCAATACTGAGAATAGATACAACTCAATGAGAATTGGATATGAAGCACTTTTTTTTTTCTAATAGGAACCAAAGAAATATACTACGGCATAGAAAACTGGCTCAGAACAGGGTATGCAACGGATTTTATTCACACGTGTAAATCTTTAAACTTAGGTCCTAAATGGTCCTATCACATTAGAAGAAAAACAATGTACATAATATTTAATCAATGAGTAAGCACTTACTAGATACACTGTGCTCTTGAGAACTGTTTCACAAGTGGCCTTGCTAAAGTAGAATATCACATTTTAGCTAGAACCACCCAAGTATTTCTAAAAGTGACTGGTATCTATTCCACGCATCAACAAAAGGGAAAAAGAAACTTCTAGAACTTTCCACCTCAAACATTTCACTGAAGGATGATGCACATAGCAATCAAACATTCCGATTTTAAGCAAGTAAAAGAGAGCAAAGAAAAAGTATTCATATAAAACAGGAAGTGAGAGGGACAATTTGAGGCAGCCAATTCAACAGCACATCGCCTAAGGCCAAGGCAGAATTATTTTCAGCAGGCAACATGCTACGCACAAGGATTTCAGCCAGCATAACGTGTGTGCTGCGGTAAAAATACTACTGAAGAGGATTCTTGAATAAAGGCACCCACCATGGCATTTCACAAGTCACTTTATTCCACATGTGGAATAAGAGACAAACTGCCTTATGGCTTAATTTTTAATATCATGTGAAAAGCTCTGCACATACTGCTGCGCTTTCTGATTTTTGTCTACTTTATTAGCTGAGAACACTTATGAATCTAAAAATACTTCGTTTTGGGGAGTGGAATTCCTTTATTCGTATTTGCACATGACTTTACCTGTCAAAATCTTTCACAATGCCACTAGGTATATAGGTTTCAACAAGTTTAGTATAATTCCAATCTTAGCCAACTATATTATGTAAGTAATCTCAATGTGGGAGGCAGCCTCTAAAATGATCTCCCTATCTTCTGGTTTTTATGTCTCTGTGTAAACCCCTCCCCAATCTACCTTTTTTTGGCAGGCGGGGTGTGGGGGACAGCGCAGCGGTGTAGAAACAGTATTTATTATGTTGCCCAGGCCGGTCTCCAGCTCCTGGACTCAAGTGATCCTCCCACCTTGGCCTCCAAAAGTGCTGCGATTACAGACATGAGCCATTATGCCTGGTCCCAATCTACTACTTTTTTTGTTTGTTTTGAGACAGGGTCTCACTGTGCCACCCAGGCTGGAGTGCAGTGGTAGGATCTCTGCTCACTGTAACCTCCACCTCCTGGGTTCAAGTGATTCTTGTGCCTCAGCTTCCCAAGTACCTGGGATTACAGGCACCTGCCACCATGCCCGGCTAATTTTTGTATCTTTAATAGAGAAGATCGTTTCACCTTGTTGGCCAGGCTTTCTAGAACTCCTGACCTCAAGTGATCTGCCCGCCTCAGCCTCCCAAAGCGCTGGGATTACAGGCATGTGCACTGTGCCCAGCCCCATTCTACTTCTAATATAATAGCAGAAGTGACAGGATGTTGCTTCCAAATTAGTTTATAAAGAGCATGTGCCTTCTGTTTTAGGCACTCACTGGCTCTCTCTCAGATTAGGAGCTGCATGTGGTGAGGAGTTGACACCTCCTGTCAACAACCACCTGAATAAGCTTGGAAGCAGAATGCCCAGCCCTGCTCCAGCCTTCAGATGACTGCAACCTGAGACAGACAGCCGTGGAGATCCAACTAACACACACCTCAAGTCCTGGCCCACAGAAACTATGAGTCAGTAAATGTCTGTTTTTTAAACCACTAAGTTTTGGGATAATGTGTTATACTGCAATAAATAAATTAAATTAAATTGGATAATTAATATATTTCTTTATATATGATCCTGTCACAGAACATATAACATTATTTGGACATAAAATTCAACCAAAAACAAAAAAAAAGTGGGGTGAAACACAAATATATTCAAGTACCTAGCCTTAAAAAAACAAAAGGGGTCAGGCACAGTGGCTCATGCCTATTATCTCAGCACTCTGGGAGGCTGAGGCAGGCAAATCACTTGAAGTCAGGAGTTTGAGACCAGCCTGGCCAACATGGTGAACTTCCATCTCTACTAAAAATACAAAAATTAGCCAGGTGTGGTTGCGTGTACCCATAGTCCCAGCTACTCGGGAGGCTGAGGCAGGAGAATCACTTGAACCCAGGAGGCTGAGGTTGCAGTGAACCACAATCACACCACTGCACTCCAGCCTGGGTAACACAGCGAGACTCTGTCAAAAAATAAAAGGAATCCCCATTTGGATTATCTTTCAAACATAAAAAAAATTATACACATATTCTGGTATCTAGGCTAGTTTAAAACAAAACAAATCAGATTGATTATTTTTCAGTCCTAAAAAGTAATTAGTGAAACATTTTAGAAATATAGCCAAGTTATAAAATTCCTGGGAGATTTCCAGTGGCAAATAATGGCCTATTTCTTCTACTAACTCACATAAAATGATTCAGCATTCCTCCCTTGATGATTAAAATGAGCAGATTACCCTGGAGAATCAATGTTAAGCAAAGACAAATGCCTGCCTTCCATTATCTTTTTGTAGTATTTTATGTTCTGCAGTGCACTATACTTCTACAAAGAAAGGGCTATGGTGTTCTACTTAAGAAAACGATGAGTCCTAAAGGAACAAAGTACAGCCACCAAAAAAATTATGTATATCATGATAAACGAACCAGGGAGGATGATGTGTCAAGGATGGGATTAGAAAAAGTGCTTACACACATATAAACATAACATAGATATAAATACAAATACATATATATAAAATATAAATACAGGTATACGTGATTTGAACACAGCCACAAAAGAGCATTCAATTTTATTTCACGAAGCTATTTTGAAGCCCTAGTTTACACCCATACTTTTATTGACATTGAAATAAGTTGGTCTTTAAAAAAGAAAATCACATAAATAGAAACTCTAATGCTGTTTCCAAACCTGAAAGTCACCCAGGTCACTCCTACAATAGGTTCAGGTTCTAAAACAAAACCCTAAAACATTTATCAACCCACTTTACTAAACAGTTTACTTTTTTGTGTGTGAGAAAGAGAGAGGCAGGGAGGGAGAGGGAGAGAGAGAGAGACAAAGAGACAGAGAGACAGAGAGAGAGAGAGAGAGAGAGAGATGGGGTCTCACTCTGTCGCCCAGGCTGGAGTACAGTAACACGATCACAACTCACTGCAGACTCAACCTCCCAGGCTCAGGTGATCCTCCCACCTCAGCCTTCCTCCCATCCCAGCCTTCAGCTGGGAACACAGACACATGCCACCATGCCTGACTTTTTTTTTTTTTTTTTTTTGTAGAGATGGGGTCCCACTAGGTTGCCCAGGCTGGTCTTGAACTCCCGGACTCAAGCAATCCTCCAGCCTCAGCCTCCCAAAGTGCTAGGATTAAAGGTGTGAACCACTGCACCCAGCCAAAAGTTTACTTTTTAAAAGGCTCTATCTATATGATGTTAAATACTTGACAAAAACTCTTACGTTCCACAAAATAGTCTTGATGTATTGGAGACTGGGAGTCGGGGAAAATGACTGTTGCTGATGAAGAAACACTAGCCATTTGTGCTGGGCTGGCAGGACTCTGCACTCACAGTGAAGATGAGCCATAGACATGACTTCTAGGGTTCCCACATTCAGCTACCAGCAAACCTACCAGCTACCACTAGAAGCACTACATTTACTTTGCAAATATAATACACACCTGGTATGTTTTAAGAATAAGAAACATTGTACATCAGACCATCAACATTATCACATGATTCAAATCAACACTCCATACACTGAGAATTTTCATGCCAGTGGGGGCACTGAGGGACAGATTCTATCAGAAGGCGTATTTGTTCACCATCTTAGTAGTTCTTAAAGGGGCAGAACCACTGCCCAGAGGACATTTTGGAAATTTTGTTGTCACAATGACTGGAGGTCACTGCTGGTATTTAGTGGCGGAGGTCAAGGACCTCTAAACATTCTGCAATGTGTGGGACAGTCCCACAAAAGGAAGAAATTGTCTTCAATATCTAAAGGTCCCACCAGACACTCGGGTCAGAAATTTGTCTATAATTTTCTGAGCCTTGAGCTCATAAACACAAAGTATTTTTGCCCAGTGTTGACAGTGCATGGGCAATGCATTCCTGAAATAGTAACTTTCTAAGGAAAGGTCACTATTTTTGAAGAGCTGAGGGCTGCAGCAAGGTTGTCTGTGATATTAAGTGGCAATGCCACCCACCTGCATCAGCTTGCCAACCTGTGTCCTCTGGGGGAAGGTGGGAGAAAGACACAGGGTCATTCCCTGTATCATTGCAACTTCCTGCAAATCTGTAATTATTTCAAAATTAAAAGAAAAAATAGAGATGTTGAGTCATATGGGGCTGAGAACCATCACCATGAACTTATCAGCTTTAAGGTAAGGATAAATGTCACCACTCCACCCCACCAAGGCCAAAGCAATCTTCATCTCATTTACAGCCCATTTCTAACCCATCACCTACAAACTAGACACCTGCAGCTGTGTCTAGCCCACGGCCACCTGGGTACTCAGGAGAGACGGCATGTGGGTACTGGAACCCACATCTCCTGGCTTCCTATTCAATGCTTTTGCCACAACACAGATTATGTGATTTTCTGCCACCATGTATACTGGGTAGAAATATTCCCAAATACTATAATAATTTTTAGGCAGCACTTTCTTTTCAGAATTGAAATAAATTCAAATGACTTAATCTCCTCCCAGCCATATACTAATAAGATCCAAATATGTCAGTGAAGTCACTGGATTTTCACTTAGTTTACCAATAAATAGGCACTGGTTCCCAAGCTTTTATACTCAATGGCATAAAAAGAAAACGGAATTTGTACAACACCGTGGGACTGCTCATACCTGGCTTCCTCAAGGACTAAGGTGCATCACCGTCCTGCATGCTAGTTGGGAAGATGACCCAGGCACTGGTCATATATTATTGCAGCTTTATGATTCTCAAGAAACCCAATAGAAATTTCTTAATCAACAAGAGTTTGTCTGCAAGACCTTAAGGAAAATGGGCAACCTAGGATTTCTTTGAAACTTCTGAAGGAAGGCATTCTAAATGCAGGGTGCTCATTAAATATAAGATCTCCTAATTATACACTCACCTGACATGTTATGGCCCGCCTACGTACTTTAGCCAATGAATGCAATCTCCTTGAATAAAAAATGGTGGTTGGAAAATACAGTTTAAAATAGAATTCCTTAAGAGTCCTTCCTCATCTTTGAGTGATACATGTAGAAGAATCTATAGGAAAAATGATATATTTTGGGGGATTTGCTTTGAACTAATCCAGCAGGTACTGGAGGAAGTGGGGAAGGGAGTTACAGATAAACAAGACCGGCCATGTGTCTGTGCCGGCAGCTGCTGGAGCTGAGTGGTGGGTGCCTGAGTGCTCATTATTCTACTCTCTGTTTACTTTGAAAATTTCCATAATGAAACATTACTAAAAAAAAAAATAGCTTGGTGTGTGTTAAGGGTAGTGTGCTAAGAGGTAAATGGTGGGAACTGTTGACTGGAAAGAAAATGAAGGCAAAACTGAGCCCAGGAGTGGGAGCAGGGTTTCCCTCACAAGTTGGCTCTGAACCACCTTTTCTGAGACAGCTCTTATAGATAAGCACCTGGCTGTCTTGTGTTTCTCATTAGCCCAGCACACAGTGCTCAAAGTACTGTTAAGATGAAAACATTTATCTTCATAAACAGCCTGCACTGTCCATAATCTATGTACTTCACCTTCCTATAAGATGAAAAGTTTACGAAGTTAGGATTAGGTCTCATCCTTCTCAGTGCCACCCACAGCAGGAAAGACAGCTATTTGCCAACTATTAGACTTTAGCATCCTCCCTTCCTTTTGGTATACGAGAGCCAAAAGTAAACATAGTATTGAGAGAAAGACACACCTGCCCCTTCCCCCAAAAAGATACAGTTCAAATTCAACGCACTGATTTTCTGGTACCTTTATCCAATACTTCCGTCCAAAGAAAAATACAAAGTTTAAGGGTGAAAGCTCAAATCTAAGCAAGATGTCCAAAAACCCATACTTCCGATTTATAGCATTCCATCCATACTATTTGTGTCCCAGGTAACAGCTAGTGCAACCCCCAGCTCAGGAGAAAGAAAGCCACATTACATAAACCAGGCATGGTTTTGAGTAGAGCATTTCTTCTTAAGATTTGGGCTTCTTCGGCCAGGTGCAGTGGCTCACACCTGTAATCCCAGCACTTTGGGAGGCTGAGGCGGGTAGATCACCTGAGGTCAGGAATTTGAGACCACCCTGGCCCACATGGTGAAACCCCGTCTCTACTAAAAATACAAAAATTAGCCAGGCATAGTGGTGCATACCTGTCATCCCAGCTACTCGGGAGGCTGACACAGGAGAATCACTTGAACCTAGGAGGCAGAAATTGCAGTAAGCTGAGATCACACCACTGCACTCCAGCCTGGGCAACAGAGTAAGACTCAAAAAAAAAAAAAGATTTGGGCTTCATCCAGCCTTTGTACTAAAAACAGGAGCAGTGATATCGTTAAGCGCTTATTTCTCAGAGGAGAAGGAAGAAGAGACCTTAATGGTAGTATTAAAGTGGCTAACATCTCTGCAGGGATTGTGAGCCACGGAACATTCTCAACAATTTTCATTTATTAACTCATGTGATCCTCATTCAATCCTAAAAGTAAGTACTATTATTACACACACACCCCATTCCACAGATGAGGAAACTGAGGTACTGCAATGTTAGGTAATTTGCCTAAAGATTACACAGAGCTGAATTTCAAATCCAGACAGCCTACCTACAGTCTGTGCTCTGAACCACCCCAATAGGGAATCTGAAGAATCAAACTATCTTTTATTGAAATTACTCCTTTTAGTGTTATGAATCAACAGTCCAAGTTAACAGTGCATTTATTAATGATTCACTGGTTACCAAGTCAATCAACACGTTGTACTTGCATCAGAATAAAGCATCATGGATTAACCAATACTAAATTATGTTTTATTACTTGTATTTTATCAGACTTCTTAGTAAGGATCTGTGTAATCCTGTATGGGGGACGTGGGGGGATCACCCAAAGCTGACACTAGCAGGTCAGAAGTGGGTATTTGCCAAGGGAAACACTTCAAGGTACAAGAGCAGATTTAAAATACTCTGATTCAACACAGACATCTGCTCTGCCAGAAGCTACCATCTGCTTCATATCCCAGACAGCAAAACATTTCAATAAGGAAGTGTCAAATCTGACTCCTAATCAGGAAACAATTATCTACATTTGCTACTAGCCCCAAAGCTGATTCGAAACTCCTGAGGCAAAAGTTAATGGAAAAATCACAGTACAGATACACATTCTAATGAGACTAGACATCAGCCAAGATTCCTACCAGCTCTAATATTTTTAAAATACTTAATTGACAAAAAAAAAAAAAAAAAAAAGACCCAGAAGATCTAAGATGAGAGATGTTGAGAAAATTTTCAGAGGAGGAAAAAAAGCAGGGGTATAGAAACAAAGGCCTTTGAGGAAAAAATTCAAGGGACTCCCTGACTCAAAAGGACCTACCGTCAGACAACTATGCACACAATTACAACGCAGGAACGTGGTGTAAGGCATCTTTAAGATAACCACAGTGACTTTCGGAGGCTCAAACAGGCAAGCACTAGAGCCTGTTAGGATGTTAGGAAAGGTTTTGTGGAAGAAACCAGCAACTGAGTTAGGTCCTAAAGAATCCGCATGTCCTCAGACCTAGACTCAGCGAGAAAGGAGGCATCCCAGGGAGAAGAGGTCCCACAAGCAGCACATCCCTAAACAGGAGCTGCAGCGCCCAGGACTCCTGCAGTGTCATTCATAAAGATGGCCTGAGACAGTGGCTTGGGGCAAACTGGAGACAGAGGCTACAGAAACCCTCTGGAGTTCAAGCAATGAACATATATTCAGCACCCACTATGGGCCCAAGGCTGGGGATTCAGCATGAACTAGAAAAACAAAGTGCTTGTTTTAACAGAGCTGGGAGTCTAGGCAATGAGACAAAGTCAAACATGTAAGATAATTTCAGTTAGTAAGAAACACGCTGAAGAAAATAAAACAAGATCACGAGATAGAGAGGGACAGGTGGAGTGCCACCTGATGGCACAGCAGCTGGGAAGCGTCGCTACCTGAGAACTCGCCATGTTCCTCTGAAACGTGTGCTCAGGGTAGGGGAGAAAGGAACACAGCTCAGGAGGTGCACATCCTATTAACTGGCCCTCACAGAGTGCCCAGAACACTCAGCAGCCTGACGGACTCCGTGACTTTTTAATTCAACCTCATTAATTGAGCTAATGAGAGGTTACTTCCAAAAAGACTTTGGTATGCTGGTGGGACTATACAATTACAGCCTTTCTTCTGTTTGTTTCTTTGTCTGTTTGTTTGTTTTTTGAGATGGAGTCTTGCTCTGTCACCCAGACTGGAGAGCAGTGGCATAATCTGGGCTCACTGCAGCCTCCGCCTCCTGGGTTCATGCGATTCTCCTGCCTCAGCCTCCTGAGTAGCTGGGATTACAGGCACGCGCCACCACCCTGGGCTAATATTTTTGTATTTTTAGTACAGACGGTAAAATACAAAAATATTGTCTGGACATGGTGGCGCACCCTTGTAATCCCAGCTACTTGGGAGGCTGTGGTGGCAGTGGGCCAAGATTGTGACACTGCACCCCAGCCTGGGTAACAGTGAGACTCTGTCTCAAAAAAAAAAGAGATTTTTAAAGGGATGAAAATATAAATGTTAAGCAATGAGATTCTAATCTTTCTATAAGAAGCATGAGTTTGTTTTCAAAAACATATGTGCAATTTTTTCTTCTTTGAAACTATTTTTCAACATCTCCTTACGTTGTCAGTCCTCACTTAACTAGACTTCAGTGCTCTAAGGATATTCTACTGTCCAAGTTCTCCATACATGAGCCTGTGAACTCCAAAAATCTGAGACAGATCTCGGTCAATTTAGGAAGTTTATTTTGTCAAAGTTAAGGATGCACACCTGTGACACAGCCTCGGGAGGTCCTGATGACAAGTGCCCAAGGTGGTCAGAGCACAACTTGGTTTTATACATTTTAGGGAGACATGAGACATCAATCAATATATGTAAGATGAACATTGGTTCCATCTGGAAAGGCGGGATAACTCGAAGCAAAGGCGGGACAACTCGAAGCAAAGGCGGGACAACTCGAAGCAAAGGCGGGACAACTGGAAGTTGGGAAGGGGCTTCCAGGTCACAGGTAGATAAAAGATAAGAGACAAATGGTTGCATTCTTTTGAGTTTCTGATTAGCTTCTCCAAAGGAGGCAATCAGATACACATTTATCTCTGTGAGCAGAGGGGTGACTTTGAATAGAATGGGCGGCAGGTTTGCCCTGAGCAGTTCCCAGCTTGCCTTTTCCCTGCTTAGTGATTTTGGGGCCCCCAAGATTTATTTTCCTTTCACAAGCCCTATTACTCAACACTCTGAGGGTGTCACAGCAGAGTGAAAAAGAGAAGGGAAAACTTACTTGGCTCTGGCCCACTTTTCTTCTCTGCACTCTGGATGGTGGAGCCAGGCAAATGGCTTGGTCCTTGGCTGCCAGCCCTGGCTGAAGCCCTGCACACATGCCACTCCCTGCTGAGCGCACTCAGGGTGCGGCTCCACCCCAGGCATGGTGACAGAGCTCTGAAGGGAGGTGAATATCCAGTTCCCAGCGCCGAACTCCAGTTCACGTCACCCTCGGTGCCCAAACTTTACCGCTCAGCCCACCTAAGATACACTGCTCATTACCCGCCCTCTCAAGGCTCGGATCAATAAACTCCCTTGACTTCTGCCTCCTGCCAAAACTGAATGAATTCCATTACCCCACCGTCTCTCAATCTCAAGCTGGTGTCACTGTCAGCAAACCTTCACCCTCCACATAAACAAGGTGGCCCCTTCTGCCCCAAGTCATGCTTTGCAGCTGTCTGCACAGGGCTGATGGCACAGCCAACCCCCAGGGCTTCTAGGATGCTGGCAGACCTCCACGGATACTGAGCACCACCGGTACGGCGACCACCAGGGCTAGGTCTGCCTACCAACACCCTGACCGAATCAGTCACAAGCTTATCTGCCCACCCCTATAGCCACATTCTCACTTAAAATACTGCCTCCAAATGGCTTAACGGAATGCCTCTGAAAACTGAACACCAAATCGACACTGCCAAAAAACACAGTCAGCCCTGAATTCAGCCCACCTCCTCCCATTTATCCTCTCCAGGTGAAAATCATTACTGTAATTTTTTTTTTCTTTGTCTAAAACCATACCTCCCGGCACTTTGGGAGGCTGAGGCAGGTGGATCACTTGAGTCCAGGAGTCCGACACCAGCTTGGGCAACACGGCAAAAACCTGTCTCCATAAAAAATACAAAAATTAGCCTGGCACATAGTGGCACGTTCCTGTAGTCACAGCTACTCAGGAGGCTGAAGTGGGAGGATCACTTGAGCCCAGGAGGTCAAGGCTTCAGTGACCGTGATCATGCCACTGCACACCAGCCTGGGCAACAGAGGGAGAGAGAGACCATGTCTTTAAAAAAACAAACAAACAAACAAACGAACAAAAAAACAAAACAAAAAAAAAAACAAGAAAACCATACCTAGTGTTCTTCAGTTATACACTTTTCTCAAATTCATACACACACACACACAATTATAACCATTTCATACTTACAAGGGGTCCTTTCCTAAGTGACATTAATTCAGAATGTGGGGTTCCCCTTCTCTAGTACACCCTTACCATCAAACCAGCTCCATCTGGTTAAAATACAGCCCCAATTTCCCTGCTCAAAAATTTTCACTGGCTCCCAATGACTTCCTCAGTATTAGCGGATGGCCCTTCATCCAAGACCCTCCGGGACAGTCATTTCCTAGCCTTATCTTCTGCCTGCAGACCACATCACCCAGCCAAATGTTTCCTGCTCCTTAGACACAAGTCACCCTTCATGCTGTTTCAGTCACCATGCCCACACATCTGTCCTTCTATGAAGATCTAGTCAATGCCATCTCCTCCCAAAAGTCTTTCCTGGTTATGGCCAATCCATGATCATCTCACACCTTTGAACTGCAAAAGCACTTCTTACTGCTGATTAAAACTATCACTTTTTGCCTGGTATTCTAAGCATTCTTAAACGGAGATGACACCTCGAGCCCTCGGCTAGCCTGTAAACGCCTTGAGGGCAGCACCTCCAACCAAACACCCTGCACATAAAAGGGTTATCTGGATGTGATGAAGTAACTTGCTCCCAGACTTTTCATCCTAGAGGCCCTGAGGGTCAGGAAGAACTGTAAGTGAAAGGGAGCCATGGGCATTTCTGAGCAGGAAACTCTTGCGCTGGACCTGCATTCTGAGAAAATCAAGGTGTCCCGGCAGAGCAGAAAACGCTAGCCTTGCAGTCAAGACTCACCTGCCACTTACAAGGTATGTGGCCTTGGACAGATGACTCTCCCACCACGGACCACAGGAATCTAATCTAGAACTTTTGCTTTCAGAGTAAATTAGGAAAGGCAGATAAATTGTATCTTAAGTTCCAGTTTCCTAGGGGTATCACCTGCAATGATGTAGAGATTCCAAGACTCCAGACAGGGATGTGCCCTGTTCTCAGTTTCCATGACAGACCCGGAAAGGTGGGCAGCAAAGTGAGGCCATGGATTTGCCAGCCCTGGGCCCCGTGATCTTTAAGGTCTGACATCATTGGATTTGGAAAGGCTTTGAGATGCTCCTCTGGGAACTCAAAACCCTAAAAGTCTACAGGGTTGTTCTGCAACGGAGATGCAGAACTCCCTGTGATGGAAGACATAAAAGGGAAAGACGGAGAGACAAGAGGAAGGAGGGAAGGAAGAATACCAACCTAGTATTAAAATTGGTCACTTGAAAACATGCAAGCCCTGTGATTTTCATCAGGAAACTGCACAAAAAGTAAATTCATAATGTCTTTTAAAAGTTTGCATTCCTCTGATTAAAATGTTCTGGCTTTTGAAAGCAAATGGTGATGCTAAATGTGCTGGGCACAATGGTTACATCAGGAAGAAAGACGGTGCAGCTCAGAACGTGGCTCTGCCTGTCCCTGTGGTTTGACTCAACATTGCTCAGCCTCCCCTCTTCATCTGAGGTAACAGCAACAACTATGCCCCCCACACAGGATCACTGTGAGATTAAAGGGGTCCCACGTGTAGCATAGTGCCTGGCACATGGGGAGCAAAGAGTGAAGGAAGGCTGGCTACAGTTATTATCACCATCATCAAGATCATGACTATGTCATTAGCAGCATATTTCTGTCAGCGTGTTAATGCAAAACAATTTTTTAAAACAGAAAAGTTACACAAAACTGAGAAAGAAAAATGACGTCGGTCAGCCCGACCTAGTCTTACAAAATTACTTGCTGGCTTTTCTTTGGTGTCTGGTTTTGATGCCAGCCAAGGAACAGTTGTCACTAACTCTTTTCAATTTGGTGGTGTATCTTATGAAGCAAGAGGTGCTTAGACAAAGACACACACATGTTCAGGCTGGTATACAGAAAAGAACTGATCTGATAGAAATGAACATCCTGTGCTTTCAGGTAGAAACAAAGGAGTTTTTCAACAGAGTGAGCTCAGATCTTGTATTCTGGAGCTTCAGAGGAATACAGCAAGTTAAAATGACACTTTTTCCTAACAGCTCGCCAGGATAAGCCAATGAAGATGGGTCACACCTGGAAACAACTTCCATCAACCCCTGGCAGGGGTAAAAAGTCATTTGTGGATCCCTTTCACAAAGGTAAATACCAAGGAAGTTCTGCAGTCTGGAAGGTAGAGTGGCCTACATTCATCTCGCCCAACAAGCAGAATGCAAGATGCACCCCTCCAGGGGTTCCTGCTTTCACTCACAAATCCAGAATGCCCTGGTCAGTTCTATAGCAGAAAACCCAAGCTCACTGGGCGTGGTGGCTCACACCTGTAATCCCCGGACTTTGGGAGGCTGAGGCGGGTGGATCACTTGAGCTCAGGAGTTCGAGACCAGCCTGGCCAACATAGTGAAAGCCCGTCTCTACTAAAAATACAAAAAATTAGCAAGGCCCCCTGTAATCCCAGCTACTTCAGCCTGGGTGACAGAGCAAGACTCCATCTCAAAAACAAATAAAAAATAAAAGGACTTGCATTCCTCGAATAAAAGTTATTTTCTCATTATCAATTGTAAACCTGTTTTTAAATGTTGATACCAACTGACAATATCAAATGTAAGACAGTATCTTTAAATCAAAGTAAATACAAATGATCTAAAGCTTTAAAATGAGGAATACACGCCGGGCATGGTGGCTCACGCCTGTAATCCCAGCACTTTGGGAGGCTGAGGCGGGTGGATTACTTGAGCTCAGGAGTTCGAGACCAGCCTGGCCAACATAGAGAAACCCTGTCTCTACTAAAAATACAAAAAAATTAGCCAAGCGTGGTGGTGGACGCCTGTAACTCCAGCTACTCGGGAGGCTGAGGCAGGAGAATTGCTTGAACCCGGGAGGCAGAGGTTGCAGTGAGCCGAGATCGCACCACTGCACTCCAGCCTGGGTGACACAGCAAGACTCCATCTAAAAAAAAAAAAAAAAAAAAAAAACTATTTCTACATGGTTCTATAGCTTGTATTCTCAACGGAGCAAGAAAGCCTGTAATAAATACCTTTGCAAATACAGAACACTCAGCAGATGGAATGTGAACTTTAAAATATGCCCTTAACATGTTACTTTACCAAAATTACTTCTCATTCATACCCAGGCATCTTGGAAAGCTACATCCATTTACACAGCAAATGAGCAGTTTGTAGAACCACACGGCACACCAAAAACAGCTGACACATCTCCTTGGATTTAAAACAAAGTCATCCCAGCATCTCATTTTCATCCTACCATAGCCTTATCTAATTCTTTAATGTTCTCTTTACTTTGATGAGGAATTTAATTATAAACAAAAAAAGAGAAAATACATCTATAAACGCTTGCCCCACAACTAATAACACTTAGATATTATGTTAGTTATAACATGTTTAACCTTGTTCTCATCAGTGTTCATTTAATGTTTTACCTTTTTTCACTTGGCCTAGTACAAGCATGTTTCATTCTGCTATATAGACTCTATGTTGTTTCTTCTAATGAATAACCGTGGCTGACTTCACCATTTTCCTCTTGTTGAACTTCTGAAGCTATTCTAATGGTTTCGGAAATTAAATAATGTGGGACTGAATATCCTTACCCATAATTTCAGTTCCCTAGGGATAACAAGTATTACAGAGGACTGCAAGGGCATGAACATTTTTGTAGATCTTGATAATCATGCCAAATTGCTGTTCCGAGAAGATGCAGTCTTTTACACAACATCACCAACAACGTCCAAATGCACCAGGCCACTGTGACTTTGCAGCGTCAGGTATGTTAATCATTTTTGGTTTTGCCAATTTAACAGGATATAGGATAATATTTTAACTTTTGAGTCTCTGAAGACTAGGTTTATTCGGTGCTTTTCTGTGGCTTTTTACTGGTTAATTCCCTCCTTTGTGAATTGCCCACTTGGGTCCTTTGGGCAAACATCCACTAGGCACTTAATGTTCTTCTCATAAACTTGATGGGGTTAAAGTGCCTCATAATTGTTTTGCATTTTCAATTAGAAGCTTTCATAATATGAAAGAATAATAGAGACTTAATTCCATCACTGATTAGTTGGATAAATGTTCAGAAGTAAACCAACATTATCACTACCCCCAAGGACTCCCACCTCTGGGAAATAAAATGTGCTTTACTTTAAGCCAGTGGCTTTCCAAGTTACTAAACACAGTCCACATTTCTCACCCACTACTGCTTTCCACTAGAACAAACTCAGTGATAAAAATGGACTATCACCACGTAAACAGAGGGGAGAAAATACACACCTATTTAGAAACAGAGTCACAAATGAGTCATATTTTAACAGCAAAACATACCTGACTTCAATTCTCATTATTAGGAAATTATAACTCCAAAGCACTACTGATGCTAAAAACACAGCACTACATCCTATAGATCTGGCCAAAGAACTCTCCACAAACTGCACGGAGTCACCTTTTAGGCAAGGCTTGGCTTCTAAAATCAAGGCTAAGGTTAAGACAAAATTATCCTTGAAAATTACTTAAATAGCACACACAGTAAGCACATGTGGTTTTCTGAGTGCTGCATTACCTTTCACAAAGCCTAACCCTGCCAATTTTCCTGCAGCATTGGAAGGGATTGCTGTTTCTATGGTTGAATACCAGAAGAAACGCATCTGGCCTGTATTTAAGGAGATGTTGCATGAAAAAAATACATATTGTTAATTATTTTTAAGCAAACATTGAGACTTGAATTAGTATAAGTTAAATGCACATGACACAATGCAACTGTAAACTGATGATAAAGACAAATGAACTAATTTATAATTTAAAACCAAAACAAAAGCAGCAATTGAAAACCACAACCAACTCAACACTACACTGATCTTATACCAATAAAACATCCTTCTCACAATTGGCTTGAATTAAAACTACCTGCATGCACATATGTCATTGCTTTGCAATCCTGCCAAGTACTAAGTGACATCCAGACTTTAGAATACTGAACTGAAATCATCAATGAAATCTAGCAATTTCACTGGTATCTGTATTTGATATAATTTTTCATTTACAGATACCAAATTTCAGTGACTCCTGGAAGTTTACCTAGTTACGAAGATGTATGTAATAGTAGAACCCAGTGGAGGATTTACATCAACACTCAAGGTTTCTCAGTAATTGTGCTCTGAAGTCACCGCTGTGAAAACAAGTGCCAAACAAATAAAGGAAACAAAAAATATGAGCAAAAGTGGGCATTTTTTAAAGTCACAAATCCTTTCAGTTTGGAGACTTACACAACATAGAAGCAGCATAGAACCCAATATTTCAAGCTCATATGACAGAGCAGCTGCTCAAAATACAGCAGCACTCTAAATTTATATACTACTGAACCAAGATTGACCACCAAAAGGAACAAATCAGTCAGGCATGGTGGCTCACACCTGTAATCCCAACAGTTTCGGAGGCTGAAGCAGGAGGATCGCTTGAGGTCAGGAGTTGAGACCAGCCTGGGCAACAAAGCAAGACCTCATCTCTGCAAAAAAACTAGCCAGGCATGGTGGTGTGTGCCTGCAGTCCCAGCTACTTGAGAGGCTGAGACAGGAGGATCACTTTAGCCCAGGAGTTTGAGGCTGCAGTGAGCTGTGATGCACAACTGCACTCCAGCCTGGACATCAGAGCAAGACCCTATCTCAAAAAACAAACAAAAAGAAAGGACAAGTCTCCTTACAGGACCAAGCCTGGGCAGGCAAGCAGAATGCAAGGCTGCCAGTTCAAGGTGCCCTTTGTCCAAACAATCTACTACAAGAGATATATGCGTGAGAGAATGAAGAAATTTGGGTGCAAATATAAAGGAAAGCAAAGTAGATGAAGTATTGCTATGAGAGTTTGTCACTTACTGCCTAAAGAAACCAAAGAAGTGGAGAGAACTCTCTCATTTTTTTAAACCACACAAATTTGTACAGAATCAAGATGTAAAGAGAAATCTGTAGGTATTATTCTAGAATTTAAAAGACATATCATAAGAACTCTTGACCCACCTCTGAAAAAGCAATAAGCAAAGCTATCATCCTCACCACCTTCATGCTTTTCAATTAATAACTTTGTTCATTTTACAAAGTAATATATGGCCAGGCATGGTGGCTTACACCTGTAATCCCAGCACTTCGGGAGACCAAGGCAGAAGGATTGATTGAGCTCAGGAGTTCGAGATCAGCCTGGGCAACACAGTAAGACCTTGTCTCTACTAAAAATTTATATATACAACCCTATAGGCTCATGGTTGAAATTTTGGAAAAGTACGAAGCCAATAAAATTCATCCATAACTCTGACCAAAAAAGAATTGATCAGTTAGGCAGCCAAGAACCCTGGAAGAAAGTGAGAATATAATTTTGGAACTAGTAACAAGAAGACAAGGGAACAATAAACCCAGCAGGACACCATCTCTAAGCTCTGAGAACTAATTTTGACAAGTCCAAGAAAAATATACCTCAGACACCTACAAGAGATTACTATTTATGTGGCACAGGAGACACTAACATACGACAATCTGAGAAAGACAGAATGGCATGATCCAAAGCAATTAATCTGACTGGCTAGGGAGCTCAGTTTTTAAAACAGCAGATCTAAACACTTCAGGGGCCAGCACATGGCCAGGGAGGAAACAAAAATGTGGTATGAACCACAGGGAACTTTGTCAGAAGACAAATCCAGAATTAGCTGAAGTTCTTGAACAATTTTTTTTTTTTTTTTAGTAAGCAGAGGAAGGACAGCAAGGTTTTAAGCTATATTTGGGGCCAGGAAGAGATAAGCTACAGATAGAATACAGCTCCTATTAACTAATCATATGTTCTCTTGGTCTTTCACAACAGAAGAATCTTCAAACTAGTGAAGGAACAACATTGTGAGCAGAAAATTAGAAGCCTCCTCCCATCCGAATTCCACCATTGGTGGAAAAAGAAAACAAAAAAAAACAAATTAAGGAGACTATTTCCAAGTATTTTCAGTCGTGTTTTTTTGTGGGGGGGGGGGGCGGGTGGGGGATGGAGTCTCACTCTGTCGCCCAGGCTGGAGTGCAATGGCACAATCTCAGCTCACTGCAACCTCTGCCTCCCAAGTTCAAGCGATTCTCCTGCCTCAGCCTCCTGAATAGCTGGACTTACAGGCATGTGCCACCATGTCTGGCTAATTTTTTTTTTTTTTTTTTTTTGTATCTTTAGTAGAGACACGGTTTCACCATGTTGGCCAGGCTGGTCTCAAACTCCTGACCTCGTGATCCACCCACTTCGGCCTCCCAAAGTGCTGGGACTACAGGCGTGAGCCACCATGCCTGGCCTTCAGTAGTCTTATGTCATTTCCCTGCTTTGGAACCTTCGAAGACTCCTGCCTGCTCACAAAGCACGGACATCTTCCTATGTGACAAAGGACTCTACACTCAGTCCTTCAAGCCCCTTCCCTCCACCATCCCACCCTCTTCCCCTGGTGGACTCAGCCAGATCTGCCTCAGATGTCAATTTCCCTGGCTGGTCTCTAACTCACCATCAGCCTGAGAGGAGTTGAGAAGGCCTTCCCTGCAGCCCCATGTCCTCACATATGTGTCTCCTACTCCATTTCCACCTTTGCAAACATTTTATACAACCTCTCTCTCCCCGCACAGGGGGCTCTTAGAGGGCATCCTCACAGTGCAGCACCAGGTATACAGTAGATGCTCATTAGACATTTGGATAATTTTTATTTTTTAGAGACAGGGTCTCACTCTGTCACCCAGGCTGGAATACAGTGGTGCAATCGCTGCAGCCTCAAACTCTCAAGCTCAAGCAATCCTCCCACCTCAGCCTCCTGAGTAGCTGGAACTACAGGCATGCACTACAACAGTCAGCTAATTTTTTTTTTTTTTTAAGAGATGGGGGTTTTGCTTTGTTTCCCAGGCTGGTCTTGAACTCCTGGGCTCAAATGATCCTCCTGTCTCAGCCTCTCAAAGTGTTGGGATTACAGGTGTGAGCCACCTCACCCAGCCAAGCATTTGTTAATTAATCAACTGATTCCCTGAGGAATGATGGTGAGTCTAGGAAAGAGACCAGAAAATTAAGATGAGCACTGCCCTCCCTCCCGCAAGGAGGCCTTTGGGAAAGAGACTGCTGCCAAGTTACCACCACATCCACGGCTCTTGAGTTAGAGCTTTATCCTCCAGCAGCCTTCAGAGGTACCACTGTCCCTCCATATCCGTAATGGATTAGTTACAGGATCCCTGTGGATACCAAAATCCAAGGATGCTTAACTCCCTGACATGAAATGGCGCAGCATTTGCATATAACCTCTTGTATACTCTAAATCAGCTCTAAATCACTTATAGTACCTAATACAAACTCACTAAGCTCCAAGCCAATGTGTGTGGCTTTAGGCAAGACATTTAAGCTTGTGGTATCTCCAGGTATTCATCTGTAAATGGACAGGGGAAATAGGGAGGAAGGTTGCGGTCTGCTGGATTCTAAATCCCTCGGGCCAAGGACAGAAATGAGGCAAAGGCTGGTTCAAATCCACTTGTTTGGCAAGTAGTTGGCAATTTCACTGTGCTGCCTTAACCATCATGTTCTCAGCTTTAAGAACTGAGCATCATGAATGAAGGGGAACAGACTTCGTTTGTGTTGCTAAATGGCAAACATGAATTAACAAGGGGGAAAATGCAGCAACAATCAGGCCAACAGAGCATTTTCCAATAAGAAATGTTATTCCCTAGAATTGGCTGCCTTGAAAGGTGCCAAGTGCATGGCCACAGACAATATCCTCCAGCAGAGACATGGTGGAGGAAAATTTCTACACTGTTCAGAAGATCTACACATTTAGAAGGGACCTCTTAGGTTCCTTTCAACTCTAAATTCTATTTTATGAATTACATGACTAAGAAACTATATGTATGCTGAAAAGACTTAAGTGACAAATTATGTTTTTAATAACATTAAGAGCTTGCCAAAAAAAAGAGCTGGCTGTTTAAAATACCTGGTATGATTAAATAAATCTCATTTCACCTATCGTTTCCTTAACATGAGGTAGACCAGTATTTTTGTTCACAAAGGACTGACAAACAGCAGCTAACTGAGAAAGCTGTCAGATTCTGACTTAGAAAAATCTAGCATCCTTCAGCATACATAGTATATTTAGTTGTTCAGTATTAATATGTTTAAAGTTACAGTCACCATCCAAATAAACTAAAGCAGGCTGGGCACAGTGACTCATACCTGTAATCCCAGCACTTTGGGAGGCCGAGGTGGGCGGATCACTTGGGGTCAGGAGCTCAAGACCAGCCTGGCCAACATGGCGAAACCCTGTCTCTACTAAAAATACAAAAATTAGCCAGGTGGTGCACACCTGTAATCCCAGGTACTCGGGAGGCTGAGGCAGGAGAATCGCTTGAACCTGGGAGGTGAAGGCTGCAGTGAGCCAAGATCATGCCACTGCACTCCAGCCTGGGTGAAAGAGCTAGACTCCATCTCAAAAAATAAAATAAAATAAAGCAGCCGGGCGCGGTGGCTCACGCCTGTAATCCCAGCACTTTGGGAGGCCGAGGCCCAGCAGATCACGACATCAGGCGATCGAGACCATCCTGGCTAACACGGTGAAACCCCGTCTCCACTAAAAATAAAAAAAAAATTAAAAAAATTAGCCAGGCATGGTGGCGGGCTCCTGTAGTCCTAACTACTCGGGAGGCTGAGGCAGAAGAATGGCATGAACCCGGGAGGCAGAGCTTGCAGTGGGCCGAGATCACGCCACTGCACTCCAGCCTGGGCGACACAGCGTGACTCCATCTCAAAAATAAAATAAAATAAAGCAACTATGCAGATATCACCAGCTTTTAAATTTTCTTCAAGAAACCCTCTGAATTCAGTCCTTCTGTGAAGAAAGATGCATTACCTGACACACACAGGCAGGCAGTGGAAGACATTCATTAGCTAGAACATTTCAATAGCAAAGCATGCAAAACTGCAAATGCCATCTAGACAAGATCCATGCCTGGAGACATCCAACGTGGCACTTTCAAGGAGACGTGTCCATTTCAAAGTCCTATACACAGGCAAATTCCTTGGTGATTTTCTTGGGTCTGTCTTCTCTGAGTCCCTTCTAGCTGTAGATCTAAATGCTCGGAAGTAAACAATGACAGTAATGCCACCGAGTGGCACCTGAAATCAACTGTGACTCTCTACGATTCCCCATCCTATTCTACTTCCCTCCATCTTCTTCTTTCCCCGGAAGATGCATTACACCTTCTGGTAATCCCCATGGAAACTACTGTGAAGTCCATTTTAACTCTGCTTCTTTTGTATGAATGGTTTTAAAATTGCTGAGACTTATTTTATTAAAAAAATTAATTTGCTCTTGACACAACTAACTTCACAAACTAATCACCAAATACCTTCCTGGTTTTCCATTTCTACCTCCTGACCTGAATGCTCCTTACCATAGAGATGTGGAGAGCACTGGCTGTAAGTCCAAGTACTGGTTTACGGCAGATGTCTTGGAGATCTATCTCAATAGCCCTCTCAAAACACGTTTGTAATGATGTTGAATATAAAATAACAATTTACATAATAAGGTGCATAAGCACCTCCTTTGCACTATTAATAAATTTTTGTTGGCAATATTTTCTAGGGATAAACATCTAATTATTACAAGCCCATAATCAGAAAAATGTCTTATGAGCGTGACATTCAGGAATTATTTCTTGGAGGTCATCAGGAGTCACAATAGGAGGAAATCGTGCCCTGCTGTTAAAACTCTACCAGAATTCATTAATAAAAGCACTGCTCAGTAGAAATGTAGTCTTTGGTCTCCTGTCTATTTTATCCCCAGGGACAACAGTACGCCCTTTCTTTTCTCTTGCCGCAGTTTTTTACAGAAGCTGTATTTTTTATCATAAAAGGAGGGGAAGCTGCCATTCAAAATTGCTGTTATTTTCCTATTCTGTTTCTCTGGATAAAACAAGACTTCTAAACTAACAAAGGACAATAATCAGTGCGGAGGCAACATACGCTGAAATAAGGAAATGCTGAAAACTAACATTCACCACGCCACACATAAAAAGCAGCTGAAACTCAACGTGAAAGCTAAACCTCAAGATATGACTTCACACAGCTATAACGGGAAACATAAAAGCAACTTGGGATTTCCTCTATTTGAAGGGATGCATTTCCGCTTACTTTGTACTTTCCTTGAACTTGGAGCAGGACATCACTCTTGCATCCCACGCTTCTCAGCTCAGGCTCGGTATCCAAAAAAAGCTCTGTGCCTCTGGGGACCTGGGGCACCCCTCCCCCCTCTAGCCTGCTGGAGCACCCACATGTGCAGAGGCTCACACGAGCATAAATCAAGGGACATGGCTGACACTAAGCACTGCTGAGAGCCTGCACAGCTGCAGACGCTGCTCACAAGTAAAAGAGATACCCCTCTGCAGGAGGCAGCTGCGGTATTTCACTTGCCCCTCTGACCAGGACCCATGCAGTCCTTGGAAGAGCTGGGTGCTCCCTAGGGCAACTGGTATTTTCTGTCTGCTCTTTGGTCACTTCCCATTCTTTTTTACTGGTTTCTGGTGGTTTCCACATGTGGACAAATAGAGCATAATAAAGAGGTCTGCCAGATTTCAGCCTCCTTTCACAGATGAGGCTTGGTTTAAAAGGAAAATGAACGAAAGAAAACTTACAAAACCAACAGCCTGATGGTACTTTTAGGAAAAGGTTAGTATGGTTCTGTATGAATGGTAGGTGACAGCTGGATCTGATTCTCTAAATATACCAGGCCTTTTCCTACAAGACTTTATAATAACTTATTTGTTCTTAAATTCAGGTGGGGCCTCTGGGAGGAAAAGTTGAGTGCAGGAAAATAGAACAAAAATTAATTAACAGTTTCCAACTGTAACATGCTCAGCACTATACACAGAGTGTAAAAGATATAAAATATTGCCCCCGACCTAGAACACACAGTTCTGTGGGGTAAGACAGCCAAATGCCTGAACCAATGACAGAACACTGTGCTCTATCGGATAATCCAGACTGAACTGAATGGCCCAAAAATCACAAACATGCAGAGGGCAGTGGAAATGTTCTTGAACGTTTTAGACAAACAGAACTGTATAATTAATGGATTTTCCCCTTCACAGTACATAAACATTCTGAAAGGTAGTACCTAAATCTGGCACCTACTGAGAAATGCTGACACAGCTGCAATGATTTTTTAGATATTTTTAACTTGTAAAGAGAACAGAGTAAGGAAGTGCACTTTGACCCAATTTTAACCATCTGTAATTTTTTTCTTCCAATCATCCTAACTGGCTTCTAGACCCAAGTGCTAATTTGATTGCAAAAGGAAAGCTGCCAAGAAATTATGGAGGCCTGATTTAAGGACAGCATGTAACCTGAACACATTGCAGTCAAGCAGTGTGTATGAAGAGAGCTATACCTGTAAGGAAAGACTGAAGTTCTAAGACAGCAGAGGCAGAATCCAGCCTCCTCCACTGGGCGCTGGAGCAAAATTTTAGAAAGGTTACCCAGGGAATCTTGACAGGGGACTGCAACATGCTCAGAGGCAGCCAGAGGTGCTCAACCAGCCTTAGGGCACATCAAACAACCTCCAGTGAGAACTCTCCACCCTTCTTAATCCCAAAATGTTAAAATCAACTCCACATCCATTCTTTTTAAATAACTTTAATCCTCACAACGACATCAAAACATTTTAAGCACTATCCACTCCACTTTTGGCTGATCGAAAGACTTAACAGTAGACATTATTTCCTCTACACATAAAACACTGTTACCTCTACCCCAGCAACTTACGGAGATTAATTTTTCTCCCATCCCCACTCTACACCAACTTTATTCCAAGAAGGACTTAACGTGAGAATATACAAACATTAGGAAAGTTTTTTTTTTTTCTTTTTTTTTTGAGACTGAGTCTTGCTCTGTCACCCAGGCTAGAGTGTAGTGGCGTGATCTTGGCTCACTGCAGCCTCTGCCTCCCGGGTTCCAGCAATTCTCCTGCCCCAGCCTCCCAGGTAGCTGGGATTACAGGCATGCACCACTACACCCAGTTATTTTTGTATTTTTAGTAGAAACGGGTTTCACCATGTTGGCCAGGCTGGTCTCGAACTCCTGACCTCAGATGATCCACCTACCTCGACCTCTCAAAGTGCTAGGATTACAGGCGTGAGCCACCATGCCTGGCCAAGGTTTTAAATCTTATGTACTTTAAAACATTTTAAGACATGTTTGTCAGGGTGTCAAACCTTAAGATTTAGTTGAGTCAAGTTGAATTTACTTAATCCAAGGGACAATAGGTAAAAAGCATTAATTTGGGAGTATAACACACTGAATGATGGCACTCTGATCTAGAAACTGGGTTTCTAAATACACTCTCTAAAATACATTTATCTGAATTTTTAAATATTTCTGATTGGCCTCCATTTTTATTTGGAATAGTTTTGCCTCAGGATATATTTTAATCATTTAAGGATATAAGTCCTCGGCCAGGCACAGTGGCTCACGCCTGTAATCCCAGCACTTTCGGAGGCCGAGGCGGGCAGATCACAAGGTCAGGAGATCGAGACCATCCTGGCTAACATGGTGAAACCCCGTCTTCACTAAAAATACAAAAAATTAGCTGGGCGTGGTGGCGGGCGCCTGTAATCCCAGCTACTCAGGAGGCTGAGGCAGGAGAATGGCGTGAACCCGGGAGGCGGAGCTTGCAGTGAGTTGAGATCACGCCACTGTGCTCCAGCCTGGGCGACAGAACGAGACTCCGTCTTCAAAAAAAAAAAAAAAAAAAAAAAAAGAATGTAAGTCCTCTTGCACATTTATAATAAAAACAAGTGATTATACAGTTTTGTCACAAAAGTATAATCAACCACATCATAAAAACTTTAGAAAGAAAAAAAGGGAGAACAACCCATAATCCCATTACTCCAAAGCAAATACTATTATTGGCTTAGTACGTTGCCAAATCACTTAGTGCATTTTTTTTTCTAACTACTTGGAACTAGACTATATATGTAACAGCAACTCATTAAGTGGTTTTTCAAACTTTCACAGTTTTATAACTATCATTCTGTCATTTAAAATCAGTATTCTAGGCCAGGTACAGTGGCTCACGGCTGTAGACCCAGTACTTTAACAGGCTGAGCAGGAGAATCATTTGAGTCCAAGAGTTTGAGATGAGCCTGGGCAACATAAAGAGACCATGTCTCTACAAAAAACTTCTTAAAAATTAGCCAGGCATGGTGATACACGCCTGTAGTCCCGGCTACTTGGGAGGCTGAGGCAGGAGGATTGCTAGAGCTGGGGTGGTGGAGGCTGCAGTGAGCTGTGACCACGCCACTGTACTCCATCCTGGGTGATGGAGAGAACTTGTCTCAAAAAATAAAATAAAAACATCAGTATTCTAAAAAGTTAATAGTATTCCAAGTCATAAAATATAAATAGCAATATATAAAAGAGTAAAGAAAGAAAACTGCAGCCCCATGTGAGACAGAAGGAGAAAAAAAGACCCACATGTTTTAGGATCTTTTACATTCCCCAATGAAGATGTGAATACTAACAAGAGTAGGGCAAAGTGGAGATAAACACTCTCCTGGTATTTTCCAACATACTTTTTTTTTTTTTGGAGACGGAGTCTCACTCTGTCGCCCAGGCTGGAGTGCAGTGGTGTAATCTTGGCTCACTGCAACCTCTGCCTCCCAGGTTCAAGCGATTCTCCTGCCTCAGCCTCCCAAGTTGGGATTACAGGCACACGCCACCATGCCAGGCTAATTCTTGTAATTTTAGTAGAGACAGGGTTTTGCCATGTTGGCCAGGCTGGTCTCGAACTCCTGACCTCAAGCGATCCGCCCGCCTCAGCCTCCTAAAGTGCTGGGACTGCAGGCGTGAGCCACCGTGCCCGGCCCCAATATACTTTTTTAAGGATTTTCTTCCCCTTTTTTCCCCGTCTCTTCATCCCTTCTCATCTTGTGGAAGGCTGGGAAAGTTAAATATCCTCACACTGTCAAGCGGAAACATCACTGTTCATCAGCGCAAAACCTCCCTGCTGTGATGTACAACAGTCATTTTTCTAGCATTCATTCCCATTTTCACCTCTTAATGTCCTCTTTGAAAAGTTAGTGCCAGAAATCTCATCACTAAGTTTCCTCCCTGCCTTAGACTGCTGGAAATGGCTAAAAAGGATACTGGAATTTATTTAATTTATAGGAACAAATATTAAACTGATTACTTAATATATGTGCTGCAGAAAAATTCTATATGTGGACTACTAGACAAAGAGTTCTAAGGACGATTACAGGGAAAATAATTGCTAATGCCTCATGCAGGAATGTCATTAATCTTTCTGTCTATGCAAAGCTATCTGAGATGTTATACTTTTTGTTTAAACACACAAATGAGATATAACTTTATCTTTTAAAAAATAAATGGTTTTTCAAATCTCAAAAAACCTCAATATCCAAAAACCTGCACATGTATCACACATTTATGCTTTTGAAACCCCAGAAATATAAATCCACAATTTTATATCCTTAATTTTGCATTTTGCAACTTATACTCTTGAAGTACAGAATAATCTTCTTGAAGTAAAAGCATTTTTTGCATCATACTTTTTTTTTTTAGAAAGAAAAAGAGTCCAGGCACAGTGGCTCACGTCTGTAATCCCAGCACTTTGGGAGGCTGAGGCAGGCAGATTGCTTGAGCCCAAGAGTTAGAGACCAGCCTGGGTAACACGGCGAGACCATGTCTACAAAAAAATTAGCCAGGCATGGTGGTGCATGCCTGTAGTCCCAGCTATTCGAGAGGCTGAGGTGGGAGGATTGCCTGAGCCCAGGATTTCAAAGCTGCAGTGAGCAGAGATCACATCACTAATGTGCATTTATAAGGCACAAATGGGACAGGCTCATGTGAAGGTCTTATAAGACATGGGCGGACCGTGTGGACAGAGAGAAATTTATCTAGACATTAGGAAACTTTTGAATTTCACTCCACGTAACATTCCAGAGAAGAAAAAAAAATTAATACTATACATTGCTCTTCAAACTATTTTATACAGAACCCTAGTTCAAAGAAGCACTTTGTATGTTCGCCTGAAAATGTAGGACCAGTTGATGTAGTTACGTGTCATCTCCTGGGTGACAGAGTAAGACCCTGTCTCAAAAAAAAGGAACAGTGTCTTCCCTGCATTTCTCCCCACCCTGCGCATCTTCCTCTTCTTCACTCATGTGTGTGGTAAAGCCAATAATCAGTGACGTAATGTCAACAGACAGAGGCAGACATACAAACGAAATCACATATGAAATACAGAACTCTGACAACTTACTTTTTCCCTCTCACCCAGCTAACTCATCTCTTTAGGCTTTGCCCATGAGGCTCTGTGGAAGCTCCATCTTGCAAATATTCTCAGCAGATGAGCCCACTCAATGTCCCATCCCAATGTCAGAGTTTCCACTACATGTTATTTATTCTCACAATGACTCTTCCTATCAAGTATTTTGTGTTCTGGCCAAAGCTTTGACCCATAACTATTGACTAAAAGTGGTCAACAGATGATGAAGGAATAGCCCAAAGAAACAAAGAAATATATCCCACTAGATGTTAAAATACATATTTTACAGCAGTTAGGCCCCATAAGAGAAATAACAAGGAGGCTCTTAGGGATGGCAGAAGTCCACTGACATTTTGAACAGCCTTATAAACAACAGTGCCACCTGGGAGGACTGATCAGCAATTTTATGAATGGCAAATGCAAGTAACCACAGACCCAGGCATCTTATTACATCTGGGGATTAGAAAGAAATGGAATGTGCCTGCCAGCGTATGACAGGGACAGATCTCCATGAGATCCACACACTGATCCAATTAATGTTTCTATTTAAGTACTCTGTAAAAAGCCACTTAAAATTTATCCACTCCTGACACTTACTGCTTACTAGGGGCCTTTTAAAAACTGAAAAATGAGTTTTAGGATCCTACATATATTTCTTTTCCAATATACATATATAGATTTGGTTTTTGGAAGGCCAAAAATGGCATGCAGAGTTCAAAGAGATCATTATTTTAGGTAGATCAAACAAAAAAACTGGTAGATAGACAGTTGCAATGCTCTAAACACATGTTATCTAAAACGACTAGTCTAAAAATTAGCACCACATCCAGCTCAAAAGTCAAGTAACCAGAAAACTGCTAGATCTTTTACATCTTTTATCAATCCTTAGAGACTTAGCAAAAATCCCTATGAATCTACTATACACCAAGAATATAAAGATAGGCCAGGCACAGTGGCTCACGCCTGTAATCCCAGCACTTTGGGAGGCCGAGGCAGGCAGATCACGAGGTCAGGAGTTGGAGACCAGCTGACCAATGTGGAAAAACCCCAACTCTACTAACAATACAGAAATTAGCTGGGTGTGGTGGCGGGCGCCTGTAATCCCAGCTACTCAGGAGGCTGAGGCAGGAGAATTGCTTGAACCCAGGAGGCGAAGGTTGCAGTGAGCCAAGATCGCGCCACTGCACTCCAGCCTGGGCAACAGAGTGAGACTCCATCTCAAAAACAATAATAATAATTCCAAAATGGCAGAGTCTTAAGGAAAGACAAGGTACTAATCAGATAACCAGATGAAGTTACCCACGTCCGTAAGAAGGTGAGCAGCCAAGCAAGACTTGTCAAGGAAAATGCTAAGGGCAGATGCTCTTTACAGCTGGTCTCAGTAAGGCTGCAGAGCATTTGAGCAGCAGCACAAACAATGCTGCAGAGAGGTACTCAGCATTTTTATATCTCGTTAAAGATGGAAGCAATCCCTGAAGACTGAAAAAGCAAATTACATGTGTATGTCTTGAAGGGGAGAAAAGATAACCGTCATAGTCATAATCCAGTCAGGCTAGGAGAAAATATATGAAAAATGTCCACACCCAAGGCACACAGCAAATGGGCAACCAACATCCTTTTTTTTTTTTTTTTACTTTTGAGACAGGGTGTCACTCTGTTGCCCAGGCTCTGGTGTACAGTGGCGCAACCAGAGCTCTCTGCAGCCTCAAACTCCTAGGCTCAAGCAATTCTCCCAACTCAGCCTCCTGAGTAGCTAGGACTGAAGGAACACAACCACCATGCCCAGCTAATTTTTTTTTTTTTTTTGTAGAGACAGGGTCTTGTTATGCCATCCAGGTGGCTAGCGAATTCCTGGCTTCAAGCAATCCTCCTGCTTTGGCCTCCGAAAGTGTTGGGACTACAGGTATAAGTAACGTCGCCCCAGCCCCAGCATGCATTTATAAAGCACAAATGGGACAGGCTCATGCAAGGGTCTTACAAGACCACGTGGACAGATAGGAAGTTATCTAGACATCAGGAAACTTTTGAATTTCACTCCATGTAACATTCTCAGGAAAGAAAAAAATTAATATTACACATTGCTTTCCAAACTATTTTCTACAGAACCCCAGTTCAAAGAAGCACTTTGTGTGTCACCCAGAAAGCGCAGGACCAGTTGATGTCATCTCCCAACTCAGCACTCTGCTCCATTAACATGGACGACTCTAAACACCTGATATAAGATCAGCCACCACCACCACCGCATCTACCACGCAGCCACTGCCTACCTGGGCCAAGCTCTAGGTCCAGTTCTTTTTTTTTTTTTTCCTGAGACACAGTCTTGCTCTGTCACCCAAGCTGGAGTGCAGTGGCACGATCGCGGCTCACTGCAAACTCCGCCTCCTGGGTTCAAGTGATTCTCCTGCCTTGGCCTCCCAAGTAGCTGGGACTACAGGCATGCACCACCATGCCCAGCTAATTTTTGTATTTTCAGTAGAGACAAGGTTTCACCATGTTGGCCAGGACGGTCTCGATCTCTTGTAGGTCTGGTTCTTTACATATGTATCTCTCATACAATCTTCAAGGAGAAGAGGGTATTACAGCTCCACTAACATATGATCAAAATGAGACTGGAGACTGCAGTCCTGGGCCCAGCCACTCAACAACGGCTGCAAAAACAGTGGCAGCACCATCACCTACTGACCCAGGAGGTCCCCTCCTTGGCAGAGGCAGAGAGCACTCTCCCATGCAGGCCAGGTATACACTGGCACACCCCATCTGGAAAGCAAACTGGCCAAGTGCAGAAACTGAGGGCCTTGAAATGTTCATAATTTCCTATCCAATAATTATACTTCAGAAAACTTGTCAATAATATACACTAAGATTATTACAATATTTTAAATGATGAAAAATGAGAAAATTAATTAACTTCCCAACAATAGTTAACTAGGTTAATACTTGTATATCCACATAATGAAGTGCTATACGACCTCTAAAAAGTATTATGGGCTGGGCACAGTGGCTCACGCCCATAATCCCAGCACTACTGGAGGCCAAGGCAGGAAAATGGCTGGAGCCCAGGAGGCCGAGGCCGCAGTGAGCCATGAAGAATTGTGCCGCAGCACTCCAGCCTGGGCGACAGAGACTTTGTCTCAAAAAGGAAAAAAATTACCAAAATTTTTGCGAGACATGGGAAGACACCGATAAATTAAGTAAAGTAACTAGGAACAACTGTGTATGCATTATGATTTCAATTATCAATATTTTTAAAAGCATTTGGTCAGGTGCCATGACTCACACCTGTAATCGAAACACTTTGGCTGGCCAAGACAGGAGGATCGTCTGAGGCCAGGAGTTCAAGATCAGCCTGGGCAGCATGCTGAGACCCTGTCTCTACAAAAAAAAAAATACAAAAAGTTAGCCAGGCATGATGACATGTGTCTGTAGTTCCAGCTACTCAGTAGGCTGAGGCAAGAGGATCACTGGAGCCCAGGAGGTCAAGTCCACCATGAGCTCTGATAGCACCACTGCACTCTAACCTGGGCAACAGAGCAAGATCCTGTTACCACCCGCCCCCCCAAAAAAATAAGCATTTGTATTTATATATACACAAACAAACAGAAAGAATGCAAAGAAATGAAAGAAATGCTCTTTTGTAGATTATTCTGGGTGGTAAGAATATGGGTGTTTACTATCTTCTTTAAAATCATCTGTGCTGGCCACATTTCCTACAATAAGTATGAATTTATTTTATTATAAACAATTAAAGCTTAACATTTTTCAAGAAAACATCCAGTATGCTTGCTCAAACCAGTGTCTCCATGGCAGAATCCTGAGCTCTGGGAAGCTGAACCAGAAACTATACAGACAATTCAGTGGCAGGAGCAGACCGTTTGAATCATGGGAAAGCTTTGAGTTGTGATAAAACTTGTCATGTTCTGGGTTAATTATTGATGAATCTGGAAATTGCCTCATTTATTAAAGACTTATGTGCTTTCAAAGGTGGAGGCGTGGTGAGCAAGCAGTTTCTAGACTGTAATGGGATTACTTGTGGTGTTCTCAAAGGACAAAATCCAATAAAACAAATTGTAGAGTGTATGTGTTTAAATAAAACACGCTCACACATTGTCTTCTACTTCCTCTGCTGGCACTAATTTACCAATCAGTCTGATCCCCAGGGAGGCATGAACAGTAATGACGCTGATGCAGAAACAAGAGGAAAAAATATGCTAAAATTATTTCACTGGGAACAGCACTGAGCAGCCACAGCAGAGTAACTGAAAGTGACAGAGAATGGAAACTTAGCAACTCTGCTCTCCCCCTGATAAGGCTAGCAAGCCCAGACTGAAATCCTCCTATCCTTAGGATGCTTCTGTTAGGGCCAGAACTGCTGAAAAACCAGCATCCATGCAATGCAGAGGCTGCAAGCAAATGAGAAGCTGAAGTACCAGGAAAGAGGAAAAAAAGAATGAGTATTCTCTTTAAAATGAAGCAAAAAATAAATAAGTTATGGCTGAGTTGATAAAAAATTTTAAAAGATGAAAAGTTTTATTGTAAGATTTGTGTAAATATTCCAGCAAATGTATCCTAATGTAAGTAGGGTTTTTTCCTTAAGATTTACTAAGTCATACAAAAACTGACTGCATTTCTTTAATCTGTGAAGTTACATAAAAAAATCATTTAGTGCTTGAAAGAAACCAAAAAAATGGCCTGTGACCCAAAAATAAATTCCAAGCCTTTCCTGGAAATTCCAACAGTCAGTTATGGCCATCCCTTCCATCCCAGCCTCCTACACGCATGCACAGGGAAGCGCATGCGTGGCACGCACATGGGCTCACACACAGACACACACACTTACTGATCATTTCAGAGTATCAAAAAATACAAAATAACTCACTTGGAAAAAAAGACAAGTGCAGCCCAACTGTATTCTCAACTGCTTACTTCTCTATTCAGTTAGATAATAGGAAATATGACTGTTTCCAGTAAGAGCATTCAAAACCTGGCTAGACATAAACTATCACTGTGTAACATTCTACACTGCCCTGAGTGAGAAGCACTGACGCTTGTACCCGTCACCAACGAGCAGCAGCTACATAGGGAGCCAACAGCCAACGCAGGCAACCCTGACAGTCCCAGGTAGAAGCCACTGGCCTGAGTCTCATCACCTGCGTCCCTCTCGATGCTCCACCACACTGCTGGCAGCCGCAAAACCAAGGCTCCAAAGCTCCCCAGCATCCCACTGTGGGCAGCGTCATCACCAAGCCCGGGACCAGGCCGGGGCCTCCTCCCCAGGAAGCCGGCTCGAAGCCAACACCGAGCCCTGGATAAAGAGGACAAGCTCCTGAGCTCCTCCAAAGGATGGCTTCAGCCCTCACGAGAAGAGACAAGACGCGGGGACATGTGGCAAAGAAGGACAGTGAAAGAGCCAGGTCCCCACAGCCTCAACCCGTCAGAGCCAGGTGTGGTAGTGAGCGCCTAGAGTCCCAGTGCCTTGGGAGGCCCAGCTGTGACAATCGCCTGAGGCCAGGGATTCAAAACCCCATCTCTACAAAAAAAAATTGTTTAAATTAGTCACTGTAGTCCTAGCACTTCGAGTGGCAGAAGTGGGAGGACCACTGGAGCCCAGGAGGTCGAGGCTACAGTGAGCTGTGATTGCACCACTGCACCCTAGCTAAGGAGACACAGTCAGACCCTGCCTCGTTTAAAAAAAAAAAAAAAAATCAGGACACTGCCTGAGACCCTTCCCAGGGAGCCAAAATTATGGCTGTCACCTCCTCTGACCCAAGGGCCTACAAACTGAATGTTTTGTTACACACGGACTTCCCTCTCTGCTTCCTGCTTTTTCAACTCCACTCCAATCTCTCCTGAGCCTCCCTCGGCCACCTCCCAGGATGCATCACGTGCTCGCCTCGTGACATGCGCCCAGGTGCTCGCTTGCTCAGATATGCGCCCTGTTCCTGCCTCAGGATGCGCGCCCACGTGCTTGCCCCGGACCTGTGCACCCCTAGCTCTCCCCGGACGTGCGCCCACGTGCTCTTTGCGGAGCTCTCTGGCTCCACCCAACGCTGGGTGGGAGAAGACCTGTGGAGACAGAATAGAGTCTACAGGCTCTTCCCTGTAGGAAGAAAAGTACAAGGTCTCGCTGTGTTGCCCCGGCAGGTCTCACACTCCTGGCCTCAAGCGACGCGCCTGCCTCAGCCTCCCAAAGCACTGGGACTTCAGGCACAGGTACCGCACCCAGCACCAGCTCTCTGTTTTTCTTTACTACAGTAGCACCCATTCTCCCATTATCAACACGTCACAAACTCTACTTAGCAGAGTACAGCAAATGCTAAAATACACCTCAATATTCACTTATGTTTAATTATAAAAGATTAAAAACACCCAGAGTCACAAAGCCAGGAGTATTTCTTAATAACAGCATTAGTCGTGACTGCCCTGCAGTTCTCAAGTACACTGTTTTCCCACAAGGATACATGTCCCCCTGTTCTGTCTACCTAGGAACAAGTCGCCACCCGCTGGAGCTGCACCTGCACCCAGGAGGTCTACAGTGACCTGTGCAGCAGCAAATTTGGCAGCAGAAAGCAGAGGACTCCAGGCACTGCTCATGCCTACAGGCTGCTGGGTGAACACCCTCGCCAAAGAAGGAGACTGCAGAAATCCTCCTTGATGGTATCAGCTCACTCGCTCTTAAATGTTCATCCACTTTTAATTATTTACAACTAATAAAACATGTAATAACACGGTCAAAATTATCGGAGTAACTTCCTTTCAAAAAGCACATGTTTGTACAGTGATTCTTTATATACCTTGAATTCAACATAATCTACTTTTGCATCTCCCTGGGTTGTGGGTGGAGAATCCGCAAAGGCACCATCTGGACAATGCCTGGGGCTGCAGCAGGGACTGCAGGTGTGGGCTCCAGCAGTGGCACTTGGTGTGGCACTGAGAAGCCCAGGGTGGTGCAGTCAGCCTTGAGCCCACCTGGGGAGCCGGGGGGCCGTCGCAGAGGCCACAAAGAGCTTTCTGAACAAAAAGCACAGCTCTGGCAGCAGTGCAGATGAAAAAATGGGAGAGCCAAGAGGAGAGGGAAAAGGAGGGGCAGAGTATCCCAGGCCAGGGACAACTCACGAACACAAGGGAGCTGGAGGGCAGTAGGACTCCAGGGCAGCAGTGAGAGTCAGTTCTGCCATGATCAGGGAGAGGGAAGGAAGGGGTCGTGGCGGTAAAGAGAAGAGGGCAGGCTGGGGTCAGTTTTCAGGCTGATAAATTTGAATTCTACTTGGAAAACCACACAGAACCCATGGAGTTCTCTGTACTAGTCAGGGATATAAAAGCCATCCTTAGAAAGTTTACTCTGGGAAGGCTGGGCACGGTGCCTCACACCTGTAATCCCGGCACTTTGGGAGGCCAAGGCAGCCAGATCACCTGAGGTCAGGAGTTTGAGACCAGCCTGACCAACATGGAGAAACCCCATCTCTACTAAAAATGCAAAATTAGCTGGGCGTGGTGGCACACGCCTATAATCCCTGCTACTTGGGAGTCTGAGGCAGGAGAATTGCTTGAACCTGGGAGGCGGAGGTTGCAGTGAGCCAAGACTGCGCCATTGCCTGGGCAACAAGAGTGAAACTCCATCTCAAAAAAAAAAAAAAAATTTTACTCTGGGGAAACATGAAGGGTGGATCACTTCACATAAGAATGCAATATTCATGAACCAGGAGATAATCCATAACAAATGGTGCCTGAAAAACTGTTTATCCCCTGATACCTTCAATTAGAGGTAAAGTATCTCATTTTAAGAAAAATGGAATGTATTTAAGTAATACCACATTTACAGTCGACTTGCACCTTACTCAAAGGATAAGCTCTAAACAGCAAAGGTAAGCAAACTCAACATATGGTTGAATTATACTTGAAAACTCCATTCAATCTCCCGTAAGTACAAAGAGACACTCCCACAGTCAGCGGGGGGTGGGGGTTGGGGGGACTCATGAACAGATATCACAAGGGGACAAGGGTTTCCACTTGCAGTGTCACCCTCAGTCCTGGCCATATACTCAGTACAGGGATGGCCACATAACCACCTATACCCTTTCCACTGTATTTTTCTGCCTCTGCTGAGGATGTAGACTTTTTAATCTACTACAGACATCCCTGCAATGCCATACCTCTAAAACTTCTCCCCCAAAGAATTTCACTTCAGAAAAATAACTGACTCTTCTTCAAATATGACATCTCTTTGATAAATAGTATATTATGTATTACCAGGCACACAAAAGTTAATTTCTATCATTTTCCAAAATCTTATCTAAGAAAGGCAGATTCACAGAAGTTCTATCAGTAAACAGATCACTACAAGAACTGCCTTCTGAACACTGTTCATTAGTAGAATGATGAAATTACTGCATTCCCACCTCTGTGTATGAACTTGGGGGTACTACTGCTTATGGACTTCACAGTATATTCCCATAAAGAAATGAGTGGAACCACCACTTTGAACCTCTTAGAAGATGCCACATAAACCTAAGATGTTATTATCATTATCTCTTTCTACCACATAGCCTGGGAAAGTTGTTAGATCTTTGGGCTCATGAAATATGAACACAAACTACTTCTTAAGTTTGTCAGCTTCAAAAGTTCAGGACATACATTTTATTGCCCTTGCCCAGATCAAGAAAAAGATGACTTTGAAACATGACACATAACAATAAAAAAAAATGTTTGATGTTATATGTGATACACACGCATATGCGCACATACACACGTATCTATGGCAGAATAAAGATGACCACAAGGCCTTGGACACTCCTCACACTGACAAGTGGAGTCTGCATGCCCTGCCCTGAACCTAGGCAGGCTTACTGACTAATTTGGCAAATAGAATACAGGGACAATAAAGCTGTGCTGTCTTCCAGGTCTAAAACTTGAGAGAGTGACAGCTGCTTCTTCCTGACTCTTGGGATACTGTCCAGGAGCCCTGAGCCACAGTACAAGAAGTCCAACCATCCGGAAGCCTCTATGCTGGAGACACCACATGCAGGTGCTCCAGTCAACAAGTCCCACCTGAGGGTTGCTTGCACTGAAGGACACTGGCTGTGGGATTGATTGTGGCTTTGGCAAGATTAAAATCACGGCAGGTCCGGAGGGAGATGCCCAATTCCAGTTCACTGGTAGTAAAACGTATTTCAGAGCAGGCATGGTAGTTCATACCTATAATCTCAGCACTTTGAGAGGCCAAAGGAAGAGCCTCACTTAAGCCCAGGAATTTGTGACCAGCCTGGGCAACATAGTATGACCCTATCTCTACATAAATTCAAAAATTAGCCAGGCATGGTGGCACGCATCTGTAGTCCCTGCTACTCGGGAGGCTGAGAGGTGGGAGAATCACTTGAGCCCAGCATTTTGAGGCTGTAGTGAGCTGACTGCACCACTGTACTCCAGCCTGGGCAACAGAGCAAGACCCTGTCTCAAAAAAAAACCGGGCGTGGTGGCTCACGCCTGCAATCCCAGCACTTTGGCCAAGGTGGGCGGATCACCTGAGGTAGGGAGTTCAAGACCAGCCTGACCAACATGGAGAAACTCCATCTCTGCTAAAAATACAAAATCAGTCAGGCGTGGTGGTGCATGCCTGTAATCCCAGCTACTCAGGAGGCTGAGGCAGGAGAATCGCTTGAACCCATGAGGTGGAGGTTGTAGTGAGCTGAGATCGTGCCATTGCACTCCAGCCTGGGCAACAAGAGTGAAACTCCATCTCAAAAATAACATAACATAACATAACATAAATAAAAAAATTAAAAAGTCAACTCTTATACTCACACAGGTGGGATGAATTGACACATAGAGACATTGCTTTCATGATCTTACACTTCAAGTTAAGATCTTTAAAAACTCCAGCTGTGAAAGCAGTATAAATGGGTTCCAAACTGTGCCTCATCTGTTAAATTCCCATGCTAATCTAAGTTCCATGGAAAAGCTAATGTCAACTCATCATGTGATAATTCAATTTGTACAATAAACTATGAACCTGAAAAAACAAAAACAAAAAAAAGTCCCAGCTGAGCCCAACATTCTAGTTAGTTACCCCCACCAAACACCAGATATATGAATGGAGCCATCTAGGATTTTCCAGGCCAGGTCATCATCTGCCAGGTAAATACATGCAAGTAACCCCAAGTGGCACGGAAGAATAACCCAGCTGAGCCCTGCCCAAATTCCTGGCCCACAAAATCATGAGATATAATTAAATCATTGTTTATTTAAGCCATTAAGTTTTGGGTTGGTTATGCAGCAACACCTAAATATAAACTAGGGTTCAAAAAACATTTTTACTATCAACTTGGGGTTAAGTGTTATTTGAAACTGCTGAATATTATTTTTAAAATTCTTACATGGACATTACTATCAGACACATTATGTCTTTAGAGTAATTTCTATCAGGTCTATAAAATTCAGTACTAGTCAGTTCCCATAGTTGCAGTAGATTTGAAGAAAATATTTTAAAATAGTATTTCAAAGAACTGCACTTTGCAGCCCTGAAAGTACCCTTGAAGAAATTATTTCCTGGCCAGATGTAGTGGTTCACGCTTGTAATCCCAGCACTCTGGGAGGCCGAGGCGAGTGGATCACCTGAGGTTAGGAGTTCAAGGCCAGCCTGGCCAAAATGGCAAAACCCCGTCTCTACTAAAAATACAAAAATTAGCCAGGCATGGTGGTGCATGCCTGTAATCCCAGCTACTCGGGAGGCTGATGCAGGAGAATCACTTGAACCCAGGAGACGGAGGTTGCTATGAACTGAGATCGTGCCACTGCACTCCAGCCTGGATGGCAGGGCGAGATTCCATCTCAAAAAAAATAAAATAAATGAAATAAAATCAATCCATGGACATAAAAATTGTCAGACCCATGGTTAGGTTCATGAGGCAGCACAACCAGGAGCTTATATTTGCCAACAACAGCCAGGCCCACTGGCAATCTGGTGTCATGAGGGGACTTGTTCAGTGGGACTGTTCCAAGGAGCTAAGTAAGTGGTTAACAAGGTCTTGCTCTGTCACCCAGGCTGCAGTGCAGGGGCACAACCATAACTGACTGCATCCTTGAACTCTTGGGCTCAAGCGATTCTCCCACCTCAGCCTCCCGAGTAGCTGAGACTACAGGTGCATGCCATCCCGCCTGGCTAATTTATGTTTATTCTTTGTAGAGACAGGGTCTCACTGTGTTGCCCAGGCTGGTCTCAACTCCTGGCCTCAAGCAATCCTCCCACTTCAGTCTCCCAACGTGCTGGAATTACAGGCGTGAGGCACCGCACCTGGCCAAAGTAAAGTCTAAACATGTAGAAAAGGAATCCCTTACCTACTTTGTGAAAGTGTGCCAACAGTCTTCTCTAATACTACTGCTCCATCCAATAAAAATGGATGTGTATCCATAAACAAGCTCGAAAAGCAACTCTTGCAAGAGAAGTATTCTGTCCACTACTCAGAAGCCCTCATCTCTGCTTTACCCAAAACCAAATACCATAGTTGACCGGTTTCTATATATACAAACACCCAGAGGACATAACCTGGCTCAAAGGATAACTCATATATTTTATCCAAATTGGCCTTTCCTTCCCCCATCTCATTACAACTCCCCCGTGCTGTCTCTCACTGCCCTTCCTTAACCAATTTCTGTTTAGTAGAAGTGGCTATTAGACTAGACATCATTTAGAGTCAACAGCTAAAACCTAAGGATGACCTTGCACATGTGTTGTCTCTGTTTCTACAAATAAAACTCAACAAAATTAACAGGCAGGAGAATTGAATGACTTCAAAAGTCAAAAATGAAAATATATCCAGCCTGGGCAACAGCACAAGACTCGGTCTCAAAAAAGAAAACACACAAAGACACAAAGAAAATATACAGACTGGATATGGTAGCTCACCCCTATAACCCCAGTGTTATGGGAGGCTGAGGCAAGAGGATCACTTGAGACCAAAAGTTCAAGATCAGCCTGGGCAACTTAGCAAGAACCCATCTCTACAAAAAGAAAAAAAAAATGCTTAATGAGCTGGGCATGGTAGCATGTACCTGTAGTCCTAGCTACTCAGGAGGCTGAGGCAGGAAGATTACCAAAGCCCAGCAGTTTGAAGCTGCAGTGAGCTATTGATGGCACCACTATACTCCAACCTGGGGAACACAGCAAGTGCAAAACCCTGTCCCGTGAAGAAGGAGAAGGAGAAGGAGAAAGGAGAAGAAGAAATGAGAAGAAAGGAGGAGGAGGAGAAGAGGAAGAAGAAAAAAAAAACATGCCGGGCGCAGTGGCTCACAACTGTAATTCCAGCACTTTGGGAGGCTGAGGCAGGTGGATCACCTGAGGTCAGGAGTTCAAGACCACCCTGACCAACATGGTGAAACTGCATCTCTACTAAAAATACAAAAATTAGCCAGATGTGGTGGTGGGTGCCTGTAACCCGAGCCGCTCAGGAAGCTGAGGCAGGAGAGTCACTAGAACCCGGGAGGCAGAGGTTGCAGTGAGCCGAGATGTCGCCATTGCACTCCAGACTGGGGAACAGAGTGAGACTCTGTCTCCAAAAAAAAAAAAAAAAACCCACACATACAGGCTGATCCACTGTCACACAAGTGACCAGCCTTTGAGCATGCTGGCTGATCATCTCAACTTGTGTTTTGGAAATTTCCATGCACAGTCCAAAGGCGAGCAGGGTTGCAAATCACATAATGCAACAACTCCAAAAGGTCTGGAGGTTGGCCTGGGCCAGGAGTCCTCCAACCCGGCTGCACAGACAACCACCTGAAGAGCTTCCTGAAGAGCTTTACAGAAACACCAATCTCCAAACGTGACCCAGAGACCTCACCCCCTTGGTTTATATGGAGCTTAGGTATCAACATTCTAAAACCTTTGCTGCCAAGGTTAAGAGCAGTTGCTCTAGCACCAACTGGGGATGTCACTCAGGCTGAAGTGCAGTGGCGCAATCTCGGCTCACTGCAACCTCCACCTCCCGGGATCAAGCGATTCTCCTGCCTCAGCCTCCCGAGTAGCTGGGACTACAGGTGCCTGCCACCACACCCAGGTAATTTTTGTATTTTTAGTAGAGATGGGGTTTCACCATGTTGGCCAGGCTGGTCTCGAACTCCTGACCTCAGGTGATCCACCCGCCTCGGCCTCCCAAAGTGCTGGGATTACAAGCGGGAGCCACCATGCCCAGCCTCAATACAGATTCCTATACGGAGGTGTCTAGAATGGGCCCCGAGATTGTACATTTCCAGCAAGTTCCCAAGAGATGCCAGTGCTGCTGGCCCAGAGGCCACACCAGAGAAGCAAGGGTCTTTGACAGCTAGCCATGCACCTTTTTTACCCTCACTAGCCTGAAGCTGATCCCAAAGGTGCACTTCTTCCCTGAACCCATAAGCCATTCAAGCAAACCCAAGTCAGGAAAAAACCCTGTTCTTCTCCCGCGGGATCACTTACTCTTTCTTATGGAATTGCAGCATCTTAAAATGCACATCAGTTTGTCATGGTATAGCAACTCACTGTGCAGGCTCTGAAGTTAGAGTCTGCCAAAGGCAGCCAAGCCGGCTGGGTACGGTGGCTGACACTTGCAATCCCAGCACTTTGGGGAGCCAAAGTGGGAGGGTCACTTGAGCCCAGGAGTTGAAGATCAGCTTGTGCAGTAAAGTAAAACCTCATCTCTACAAAAAAAAAAAACAAGTTAGCCAAGTGTGGTGGCGCATGCCTGTAGTCCCAGCTACTTGTGAAGCTGAGGCAGGAAGATCACTTGAGCCCAGAAGTTCAAGACCAGCCTGGGCAATACAGTGAGACTCCATCTCTACAAACATAAAAATAAATTAACTAGGCATAGGTGGTACATACCTGTAGTCCCAGCTACTCGGGAGGCTGAGGCAGGAAGAATGCTTGAGCCCAGGAGGTTGAGGCTACAGTGAGCCATGATCATGCCACTGCACTCCAGTCTGGGTGACAGAGCAAGACCCTCAGTTGTGCAACTTCCCAAAAAAAAAAAAAGTTTCTTATCCTCTCTAGCCCAAGCTTACTCATCTGTAAACTCTGGATTACACCAATATCACAACTCCATGAGATTAACATATACACATAAAGCACTGACCCCAGCACATAGGGCCTGATACAACATGTGCCATGAGTGCTTACCATTACTCTTGATAATAATGTTAATACTGGCCAGGCACGGTGGCTCAGGCCTGTAAATCCCAGCACTTTGGGAGGTCGAGGCAGGCGAATCACCTGAGGTCAGGAGTTCAAGACCAGCCTGATAAACCAGGTGAAACCCCATCTCTACTAAAAATACAAAAAATTAGCCAGGCGTGGTAGTGGGCACCTGTAATCCCAGCTACTCGGGAGGCTGAGGCAGGAGAATTGCTTGAACCCGGGAGGCAGAGCTTGCAGTGAGCCGCGATCATGCCACTGCACTCCAGCCTGGGTGACAGAGCGAGACTCCATCTCAAAAAAACAAAAAATAAAAAATAATAATGGTAATACTACCATTTTCTGATACCACTGTCTCCTGGATCTCCTCCTTGCTGTCTGAGACTCCTTCACAGTAAGTTAGGAATGAAAAAAAAGTGACAGGTTTCACTGTTGTTAAAACGGTACCTTCCCAACAACCTCCTAAACTAATAGGCAGATAAATAATGCCCCTGATAAAAGCACCTCTTATGCAAGAGCTTTCGATCATGAGTCCTGACCTAAAAAGCTTTCTAACACCAAAAGCAGAGACTGAGCTGAAAATACCACTCCCCGGAATCTATAAAGAAAGCAGCTTCACTTCTCATCGGTAAAGAAACAATGCAGGGCCAAAACTCTTCTGCCTCGGACTAAAATCCCCCCTATCAAAACACTCTAAGATCTGTCAAAAATTCTCCGAATTATTTCTCTGCAATTTTGTTATAAAACACTTGAGTATTCTGGAAAGTTTTTGAAAGCACCATTCATCACTTCCATTAGCAAAGCACAAAAACAAAGGGGAAGCGTGAAGGCAAGAGACAGACGCACAAAAATACATTCCTATCTCCCGTGCTGCTAGGTCTTTTTCACATCCTGTAGGAAACTAAAACTTGGAATTTCAAACACACTCACATGAAAAAATGTTTACAAATAAATACAGGAAGGGATCAGAGTCAAAATAGGAGTGCTGTGCCATTAGATAAGCTTTACTACTTCAATCACTGCTTAGCGACTTCCCTAAATGCATATGGGGAGAGGGAAGAAGCATTACTTTAATTAATGAGATGTTTAAGGTCTTCAAAGAGGAAAACAACCCCTTCAATACTGTGGTATGAAAAAGACGGATGAGAGGAGGTAGTCCTCTTGAATACAAAGCCAGGGTGTTGATAACTGCAAGTCTGACTTCATCGCACTGCCTGCCAAGCCCAGAATGTGAATGAGCCTTCAAGACGCCACTCCCTATTTAGTATGATAAATAGGTCAACTCCTGGGTGAAGTCTTCAGGTGATTTGCACTGGGTGCCTTTAGCCAAACTAAAGTATTAAAAGTTGCATCAATCTGTCAACCCTTACAACTACCTACCTAAGCAAAAGATGTTCTGTGTTCCTTTGTTGCTGATTTAGCTGCCCGAAATCACCATCTTAAGATGCCCAAAATCACATCTTAAGAAGTGTTATGGGCACATGAATTATAGAGGCCTATATAGTAAGGATTAGAAAAGTCACAAAAATGTCAACTTTCCCATTTATTTTATAACACAGATTATCTATTTGAGCTCCAGGGTATTCTCAGAACTATTACTAGTTAATAAACACTAAAGGCCTTTAAAACATCTCTGCATTTTATTAATACAGACAGTATTTACATTTTATACTTTTATCCTTTCCAAGTTTTAAAAGTATTTTTAATGAAAAATGTGTAAGTGATGCCTTTTAATGTACTTTAAATACAGCAAATAAAATTTATGTAATTTCCTTTGAAGTAGCAGTGTTGCGGCTGCAATTATTTAGGAAGTAACAAGTAGAAAGTCCTACACGGCTAAGACAGCTAGACAAACACAATTCTCCTTGACCTGTAAAAGAATCAGCTTAAACTGTTGGGTGATCTTTATATCTTCATTCTTAGCTAAATGATGCATACATACTAACACTGGAATTTCTAAAGCACTTTTAGAAAAAAAAAAAAGTAGCCCTTTAACAGACAACCTGGAAAAACAACACTTGATGTCATAAACAAGAATCAAGCTGATTTTGTGAAATAGCCATTAAAATTTTGCCTAATCTATGTTTGAAACTTGAAGAGAAAGAAAAAGATCTAATACTGACAGAATCTATTACATGAAAGGGGCATTGTCTACAGTGAATAACTTAATCTCCATGACACCCTACAAAGATGACAATCCCAAATTACAGACAGGAAAACAGACTTACAGAGCTTGTATTATGTGTCAAAGCTTTGGTCTGGGGGGCCCAAACCAAAACCTGGAAAAGCTCTTCCATTATGGACATGTTTGGAGCATCCAAATCAATGTCACTGGGATTTTATTTCTTAAATTGCAGAAGGAGGTTTCCTTGGTGACTTTTTTTTTAAGAGAGACAGTTTTGCCACATGATTTCCCACATGTGGTGAAGTTCTAATGAGGATGAGATAAAACAATTTAGAAAAGCCTATTCTAGTGAGACTTAATCACTGGCAAACACTCCTGGTAAAAACAAAGGGACAGTACGGCTAACATGTAGTCCACCTGGCCTCCTACAATACCTTTTCACATTCTCTCTTTGAACCCAGACAACAACCCCACAAAGCAGGTGGTATTAAAAGGTAGGACTCCCGACCAGGCACGGTGACTCACACCTGTAATCCCAGCACTCTGGGAAGCCAAGGCGGGTGGATCACTTGAGGTCAGGAATTCAAGACCAGCCTGGCCAACAAGATGAAACCCCGTCTCTACTAAAAATGAAAAAAAAAAAAAAAAAAATTAGCTGGGCGTGGTGGTGCATGCCTGTAATCCCAGCTACTTGGGAGGCTGAGGTGAGAGAATCAGTTGAACCCAGGAGACGGACGTTGCAGTGAGCCGAGATCAAACCACTGCACTCCAGCCTGGGCAACAGAGTGAGACTCCGTCTCAAAAAAATAAATAATAACAAAAAAAAAAAAATAGAAGGCAGGAATCACGTGCTCACAAAGGTACTTCTCTTAACTCTCCATAAATGTCTGGGAGAGATTCCTCTTCAGAATCCTGATCCATGATGTGTCACTCTGATGTTTTTGCTTCCTAGAAGCAAAATACCCATCACCAAACTTTCCACTTTCAGCTAACGGTGTTTTTGCAAACATCTGTGTGAGTCTTAAAACGTAAAAGACAAAAATGACTCCACCATAGAAAGTTCAGGAGTTGGCCGGGCGCGGTGGCTCATGCCTGTCATCTCAGCACTTTGGGAGGCCAAGGCAGGCGGATGACTTTAGGTCAGAAGTTCAAGACTCCATCAAGACCAGCCTGATGAACATGGTGAAACCCCATCTCTACTAAAAATACAAAAATTTAGCCAGGTGTGGTGGCTGGAACCTATAATCCCAGCTACTTGGGAGGCTGAGGTTGTAGAATTGCTTGAACCCAGGAGGTGGAGGTCGCAGTGAGCCGAGATCGCGCCATTGCACTCCAGCCTGGGTGACACAGCAAGACTCCATCTCGGAAAATAAAAAATAAAAATAAAAAATAACAATAATCAAGTTCAGGAGTTTGTTAGCATTGCAAGTTTCCTTGGAAAAAATATTCCTGATAGGATGTGCTTTCATAATTTAAAATATATTTATTTCATATTCCTCAACATGACAACCGCTAAAATGCCACCACCTTCCAGATGCAGTAAAAAATAGTTATCAATCCAAATGATGCACTTAGGGATCTACTTGATTTGTTTTTGTTTTTTTTTTTTTTTTGAGATGAAGTCTCGCTCTATCGCCAAGGCTAGAGTGCAGTGGCACGATCTCAGCTCAATGCAACCTCTGCCTCCCGGGTTCAAGCCATTCTCACTACTCAGACTCCCAAGTTGCTGGTATTACAGGCACCTGCCATCACACTCAGCTAAATTTTTTTGTATTTTTAATAGAGATGGGGTTTTGTCATGTTGGCCATGCTGGTCTTGAACTCCTGGCCTCAAGTGATCCGCCCACCTTGGCCTCCCAAAGTGCTGGGATTACAGGCATGAGCCACTGCACTTGGCCAAGATCAACTTGATTTGTCTAGAAGATTTTTTTTCCAGATCTCTAACAAAGTGGTAAAGGTACCAAATCCTATGTTCAACATTAATGAATTTAGTGATTAGTCACATCCTGTGTTGTAGTACATCAGGAACCAATATCCTGCACATTTTACCTCCTTCTTCTGCAGGTGCTGCTGTCTGTAATAAAAGAAATCCAAGTTTAGAGTATAACCCTGCTGGGCAGGAATCTGGCTAACCATTATTCACATATGGTTTTGCACACTGGGTTTCAGCATTATAAATGACACATGTTAAATGCCTTTGTGGTATAAGAAAATACGTTTCCTGGAAGAGTTTTCTTTTTTCCTTTGTCCCTCAGACTTCTAAAGAGTTTATTTTTTAATTTTGGACTTAACATTGGACTTAGAGAAGAAAATTAAAACACAGACATAAAAACTTTTTTCCAATTTGTATTGTCTATGTAAAAGAAATTGAACAAAAAAATCTAGTCTCATATATACCACCAACACAAAAACAACACTCCTTTCTTTGTGTTTTTAATATTAATACACATCTTTTGATTGGTTAGCAATTTTAGGTTTTTGAGACATAATATCAAGTTGATTTCTTAAGTGTTGAAGAAGGAAACACTGATTTTTAGTGTAGTCTATCTCAAAGAGGCTTTTTGAAATATATAAACCCTATAACATAGATTAGTTTTCTAATCTAAAGGGATGCGGTACAATCAACAAAAAGGGAAAGGCTGGGCGCGGTGGCTCACGCCTGTAATCCCAGCACTTTGCAAGGCTGAGGCGGGCGGATCATGAGGTCAGGAGTTCAAGACCAGCCTGGCCAACATTGTGAAACCCTGTCTGTACTAAAAATACAAAAAATTAGCCAGGTGTGGTGGCAGGCGCCTGTAATCTCAGCTACTCGGAAGGCTGAGACAGGAGAATCGCTTGAACCCAGGAGGCAGAGGTTGCAGTGAGCCGAGACTCTGCCACTGCACTGCAGCCTGGGCAACAAAGTGAGACTCCGTCTCAAATACAAGAAGGGAAAAACCAGACACTAGAAAAATATACATCTGAGTTCCAAAACCTTAAATCTTACAGTGTCTGAATAGTTAAAAACACCAAGATTGGGAGAATGTTGACTTGACTATCATCTCTAAAATGACTTAAATTTATACCACCATAAAAGATCACCCCAGAAATACACACGTATGTGCATATATATATATATATATATATATACACCGTACAGTTCGTATCATGCAATATCATACATCTGTAATTCACAAAGGGAATTGTCTTAGTCACTTCTGAGCATGATGTGATTTACATTAAAAGATACTTACCTTGAGACAATAAGAAATTCTGGGGCCGGGCGCGGTGGCTCACGCCTGTAATCCCAGCACTTTGGGAGGCTGAGACAGGCGGATCACGAGGTCAGGAGATCGAGACCATCCTGGCTAACACGGTGAAACCCCACCTCTACTAAAAATACAAAAAAATTAGCCAGGCGTGGTGGTGGGCACCTGTAGTCCCAGCTACTCGGGAGGCTGAGGCAGGAGAATGGCGTGAACCTAGGAGGTGGAGCTTGCAGTGAGCCGAAATCACGTCACTGCACTCCAGCCTGGGCGACAGAGCGAGACTCCGTCTCAAAAAGACAAAAAAAAAGGAAGAAGGAAGGAAATTCTGAAGGACACCCTAGACAAATTTTTTTTTTCTGTTAGAGACAGAGTCTCGCTGTGTCACCCAAGCTGGAGTGCAGTGACACCATCATAGTTCACTGCAATCTCAAACTCCTGAGCTCAAGCAATCCTCCCACGTCAGCCTCCTGAGCAGCTGGGACTAAAGATGCACACAACCATGTCTGGCTAATTTTTTTTTTTTTTTTTTGAGATGAATCTCCCCATCGCCCAGGCTGGAGTGCAGTGTCGCTATCTTGGCTCACTGCAACCTCTGCCTCCCAGGATTCAAGTGATTCTCTTGCCTCAGCCTCCCAAGTAGCTGTGATTATAGGTGTGCACCACCATGCCCAGCTATTTTTTGTACTTTAAGTAGAGATGGGGTTTCACTACTTTGGCCAGGCTCGAACTCCTGACCTCGTGATCCACCCACCTCGGCCTCCCAAAGTACTGGGATTACAGGCGTGAGCCACCACACCCGGCCTATGCCTGGCTAATTTTTTTAAAAAGAGACGGGGTCTCACTATGTTGCCCAGGCTGGGTCTTGAACTCCTGGCCTCAAGCAATCCTCCCACCTCAGCTTCCCAAAGCTCTGGGATTACAGGCGTGAGCCTTCTCACCCAGCCAACCCTAAGCAAAATTTACCCTAACTCTGAATAGCATCCATTTGACCTGGAGAGCAAGCCCCGTCATTTCAAAGTTGGGGGGGTCGGGGTGAGGCAAAATATTCTCACAGCATGGAGGGAAGCAGTAAGAGGTCCTGGACCCTGTATAACCATCTGAAAAGCCACTGCACATCACTTATGGTCCCATGAGCACCAAAACAAACCATGCAGAGCAGGAGTCCCTGCACAGCTCAGGGAACTGGCAGTGGGAGTCCAGCCCAGCACCTCTGAATATGAGAACATGGGGAAACAGAGGCTCACAGAGCTTGTAAGATTTGCCAAAGCTCAAAATTTCTGGGAGCCAAAGCCAAATGCTGGAAAGGCTGGTCCATTACGTGCATCCTTGGGGCATTCTCAACCTCCACTGCACAAAGGTAGCTGGCGAGCTGGGTAGAAGGAGTCTCTGGCTAAAGAACAATTGGTGAAGCCCTTAGAGGGGGTAGGGGGTAGCACACAGAGACCAGGGGACCTGGAGGCTCAGCAGCCAGGAGCTTACCAGACACTAAACAGGACACATTGGACAGGCCTGAGAAAGCAGGGATTCCACACTATATGGAAAACTCCTAAAGACAGCCAGTTTTCATTTGAAGTGTTTTGAGCATCTCTGATACACATATATATGTCATTTTATGAAATGCTCAGAACTACAAAATACCTAAAAATGGAGCGTTGTTCATAGTGGCTTATGCAGTCTATTTTTCTAACATCTTTATTGACATATAATCACATAACCATAAACTCCATCCATTGAAAGTATACACTTGAATAGAACTGTGCAACCATCACCATGATCTTAGAATATTTTCATCATCCCAAAAGGAAACCTCATACCCATTCACAGTCTCCATGACTCCAAACTCCCAGTCCTAGCGGAACACCACTCTACTGTCTCTATAGAGCTACCCACTCTGGTCATGTTATAGGAACAGAATTATACAATATGTGGGCTTGCTGCTATGAACACTGATGTACAGGTTTTGTGTACACATTTTCATTTCTCTTGTGTGCTTGTGTGTGTGTGTATATATATAAAGAGTATATATAAAATATATACAGAATAGAGTACAGAGACTATATACAAAATATACTCTGTTTAGGTGAAAAAAATAAATAATTGATATTTAAAGTCACTTGGATGTGGAGCTTGAAATTTTACTTGCAAGGACCAATATGAGTTGATGGAGAAAAAAGGAATACACAAAAGTAATATTTAAATGGCAAAAACCACGTAAAGATAGCAGGCCAGATGCAAGAAGGCACAGACCTATACACGAAAGTTATTTTAACTTTATTTACTAAAATGTTTACTTATTTACTAAATAAGTTAAAACAAAGTTATTTTTACTTATTTGCTAAAATTTAGGCCAGGCATGGTGGCTCGTGCCTGTAATCCCAGCACTCTGGAGGACCAAGGCAGGTGGATTGCTTGAGCTCAGGTGTTTGAGATCAGCCTAGCCAACATGGCGAGATGCCGTCTCTACAAAAACTACAAAAATTAGCCAGGTGTGGCGGCACACAACTGTAGTCCCAGCTACTTGGGGGACTGAGGCAGGAGGATCGCTTGAGCCTGGGAGGTTGAGGCTGCAGTGAGCAGAGATCACGCCACTTCACTCCAGCCTGGGTGACAAAGACCCTGTCTCAAAAAAAACAAAAGAAAGAAAGAAAAAACTTGTAAATAATGACTAAAAGACAAAAAAAAATCAGTCATCTTTCTACTTTATTCACTGAACTCGGCATTTATTTTGATAAAGATTTGCTTTTGTACAGAAAAGGTACCCAAAACAGGTAAAACTGTATACATTTACTGATGTCCAGCTCTACTGCCATTGACCTTGGTCCCAGCCAGGAATGTTGAGCGAGTGGCCAAGCAGGATGAAAGCATGCTGTGTGGGCTTAGCATGCCATCTCCCCCGATGGAAAATTACCTATAGAAAGCACCTTCTGGCCCAATCTTACATGTTTATTTCCATCCTTGATAAAAAATACCGAGGGCTCTAATCATCTATGGGGAGCTCAACATCACCAACTTGCACCCAACTCTGTGGGGAGGTAGAACCTCCCAGGACAGACGGAGGATCCGTCTGTGGGTTTGCATCCAAGTGGGACTTTAAATATTCCCTCCACAACCAATTTATCCATGTCTACCACAAGCCAAGAAGCGCTTCACATCCGCCAGATTCTCTCTGAGAATCTCAGATCCTAAACATTCCTACTTAGTCCTGGCACTCAGCCAAGCATCTCAACTGACGGAATCAGAGGCGCCAGACCAAGCATAGGTGTGTTCCAGGGCCAGATTCTCACACAGCCCTGGCCACCTGCCTTGAACCTCGCCCAAGGCGAATCCCAGGAGGGTCCTCTGCTTGAGCTGAAAAACAAACTGAACTCCCTCAAGACAGCTGATACGAAAGAGTAACTTCCAAGTACTCCAAACCTCATTAAATCTTAGTTTCCATTACAAGCTGTTTGTGCCAGTAGGTCAAACACACCAAACCTTAAAGTCCTTTAAATTCACGAGTGCTGATGATAGTCCTCTCAGCAGAAGTGTATTTTTTGTGTGAGAGCAGTGTAACATGTTGATTCTCAGCTTTCTATTTACTCAACATTCTGACTGCAATGTGACAGACACGGGCTATTCACCAAGACTGAAGCTCAGCCACCGCTTCAAGCATTTCACCCGGAGGGAGGAAGGGCGCACGGATACACTTGAAAACCACACAGCACAGCCCAAGCATCTGAGTCGGTACAGGAGCTACACCCAGGACGTCCCCAGGAGAGGCAGCAGGCAGGGAGAAAGATCCTCTAGCAGCTTGGGATGGAGAGCCAGCCTCCTGGAGATGGCTGTCTGGGCTAAGACTCACGAATGAGTGCAAGGAAGGAGCAAATGTCCCAGGCAGAAGAAACAGAAAATGCCAGAACAGAGGCAGCAAAGTGTATGTGAGTCCCAGGGGGTGGAGCAGCTGCAGAGGGAGTGGCTGGAAGGCAAGAGGGGTCCCTACAGGGACAGGCTGTGCTCAGAAGGCAGGACTTGGAGAACGCGGGACAAAGGCGCTTCAGCACCAGAGGACAATGTGACTTGAATTCTGGAAAGATCAGCCTTTCAAAAATGTTTAGTTTCTTTTTCCTTTTTAGAGGGAAGGCAGAAAATGTTAAAAAAATAAATAAATAAATAAAGCTGCTTTCATTTCACTATTTTTATGCTTGCCTCTATTTTCTTTCAATCTCTGCAACAGTACAACTATTTTCTTAAAAGTTTCAATACGCTTGTAAATGAATAACATGCAGTCATACATTTATTCACAGAAAAATTCCATACCAACCACAAGATTTTTCATAAAAACCATGACTGTCATTGTTACTAATCAACAGTCTCCCGCCACCAAAAAAGCACATTTTCAAAAGTTTCTGTCCATGAGCTCAACTTTTTAAAAAATACAGGTCAAGCATCCCTAATTGAAAAATCCAAAATCCAAAATACTCCAAAATCTGAAACTTACTGAGCACCCACATGACGCCACACCTGGAAAATTCCACATGTAAGTACTTACCACAGACTTATTTTCAAGCACAAAAATACTGCATAAAATTACCTTCAGGCTATGTGTATAAGGTACGTAGGAAACATAAATTCTAACAATACATTAGACTTGGGTTCCATCTTCAACCTATCTCATTATATATACAAAAATATCCCAAAGTCCAGAAAAATCCAAAATACTTGTGTGGTCCCAAGTATTTTGGATAAAGGATGCTCAACCTGTAATAACAACAGGTTGCTATTAAATCACTCTAAAGTGATGTGCTTGGGGACAGAAGCCAGAGGCCCCAATAATCAACCTGTAATCAAGCCAATACCCGCAGCTTTTACTTCCCCAGCCCATACACACATGCAACACACAATTTTGTTCTCCTGATTGTGGTGCTGCACGTCATTCAATCTCACATTCTTACCTATCCTTCAATGAAATTACATGCTGCGTTTTTAAGTAAACAGGAAAAATCCAAGCAGCAATAGTGGGACACCTGGGAAAGTTCCCTGGGTGTAAAACTGCTTGGTGGATAAAACATATTGGTGATTCCATTCATCTTTACGGAGCAGCTAGTATGGGCCGGGCCCAGGACTTTAGAGTTTCCCTCTCATCATCCTGTTTAATACTTACATTAACCCTGCCAGGGAATATTCCACTTGAGATAATGGGGCTCCGTAGGGTTGGTGTACCCAAGGTTAAATGGCCTGTAAACCTAAGTCACCAAACCCAATACAAAGCTCCCCTATACCCAAGGTTAAATGGCTTGTAAACCTAAGTCACCAAACCCAATCCAAAGCTCCCCTACAGGCTGAGAGGAGAGCTATGAGGGAGGTGGGAACAGTGAGCAAAGGGGCTCCAGCACCTCCTTGCCCTCACTTTTGCCCTTCACTCTCTCCTTCCCCTTTTGGTCACTCAGCAACCTTTATTTAGAATGAAATGCTAAGGAATTATCCATCCAAACCTCATCTAAGGTTGCTCAGGTCATCCTCCTAGAACTACTTGTTACCCTGACTCTTAGCTAAACACCACAGTCCTTCCTACTGCACGAAGTCTCAGGGTCTTGCCCTGGCATTCTGTCCTCCTCAGTTTGATCCTGACCCCCTGGGCTGAATGCCTGAATCGCCTTTGTCCATACTGCCTTCCTGGAATGCCCTCCCTTTCACTTATCAGAATCGTAGCAGACATTCTGCAGATTCACACACCTAGACCCCAACTGCAGACCTCAGACCCAGAGCCCATCTGCCCCTGCAGGCAGGTGCCTCACCCAGTTAGCAAGCACTGCCCTATATCAAGGTCAGCCTTCCCACCAACCAAGCCCAGTTCAAATCCTAGTGACTAAATGAGACTCCCACACACACCCCATAATGATAGCACCCACCTCCAAAATCCAGAAGCGATTACTGACTGTATCACAGTGGTGCCAATTAATGCTACCACCTCCTGTTATTTATACTGTTATATATTCTTCCTGTCTCCTAGATTATACTTTTTTTTGAAAATTGCACGAATTCAGTCTTATATTTTTTTCATAGAGCATGACTTTTTATACACAGCAGCCCTTCAACCAACCCCACACAGCGCTGCAGCTCAGCACCATGTCCACCTGGAATCACGCGTGTCAGGTCGCAAGCGCAGAAGAACAGATGCAGACACGGTCCATCCTCCCATCCTGCGCCCTCATGAGAACGGTCCATGTAACGCGGTTCCCAATGTCTAGCACCGCACTGTCCTCAGCGAGGCTCCTAATGCAGATGGGTGGATGAGGATGAACAGCTATTCCCAACCATCAGTGATCACAACCACAAAACCATCTTTCAGGAGAGGAAAAAAGAAATGTCACACATGACTAAGCATAAGCCTTCAAATATCTACTCACTGAGGACATGTCTAGTATTAAATCATGACACTTCACTATCCAGAAAAATTGATTTGTGTAATCTGAAGAGAAAACAGCTCACATGCAATGCCAGAAAATTAGCCCCACCACACCAGAAAATGTTTACTGCAGAGAAAGCCTTGGTGATTTGAGAGTTGGGACCTTTCTCTTTTCCTTTTTATTTTTTATTTTTGGCTTGGTTGGTTATTATCCAAAGCCATAAACATGATCTGCCCACACTTTTCCCCACCAGATGGGAGCTCATCAAGCCACATGTCACCTAGCAACCTAAACACCACTCCACAACTATCCAGCCACCCAATTCTTCACACAGAATTTCTCTTGTTCTATTAGGCAATACGGATAAGGAACAGATAGAGAATAAAAGTTAAAACAGTGTTAAATACATATTAACACTTCCTCATCACTTAATATAGAATGGGAAAAGTAGTAAGAAAGACTAAAAATTAATCTTAATCATTGTCTAGCAATTTCAGAAGAAAAACGAGAAAAAGGAGACCTAGAAGACACTCCAGCTCTGGCAACATTTAAGGGTCAACAATCTTGGGATCCAATGACTGAACTTGGTATACTGCAAAGCCCCCGTTAAAATTCACCTACAGAACTCTAAGTTGTACTTAAAGAGCATGTAAGTGTTGGAACCCCTGACCCATCTCTGACCCTCCCTCTCATCTCCAACTCCCATGTCACTATCACCCTCCCTTCCTTCAGCTCATAGGCCCCTTTTCTCTTTGTGACACCTTCCCAGACACCCTTAAAAAACTGCACTCCCTTTTCTACGCCCTGTGAAACAACCACTGCTAATCGTTAATAAGGACCAGGTCCGTGACCAAGGCCCTGCACTCTAGCCACCCAGCATCCCAGAGGCCACCTCTTCTCCCCATGTCATCACCAGCTCCTTCACCTGGAGGACCCCGCAGCCTCTTGCTCAGCTTCTCACAGCCAGTGGGTCCCTTAGATGTCCAGCACCCAGAACAGTGCCATGGACACAGTCAAAGCTTCAGAATTTCTGTGGAACGAATGCCTGGAACAACTACATTTGAACTACTGCCAAACAGGCAGTTCAGCCTATGTCTATTTTGTGCAGGATGAAACATGGGACACAGTAGGTAAAACAATTTTAATCACATAAAATTAGTAAAGTGAAAGAAAATGTTGACCACCCTCTTCCTATTCAGGAGCCTAGACGTACTGCAGAGTGCATATTACTTTATTTCTCTTTCCTTGCACAATTTGTTTTGTTGGTTTCCAGAGTGCCTGAACAATTTGAGTACTCTTTTGGAACATTTAAAGCATAAACTGTCACACATAAACAACACTTAAAAATGCTAAATGTCCATTTAGATGGTTTTCTTTCCCTTTGTCAGCTTTGCAAGATAAACAGGTGCCCAATTCCCACTAATTTTATTTGATTTTCAATAAAAGAGTTCAACTGTAAGGAACATAACAGAGCTACTAAAGCCAACGTCTTCCATCCTTGTGTCGGGTCTCCAAACGTCCCCCAAAATTATCTTTAAAAGGCCAAATTTATGCTATTTTTTCCAATATATACTAAAAGCAAAACAAAAGTCTAAAAAGCTTTTACTTCTTAATTTCTGAGAGAACTGAAGATGCCACCGGAGTACCCTGTGTACGCTCAATAGGGCTGACCAAGCCACTTTCCAACGTCATTTGCAGCCCCCAAGCCCACAGGGGCCAGGCCACTGTCGGGAACAAATGGGAAATACTGCACCCAAACGAATGCGCTCCCCACCAAAGAGGACTCTACTACAAAGGAAATATATCCCCGGGTGCTTGGGAGAAACTTCAGCGTGGGCTGTTGTCAAACACAGACACAGTCGGTAAAACAATTTAACAAAACGCCTTTTCACTTCTGACACACAGTAGAGGAATGCTGTGAAGTGGAGACAATGTTATCAGTCCACCAGGAAAAAGGGAAATCCACTCAACTCCCAAGTCAGGCCCGGCCCCGCAGCCCAGCCACATGGAACCAGCCCGGGATAGGTAGGAGCTGAGGTCCTCGCAGGAAAACTTTTCATTCCGCGACTCTTCCAAGGTTGTGCTTTCCAGAGCCCAGCAAGTGGGATCAGCTCAGTAAATGCTCGCAAGCGAGTGCCAAGTGCCAGCGGTGGCCCTCCCGGGAACGCCTCCCCGACCCCAAGCCGGCGACTCCCCAAACCCTGCAGCCCCCGGACGCGACGGGCCGCCCCTGCCGGCCCCTACCAGCAGGGGACATGGAGGAAAAGCCCCCCGCCGCTGTTCCGCCCCCGCCCGAGTAAGGGAGAGGAGGCAGAAGGCTCGCAACCCGCCTCTGTCGGAAGGGCAGTCACGAAACTCTCCTCACACCAAAAGTTCCCAGTCCCCGGCCTGTGCCCCCGGGGCCTGGGAGCCGGGAAAGGCCTGGGGCTGGATTTCCCGGCCTGCGCCCCCCGCGCGCTGGCTCGGGGCTTGGCTGGGTCTGCAGACTCCGGGGAGGCGCCCAGGGCCGGCCTATGCGCCGCTGCCCGGCTCGCCCCGCGCTACCGAGGCCGGAGCTCCCGGGCGGAGGGTGAGGGCGGGGGCCGCGGGACCCGGCTGGGTGTCCCAGAGGCTGCGCCCCGGCCCGCGCAGAGAACTTTGGCGCCCGCAGTCCGGGGCGGGGGGCGCCCGCGAGGCCCGACCGGCCGCACTTTCCCTTTCCCCGCCTCCCTGCGCCTCTCCTCCCCCTTCCAGGAAGCGCCATATTGATCCCGGCGCCGTCCCCGCCGCCGCCCCCTCCCCGCCCGCGCCCCCGGCCCCTCACCTTGGCGATGGCCTTCCGGTAGCGGGTCACCGCCTGCTGGATGAGGCTGAAAACTTTCATGTGGCCGTCCCCGCACGGCACGACCACCCGGGTCCGTCCGAAGCACACGGTCACTTTCATGCCGCCGCCGCCGCGGGCGGGCCCGCGCCCCTCGCCGAGCGCAGCCGGAGCAGCCGAGGCCGGGACCGAGGACGCTGGGCGCGGAGGAGCCGCTGGGGACTCGGGCGCGCGGGCGGCTAGGGGCGCGGGCAGGCGGCGGCGACGCCGGGGGGCCGCTCAGCTCGCATGCCCGGCCCGGCCGCCCTCGCCTCGCCTCGCTTCGCCCGGGGCTTGCCTCGCCTCTCCCCGCCGCGGCGCCCGCAGCCTCCGGCCACCTGTTCGGCGTCGCGGCGCGCTCGCCGGCGGCTGCCCGGGGCTGTGTGGCGCTGGCGCTCGCTCGGGGCCGCTGGGGGAGGGGACGGCGGGAGGGGAGGGGAGGGGAGGGGAGGGGAGGGGGAGGAGCAGGGCAGGGCACACAACACCGCGCACATGCGGCAGGGGGAGGCGCGGCCGGCTACCCGCGCGGGGCGGAGCGCAGGACCGCAGCTCGCGCCCCCGCCACCGCCCTCGGGGGCCGACCTCCTTCCCTCCTTCCCTCCCTCCCTCCCTCCCTCCGGGGGCGCGGGACCCCTCGCCCCAGTGCCAGCACGGGCAGGCGGCCGTCTGCCCCCACCAGCCCTGGCCCAGGCGCCCCCCAGCCCCCTTCACCCCGCCCGCCCAGCACCCTGCAGGGCTGCGTCGCCCCTCCTCGGGGACGCCCCTTCCACGCCTCCAGAAGTCTCCACGGAGCCCCCCTTCCCCTTTCTTTGTCACTTTTAATCCCATTCCTCGAACTGGAGGGTTTTGGGTGCAGGCGCTCCCGGGGAAAGCAGTTTGTGCTCAGTGCGGTGAGTCCCCTCCTCACCGCCCCGGAGGCTCCAGCCCGAGCCTCTCCGCCCGCGGGGACTCGAGCCTGCAGCTTGCTCGGCTGGGTTTCTGCCCTGCCCGCTCCCTAGCTCTGCTGCAGGGCCGGCAGCGGCAGTTCTGCCTGAAACGCAAGAATTAATAGTCTGCTCTGGGGAGACAGTGGGGAAGCCGTGAGCGACCGGGCCTTTTCCAGAGGCCACTATTTACCTTGAAGTTTCCTGTTGACCCTCTGCTGACCCACCCGCTTAAATAGATTAGAACTTAAACATCGCAATTCTGATACATTTATTTCTTTGAAGTTCTGCAGCATAAGGAATCCTAACGCGAATCCGTGAACAGTCTATTCCGACGGCGCAGAGAAATCTCACGCGGGGATCCCCACGATGTGCCGGCGCTTAACGCAGACGCCCGAACCCAGGGGAAGGCTGCGACTCCGCGATGAGTGACATGCGGGCTTGAGACGTTCTAAAGGAACGTGGACCGAGTTAGGGAACGTAACTGAAGCTCATTTTGTCTTAGTTATGGACTATGAGTCCTTAATAAATGTATGTCATTATGTTTAAAGAATGACAAATGTCTGCAAAGAGTGGTCCCTGTCCCAAGCCCTTTCCAGACTATGTGAAATTCTTTTTTGCCAGTTGTTTCCAAGACACGTGAAAGCAATCAAGCTCCCCTGGGTTGGCGCAGAACTTGAGCACTTAAGAGCTGGAAGAGCTGGCGATCGACCATCCATCCCACTCCACCTCCAATCTTAAAACAAGGAAACAAGACACGAGGTTCGTCCGCTTGCCACACTCCCTGCGCTTTGCAGCACCGCAGCTGCCCCAGCATAGTGCAGTTTCTCCTAGGAAACATTGCCCTTCCTCTCCTCTCCCAGCCCTGGACCACCACTTTCCACCACCTGTCCCAGCAAATCAGTGCAGTGGTGTTAGCCCCATCTTACTCCAGGACATTGACCCAGGGCCAAAGTCACTTGCCCAAGGCGGCAGAGAAAGCTCAAGGCAGACCCAGAAATAGTCTAGGTTTCCCTCCTTCCACTCAGCCATGGGAAAGGCTCCTCCTACTGCTGTTTGGCTGCAGCACTAGACATTTCTAGCCAGTAATTAAGTTTGTGACAACGATGACAACAACTGTTGATGTGGGTTTTTTGCTTCTTACATAGATACTTGGATCCACAACAACAATTACTGATAATTATAGGTGTTGTTTCTGTTTTCATGCATTGGGAGAGTATACTACTAGTTTAGAATGTATACTACTTTATTTTATTTTGTGTTTTTTACATTTATTTATGTATTTATTTTTATTTATTTATTTATTTATTTATTTTGAGACCAAGTCTCGCTCTGTTGCGCAGGCTGGAGCGCAGTGGCGTGATTTCGGCTCAGTGCAACCTCCGCCTTCTGGATTCAAATGATTCTCCTGCCTCCGCCTCCCGAGTAGCTGGGATTATAGGTGCCCGCCACCACGCCCAGCTAATTATTGTATTTTCAGTTAGAGACAGGGTCTCACCATGCTGGCCAGGCTGGTCAATCCGCCCGCCTCAGCCTCCCAAAGTGCTGGGATTGCAGCGTGAGCCACCGCGCGGCAGAGAATGTATACTAGTTTTGATGCTACACTAGTTCAGAGGGGTATACTAGCTTGAGTATAATAAATTAGAGTGGGGCTTTCTCAAAATAATTCTAATCGAAAGTCATTTTTCAGTAATAACCAGAGTACATAGGACATCACACTGATCTAGGTTCAGATCCATATTTGGCCACTTACTAGTGCCTTAGACACAACAGTCACTCTTTCTCCAGCCCGTTTTATCAGCTGAAAAGTAGAGAAGTAGAGCTTATCATATCCATATCCATCTCATAGATCTCATAGGTTATGAGTCAGTCTTTCTTTTTTTTTGAGATAGAGTCTTGCTCTGTTGTTCAGGCTAAAGGGCAATGGCACAATCTTAGCTCACTGCTGCCTCAGACTCCCAGGCTCAAGCAATCCTTCCTCAGCCTCTAGAGCAGCTAAGACTACAGACAAATACCACTATGCCCAGCTAATTTTTAAATTGTTTGTAGAGATAAGGTCTCACTATGTGGCCCAGGCTGGTCTTGAACTCCTGTCCTCAAGCGATTCTCCCGCTTCAGCCTCCCATAGTGCTGGGATTACAGGTGTGAGCCACGGCACCTGGTCATAAGTTATGAATGTTAAATAAAATAATGTATCAGAAAACAGTACGGCTGGGTATGGTGGCTCACGCCTGTAATCCCAGCATTTTGGGAGGCCGAAGTGGGCAGATACCTGAGCTCGGGAGTTCGAGACCAGCCTGACCAACATGGAGAAACCCCGTCTCTACTAAAAATACAAAATTAGCCGGGCATGGTGGCACATGCCTGTAATCCCAGCTACTCGGGAGGCTGAAGCAGGAGAATCGCTTGAACCCAGGAGGCCGAGGTTGCGGTGAGCCGAGGGCAACAAGAATGAAACTCTGTCTCAAAAGAAAAAAAAAAAAACAGTACATGCTGCCACGCTGCCACATGGGAATGTATAGCGTAGTACAGTCCAGTTACCGTAATGAAGGCAGAGGGTAACAAAGTCCAGCACAGGATAGCAAATGATGACAGTGGAGGAGGCAGGAGAGATGAGGAGGACAGGAGAAGACCAAGGCTCAAAGAAATGACTAGCCAGGTGATACAACTTTCCAGTGACTGGGCTAGGACTACAACCAAAAACTCCAGCTCTGACTCTCAGGCCTGCACTCAATTCACTTAAATTTGATTCCACATGCAGTTAGTAAAGACCTTCCTTGCAGGAAGCACTGGCTAAATATTACAGAATTATAAAGGTGAGTAAAAGAAGGACAATCTAGAGGTCAGAATAAGATAGCTATTCCAATAACTATAATTCAACACATTAAATATTCAGTGCCAGCAAAGTGTTTATGGCGGTACTAGAGAAGGGGGAAGCTTTCATAACAGAGATGACATCAGGATATGTGGATACCATTTTATGTACATCAATTCCTTTAACTATTCAATACCTAATAAGGATATGGATGTTTTTAAAAAATATGATCCAGAGGATTAATAACACTGATTCCACCAACCAGATAAAGCCTTACAGCTGTATTTAAATCTACCTAGTTTATCTAGATGCAGTGATTCCGTTTATATTAATAATGGATGAAAAACTAGTACTGCATAATTCTAGATGCCAGAGCCTTTGGTGTCTTGAGTCAAAATTCATGAAAATTTTTTTGTAATTCATAAAATTTCATGACACATTGGGAATACATATCCAAGTCCTCACCTGCCCAAATAGAGCCCCCTTCAAAATATTCCAGGGTTGCCCTCAACCAGTCCATCAGCAACCATCACCAAAGTATCCACTGCCTTTTTTTTTTTTTTTTTTTTTTTTGAGATGCAGTCTTGCTGTTGCCTAGGCTGGAGTGCAGTAGCACGATCTTGGCTCACTGCAACCTCTGCCTTCCGGGTTCAAGGGATTCTCCCACCTCAGCCTCCCAAGTAGCTGGGATTACAGGCGTGCACCACCACGCCCGGCTAATTTTTATACTTTATAGTAGAGACAGGGTCTCACCATGTTGGCCAAGCTGGTCTCAAACTCCTGACCTCAAATGATCCACCCACCTCAGCCTCCCAAAGTGCTGGGATTACAGGTGTGAGCCACCATGCCTGGCCCTTCTCTGCATTTTCGTTCTCCTGTTCTGGTTCCCAGACACTGCTGGAAGGTATGTCAGCACTGCCCTGCTGAGAGAGCCCACTTTGCAAAAACTTGAGTCCAGGCTGAGATCACCACTTCTAGAAGCCCCGGTGTCACCCAGCCTCAGAATGCCAGAAAAGGCCCATCCCTGCAGAAAGTAAGCACCCATGTTTGCCATGACCCACCACTCAGAGCCCAAGTCCCCAGTCAAATATCTCCCTCCTTCCCAGGTCCCAGAGCTGAAGAATGAGGTAGCTTGTTGGTGAAGTCCATGAAAGTTGGCAGAACAAGGTGGAGGCTGGCAGAGCAGGTGATATTAACACTCAACTCTGTTAAAGACAAATGTGCAGCAGAGTGGAATAAAGCCACCTCAGCCACTCACTTTCTGGCGGGCCACCTTGACTGGAGGCAGGATTTGGAAAGTCCAGTGATATGAAGAGGTGCTTCGTGGTGATGCTTTATAAATGCCAGTTCTAGCTGAGCATGGTGGCTCATGCCTGTAATTGCAGACTTTGGGAGGCTGAGGTAGGAGGATCACTTGAGCCCAGGAGTTTGAGACCAGCCTGGGTAACATAGTGAGACTCTATCTATACGAAAGTTAAAAATTAGCTGGGTGTAGTGGCAAACACCTGTGGTTCCAGCTATGAGGCTGAAGGATCACTTGAACCCAGGAGTTTGAGGCTGCAGTGAGCCATGATCATGTCCCTTCACTCCAATCTGGACGACAGAGTGACACACTATCTCAAAAAATAAAATAGGGCCGGGCACAGTGGCTCACGCCTATAATCCCAGCACTTTGGGAGGCCAAGGCAGGTGGATCACCTGAGGTCGGGAGTTCAAGACTAGCCTGGCCAACATGGTGAAACCTCGTCTCTACTAAAAATATAAAAAATTAGCTGGGTGTTGTGGCAGACACCTGTAATCCCAGCTACTGGTGAGGCTGAGGCAGGAGAATTAGTTGAACCCAGGAGGCGGAGGTTGCAGTGAGCTGAGATGGCACCATTGCACTCCAGCCTGGGCAATAAGAGTGAAACTCCGTCTCAAGATAAATAAATAAAATAAAATATAAATGCCAGTTATTTCAGCCTAATCTTTGAGAGGGAAGTTCAGAGTCAAGTTCTTCGGTGAGGCTTAGAGTGCTGGCCTTCTAGGTTGCTGGGGGAAGCCAAAGGTGCAGGTAGTAAGATTGCTGCTATTTGGGGGAATTTCAGCATTTGAACCAGGATTCTCTGGTGGGTAAAAGTCCATCCTGCCTTCCCTCTGAGGCAGGCATGGCTTTATCAGGAACATAAGGTACTGAAAGTTAATTGGATGTGGTGGCTTACACCTGTAATTGCAGCTACATGGGAGGCAGAGGTGGGAGGATCACTTGAGCCCAGAAGTTCAAGACCTACAGAAAGTTAAAAATTTGGCCAAGCATGGTGGTGCATGCCTGTAGTACCAGCTACCTGGAAGGCCAAGGTGGGAGAATTGCTTGAGCCCAGGAGTTGGAGGCTGCAGTGAGCTATGATTGCACTGTTGGACTCCAGCCTGGGAGAGAGAGTGAGACCCTATCTCTATAAAAAGACAAAAAAAAAAAAAAAAAGTACCAAAAGTTTTTTTTTTCTCTTTCTCTCTCTCCCTCTCTCTCTCTCTCCTTTAAAAAACTTTGAGAATGCCTGGGCGTGGTGATTCATGCCTATAATCCCAACACTTTGGGAGGCCGAGGCAGGCGGATCACCTGAGGTCAGGAGTTCGAGACCAGCCTGGCCAACATGGCAAAACCCTGTCTCTACTAAAAACACAAAAAGTAGCCAGGCGTGGTGACAGGCGCCTGTAATCCCAGCTACTTGGGAGGCTAAGGCAGGGAGAATCCCTTGAACCCAGGAGGCGGAGGTTGCAGTGAGCCGAGATTGCACCATTGCACTCCAGCCTGGGCGACAGAGCGAGACTCTGTCTCAAAAAAAAAAAAAATTAAATGGCTCAAATTCTCAAATCCTGAAAGAATCTGGATGGGTAGGAGAAACAGCTGGAGCCTATAATCCCAGCTACTGAAGAAGCTGAGGCAGGAGGATCATTTGAGCCCAGGAGTTCAAGGCTGCAGTGAGTTATGATGGCACACTGCAGTGTAGCCTGGGCAACAGAGTGAGACCCATCTGAAAGAAAGGAAGAAAGAGAGAAAAGAAAGAAAGAAAGAGAGGAAAGGAGAGAGAAGGAAAGAAAGAGAAAGAAAGAAAGAAGAGAGAAAGAGGAAGGAAGGAGAGAGAGAGAAAAGGGAAGGAAGGAGAAAGAAAGAAAGAAAAAGAAAGAAAGAAAAAGAGAAAGAAAGAAGAGATAAAGAGGAAGGAAGAAGGAGAGAGAAAAGGAAGGAAGGAAAAAGAAAAGAAAGGAAGGAAGGAGGGAGGGAGGGGAGGGAGGAGAAGAAAGGAAAGGAAAAGAAAGCAAAGGAAAGAAGGGGAGGAAAATAAAGAGAAAGAAAAATAAGGAAAGAAAAGGGGAGGGAGGAAGGGAGGGAGGGAGAGGGAGGGAGGAAGGAAGGAGGGAAAAGGAAGGAAGGAAAGAAAAAGAAGGGAGGGAGGAAGGGAGGGAGGGAGGAAAGAAAAGAAAGAAAAGAAAAAGAAGTGAGGGAGGGAGGAAGGAAGGAAGGCAGGCAGGAAGGATGGCCCTATCTGGGTTTCCAGCCTCAAGCCTCTCCAGCACTGCCTCCAACCTACCTGGAGCAGGAAAGTCCTCTTCCCAATAGGTTCTCCAGAACCAGACCTACGGGTGTCAGAGGAGGCGAGTGGCTTTGAGGCTGCTTCAGATGAGGCCCAGGGCCCCGGGCCCCTGACATTCTGTGTAATAATTCTGGTATGCTGTACCAGTGCACATCCAGCCCCAGTAATCCCCTGTACCTGATTTTAAATGGCTGACTCATCCCTCCCCACTCTGTCAAGTTACCCTATTAAGCCGGGAGTTCAATTTCAAAAACTCTCTATGGTGCTTTGGAATTTCATTCGCTCAGTGTCGTGGCAGAGGCACCATGCTTGTTCCAGCTGGGGAGGTTTACTTGGATGGAACACCAGGCAGTAGATCTGCAGTGGTAGATCCAGAACCCACAGAAATCTTTCGTTGTTGTTGTTGTTATTGTTGTTTTTGGAGGCAGTATCTTGCTCTGTACCCCAAGCTAGAGTGCAGTGTCACAATCATAGCTCACTGCAGCCTCGAACTCCTAGCTTCAAGCAATCCTCCTGCCTCAGCCTCCAAAATAGCTAGGACTTCAGGTGTGTTCCACCATGCATGGATTTTTTTTTTTTTAATTTTTTTGTAGAGATAGGGTCTTCCTATGTTGTCCTGGCTGGTTGTAAAGTGGTCCTCCTGCCTCAGCCTCCCAAAGTGCTGGAATTACAGGTGTGAGCCACTGCGTCCAGCCTTTCTTTCATCTATCTATCTATCTATCTATCTATCTATCTATCTATCTATCTATCTATCTATCAAGATGGGGATCTAGGCCAGGTGAGGTGGCTCACACCTATAATCCCAGCACTTTGGGAGGCTGAGGCAGGCAGATCATGAAGTCAAGAGATCGAGACCATCCTGGCCAACATGGTGAAACCCCGTCCCTACTAAAAATACAAAAATATGAGCTGGTTGTGGTGGCGCACCTGTAGTTCCAGCTACTCAGGAGGCTGAGGCAGGAGAATCACTTGAACCTGGGAGGTGGAGGTTGCAGTGAGCCGACATCGCGCCACTGCACTCCAGCCTGGTGACAGAGGGAGACTCCATCTCAAAAAAAATAAATTAATTTAAAAAAAAAATAAAGACGAGGATCTCACTATGTTACCTTTCTGGTCTTGAACTCTTGGCCTCAAGCCATCATCCCACCATGGCTTCCCAAAATGCTGTGATTACAAGCATGAGCCATCATGCCTGGCCTGGTCATCTATATTTTGGGATGACCTCCTGGTGACTCTAATGCACAGTGAAGTTTGAGAGCCACTACTTGTCTCAAATTTGTCTACCAATTAGAGCCAAGGTATTGTAATATATTCAATGTGAGACCCTAGAAATCAGTACATAATTTTTTTTTTTTTTTTTGAGATGGAGTTTCACTCTTATTGCCCAGGCTGGAGTGCAATGGTGCGATCTTGGCTCACCACAACCTCCACCTCTTGGATTCAAATGATTCTCCTGCCTCAGCCTCCCAAGTAGCTGAGATTACAGGCATGTGCCACCACGCCCTGCTAATTTTGTATTTTTAGTAGAGACAGGGTTTCTCCATGTTGGTCAGGCTGGTCTCGAACTCCTGACCTCAGGTGATCCTTTTACCTCGGCCTCCCAAAGTGCTGAGATTACAGGCATGAGCCACCTCGCCCGGCTCATAAAAAGTTCTTAATTCATGGGTTGAATAAATTATGTAATGGATGAATATATTATGTAATGGTTGAATAAATTATGTTACGGATGTTTGAACTTACGGTCATTCCTAGTGTGACGTGGGGCCTAGAATACTGGAAAATGAATTACATGGTCCCCTCTAGTTTTATGTAATTGAAATCGGGTTAAAATTAATGTCAAGAGAACATTTAGTGCAGAGGAAAGTATCTCAAAAGCTTTAAAGTGAACACGGAATGCAATGTGTGAGGTGGCCATGAAAGTGGAGAGTGTGGCCCTCTTTGCTTTGGACACACTAGTGTCTGCACGTGTCTGTGTATATGTGAGTGCACACGTGTGTGTGTGTGTGTGTGTGTGTGTGTGTGCGCATGTGTGCCTGCCAGCACAACCTCCCTTTCCTGCTCTGGATCCTCATGAGCCCAGCAATGGTGTGGAGCTGAGAACAATAGCCTTTCTTCCCTGCATCCTAAGGCTGGCGCTGAGGGTAATTCAGGCAGGGTGTCCCACGGAGCAAGTGCAGGAAGCAGGAACGGGAGCACTGGTGACCAGGAAGCTTTGTGGAATTGGAGGATTCTTGGAAGTGAGTGGCCGGAGGAAAAGGGTGAAAAGTATATTACGGGGCAAGGCACGGTGGCTTATGCCTGTCATCCTAGCACCTTGGGAGGCTGAGGTGGGCAGATGACTTGAGCCCAGGAGTTTGAGACCAGCCTGGCCAACATGATGAAACTCAGTCTCTACTTAAAAAATACAAAAATTAGACAGGTGTGCTGGTGCATACCTGTAATCCAGCTACTCGGGAGGCTGAGGCATGAGAATTACTTGAACCCTGGAGGCAGAGATTGCAGTGAGCCCCAATCTGGGCAAAAGAGTGAGACTGTCTTAAAAAAAAAAAAAAAGTATATCTGGGGAACTGATAAGTGGTGGGCCTTTTGTGCACAAATTACTCTGTTTATTCAGACAGGGGTCTTTGAAGGATTTGGAGTACAAGACTGGGACTGGGAAAGTGCCTTGGAAAAGAGTCATATCAGCTAAAGTGGCACCCAATTCACCATCCTGGCAGAATGGTAACAAGCAGACATTCTGGGGTGGGGAGTGCCCTGCCCCCTGCAGCTAAAGCTGGAGATAATCAGGGCTCCCCCTGAATGGACAGCTGCTCCCCTCCCCGAGGTGCTGGGGCCTCCAGCTCCCTCTGCTGCCCTCCTTGGCATGGCCACTGCCACACTCTCCACTGCACTGCTGCAGCCTATCCCTCCTGCCCCAGGCTGGGACACCTTTCCGCTCCCCAAGCTCCAGGGTGAACACCAAGCTTGTTCACCCACCTCACTGGCCACAGCTAGAGACCAAGGCACCATGCTTCCTCCTAAGTCCCTCAGAAACTTTCCCAGGGGCCTAAAGCTGCCCAGAGTCAGAAATAAGTTGCGGTCTGTAAGCTGCGGCCCTAAGGCCACACATCCTCCCCAGTGTCCTCTCTCTGAATACCTGGGTCCTAACCCTGGATCCTGGTGCCTCAGCCACCTTCAAGCCTGTTTTCCACTGCAGCACAACCCCTGATTTCACATGCCTCCAAGGCATCCTTGTAGATCTTCCAGTCTTCTGCAGAAAATTCATTCCTTCATTCAACTTTTACTGGGCAATTAGTATTTTGTCAAGCACTATGTTAACTAATGGTGATAAAAAGATAAGATATAGTATCTGCCCTCAAGGATGTTCTCTTCCCGCTAGGAGGGGGCTGGAGATTGATATAAATAGGCCACTGTAATACAATATGTAGTTTACTACGGGAACAAAGTCTAGAAACCTCTGTGGGGCAGGATGGAAATGGATTACAAACAGATTGAGGAGTTCCTCTAAGAAAGAATCAAAAAGACTGCAGGCTGGGCATGGTTGCTCACACCTGTAATCCCAGCACTTCAGGAGGCCAAGGCAGGAGGATTGCATGAGATCAGAAGTTGGAAACCAGCCTGGGCAACATGGCAAAAACCCATCTCTACAAAAAATACAAAAATTAACTGGGTGTGGTGGCATGTGCCTATAGTCCCAGTACTCAGGAGGCTGAGATGGGCGGGTCACTTGAGCTCAGGAGGTTGAGGCTGCAGTGATTTGAGATAGCTCCACTACACTCCAGCCTAGGTGACAGAGCAAGAACCTGTCTCAAAAAATAAATAAATAAAAATTTTAAAATGAAACTGCGTCAATGAGGTGGATGCGGTTAATTGGCAATGAGCGTCTCAGCGCTCTCCTAACATGTCTTCCTGTGCTGCAGAGGCTGGAAGGCTAATGCTCTGTTTCCCAGGCTCTTCTGCAGATAAGGGTCTAGATACAAACTGGACTCCACCTATTCAGGTTCAGTAGCATGAGATGTTAATGGTGGTGTGACTGGGCTGTTGTGACTTGTCGCATTTCTGGGGTGAGTGTCCAGCTTCACAGGTGACCAGAAGCAAGGTGAGTACACCTGGAGGCAGGGCATAGTGTGCAGTAGGCAGGCTCGGGTGGGAGAAGTTCAGGTCCCCGGACTGCAGCGCCTCCTTCACCACTACAGCCGAGATCAAGCCACTGCATGCTAGCCTGGGCGGCAGAGTGAAACTCTGTCTCAAAAACAACACACACACACACACACACACAACTGTAAAATGAGCAGATATAGAATAAAATGGATGAAGAGAACAAAGATAACTAAAGTTCAATACTGTGATAACAGGAAAATTATAGGGTCATTGACAGGTATGGAACTCAGTAGGATTATCAGGTTTTTTGTTTGTTTGTTTTTGTTTTTTTTAGATGAAATCTTGCTCTATTGCCCAGGCTGGAGTGCAGTGGCATGATCTCAGCTCACTGCAACCTTCACCTCCTGGGTTCAAGTGATTCTCATGCCTCAGCCTCCAGAGTTGTTGGGATTACAGATGCACGCCACCACGCCCAGCTAATTTTTGTATTTTTAGTACAGATGGGGTTTCACCGTGTTGGCCAGGCTGGTCTCGAACTCCTGACCTCAGGTGATCCACCCGCCTCGACCTCCCTAACTGCTGGGATTACAGGTGTGAGTCACCACACTTGGCTTAGGAGTATCAGTTTTAAGATGAGGAAAACGGTGTTAAATATGTAAAGATTCCACAGTTTATAGGGGAATGTGGAATATAGTTCAGAAGAACACTGTTATTGCAGACTGTAATTGTATGGCTTTATTACATCATGTGCACTAGGGAATCTTGTGCATCCATTGAGAGTGGGCTGGGAGAATATTTTCTGGCAAGTAAATATCATTGTAGAACAGCACTCTGTATTGTGAAATGGAGAGAATACGAGATTTAAACCCAGAAGACCTGAATTTGAGCCTTCTCTCCACTGGCAGTGTCGTTGGCCACATTAAGTAACCAATAATTATGACACTATTTCTACCTCTGTACAATGTAAAAAACTCAAGTGCATAATTCTGGGGTTGCTGTAACAATCAAATGAGGTGTTTTCTTTTTGCTTTTTTGAAACAGAGTTTTGCTCTGTCACCCAGGCTGGAGTGCAGTGGCATGATCATGGCTCACTGCAGCCTTCACCTCCTGGGCTCATGCAATCGTTCCTACCTCAGTCTCCCAAGTAGCTGGGACTGCAAGTGCACGCCACCACACCCAGATAATTTTTTAACTTTTTGTAGAGAGAGGGTCTCACTATGTTGCCCAGGCTGCTCTTAAGCTCCTGGGCTCAAGTGATCCTCCCACCTCAGCCTCCCAAAGTGCTGGGGCTACAGACATGAGCCGCTAGGCCCGGCGTCAAATAAGATTCTTAAAAGAAAATGTTTTGTTAAACGTAATACATTCTATAGATGTCAGTGATTATGGTTCCTATTTCATTTTCAGCTTGCCCTCTTTCTAATATTTTACAAATGTCTTTGAAACATCAAGGGCAGTGATTTTTTCCACTAATATTTTAGGGGTGCATGTTTATCATTATGGTTTTTCTGATTACAAAAATAATCATGCTCTGTTAACACAATTCAGACATAATGTAAATAGGAGAAAAAGTGAGTAACACCCATCCGCAACCACCACTCCCCCGCCCCCACAAGAGATATCTGGAGTTTGCTACATCCTGTTTCCAGACATCTTCCTCTGTTTATGAACCTAGTCTCTCCATTAAGCCCAACAGGGAAATGTCATAGAAATTCGACTTCATTTTTGTTTCCCTCTGCCTTTTTAAAGTTTATTCAGTGGAGGCTGGGCCCAGTGGCTCATGCTTGTAATCCCAGCACTTTAGGAGGCCGAGGTGGGTGGATCACCTGAGGTCAGGAGTTCGAGACCAACGTGGCCAACATGGTGAAACCCCATCTCTACTAAAAATACAAAAATTAGCCAGGCATGGTGGTGCGTGCCTGGAGTCTGAGCTACTCGGGAGGCTGAGGCAGGAGAATCGCTTGAACCCAGGAGGTGGAGGTTGCAGTGAGCCGAGATCTCACCACTGCACTCCAGCCTGGGCGACAGAATGAGGCTCTCATCTCAAAAAAAAAAGAAAAAAAAAATTATTTAGTGGTGAACTTTTCCTCTCCTGCTAGCTGGAAACTTGGCAGTCCCCTCAATTTTCTTGCTCAGAAGACTGTCGTGCAATCACAAAATACAGTGTCAAATCAGAAATGAAGTTTGAGATTTCATTCATCAATTCAGCTTTGATTCAAAGACGTTTCCTTTCCTGAAGGTGGTGTGGTCTGCTCTTCTTTCTCTTTTATCCTCTTTCCCTCTTGCTTATTGGCAAAGTCAAGGGGGTTGGAGAAGAGAAGGGAGGCCAGGCTTGGTGGCTCACACCTGTAATCTCAGCACTTTGGGAGGGTGAGGCGGGCAGATCACCTGAGGTCAGGAGTTTGAGACCAGCCGGGGCCAACATGGTGAAATCCCATCTCTACTAAAAATACAAAAAAATTAGCTGGGCGTGGTGGCCCGTGCCTTTAGTCCCAGCAACTTGGGAGGCTGAGGCAGAAGAATCGCTTCAACCCGGGAGGCAGAGGTTGCGGTGAGCTGAGATCACGCCACTGCACTCCAGCCTGGGTGACAGAGCAAGACTGTCTCAAAAGAAAAAAAGTGTGGGGGGGTAAGATAAACAGTCGCAGAACCCCAGTTTTCAGTATTTACTTTGAAGATGCCTCCAAGGTGGACTGTGTCATTTAATATCTGATATCAGACCTTAATCGTGCAGTAGAAAGTTACATTTTAACAGACAGTTCCATGCATTACTATATATGTAAATATATTTTTAAATAAAATGTTATATTATGAAGAAAGTTTTGCAATTTAATGTTTTCCACTTATATCTTGGACATCTTTTCATGTCAGTACAAAGAGATCCACCTAATGAATGTAGAATATTATAATTACCGTGGAGAGCACAGACCCTGTAAATGTAAAGAAATTCTGTTGTGATTTAAAACTGCTTCTGGAAGAAAATGGTTATTTAACCTAGCTTTTGGCCTTGACAGCAGCAAGGAAGATGGTGGCTATAGGCCTGGGCTGGGCAGCAGTGATGGGTAGATGGTGGGTGGTGGGGCGGGAAGCTGGGGTAGTATGACAGCATTCACTGAAGGGCTGTGATTAGAGTAGCTGCTCCACAGAGTGACATCCTGGTCCCTGGGTGCGCTCAGTATTTAAATAATGGGGTGGGGCCCAAGCACGGTGGCTCATGCCTGTAATCCCAGCACTTTTGGAGGCCGAGGTGGGTGGACCAACTGAGGCCAGGAGTTCGAGACCAGCCTGGGCAACATGGTGAAACCCCAGTCTCTACTAAAAATACAAAAATAAGCTGGGTGTGGGGGCAGGCGCCTGTAATCCCAGCTACTCGGGAGGCTGAGGCAGGAGAATCGCTTGAACCCAGGAGGTGAAGGTTGTAGTGAGCCAAGATTGTGCCACTGCACTCCAGCCTCGGTGACAGAGCGAGACTCTGTCTCAAAAAAACAAAATAGGCACGGTGGCTCATGCCTGTAATCCCAGTACTTTGGGACGCTGAGGTGGGCGGATCACAAGGTCAGGAGTCTGAGAGCAGCCTGGCCAATATGGTGAAATCCCGTCTCTACCAAATATACAAAAATTAGCCGGCTGTGGTGGCGGGTGCCTGTAATCCCAGCTACTCAGGAGGCTGAGGCAGAATTGCTTGAACCCAGGAGGCAGAGGTTGTGGTGAGCCGAGATCATGCCACTGAACTCCAGCCTGGGTGACAGAGCAAGACTCCATCTCAAAAAAAAAAAAATTAATTAAATTAAAATAATAATAATGGGGTAGGGAGTAAAAGTGCAACCCTCCTGCCTTTTCCAGGCCCTGGGTCCAGCTCATCCTTGTTGCATGGTCCGAATGCATCTTGGAAAAGCACTTCTATTATTCAGGCTCTTCCACTTTCCTTTCTTTCCCCCTCAGTGCTTGGGGTTGAGGGGAAGAGAAGATGAGTAGGAAATGTTAATAATTGCAGTTACCATTGAAGGGGGAAGGTGGGTGCTATTCAAGAGAAATACGAAGCAGCAAGAAGCCTGAATGAGATGCAGCGAGAAAGGAAGCAAGATCAAACACTTTCTCTCTAAATCATCCCCATTCTTTCCTGTCTTTCTTCCCCTACTTCCGCTCCACTACAAAGAGACGTGAGCAAAGTTATCTTAGCTCCAAAATTGCATACCTTAGGGAAGAAAAAAAACTAACAAAGCGCTGTTCGTGACCATTTCTTGCTCTATCCGACGCGGCTCATCAATGTGATAATAATTCATTAACCATCTGATTGTCAGAGGTTGTAAACATCTGGTGCAAATATGCACGGAGTAAAATTGCAATCTCCTGAAATAGGGGGGTTTTCATGGAAACGACGTTGGAGAGCTGCTGTCATCACAGGCAGAGCCGTTGTGCAGGGAGGATCTATCAGTTTTAGACTGTTAAAATTGAAGAGAACATTTGCAAGCACAATGCAAGGTAGGTGCTTCAAAGAATGGTTTAAACATCAAAGGATTAAAAAAGGCCCTTGGGAAAACGAATCAAGCTAGGGGATATTTTTGTAAAAACAATTCTTTTTATAAGATTGTAAAATCAACCAGGAAGCAAAAACCAAATGTACAGTTGTGTCAGAAAAGTTTCTTCCCTCTCCAATCATGCATTCTTGGTTTATTTCAACACTTAGTCTTTACATGTAAATAAACCTCTTTTTATGTGAGACTACTGTTCATTTTTATTTTGTATTTTATTTTTTATTTTTTTGAGATGGAGTCTCCTCTATTGCCCAGGCTGGAGTGCAGTGGCACAATTTTGGCTCACTGCAACCTCCACCTCCCAGGTTCAAGCAATCCTCCTGCCTCAACCTCCCGAGTAGCTGGGATTACAGGTGCTCGCCAGCACGCCTGGCTAATTTTTTTTTTTGAGATGGAGTTTCACTCTTATTGCCCAAGCTGGAGTGCAATGGAGCAATCTCAGCTCACCAAAACCTCTTCCTCCCAGGTTCAAGTGATTCCCCTCCTCAGTCTCCCGAGTAGCTGGGATTAGAGGCATGCACCACCACGCCCAGCTAACTTTGTATTTTTGGTAGAGATGGGGTTTCTCCACGTTGGTCAGGCTGGTCTTGAACTCCCGACCTCAGGTGATCCACCTGCCTTGGCCTCCCAAGATGCTGGGATTACAGGCATGAGCCACCGCACCCGGCCAATTGTTGTATTTTTTAGAGACAAGGTTTCACCATGTTGACCAGGCTGGTCTCGAACTCCTCACCTCAAGTAATTCGCCCACCTCAAAGTGCTGGGATTACAGGCGTGAGCCACCATGCCCAGCCTTTTCTTCATTTTTAATCATGGTCCTAAAAGATAACACAACGTTTGCATTTTACATTTTCTTTTCTTGATTTGTGCACACCAATAAGCGCTGCTTAGACTTTTGATCCCCAAACACCTTGGGCACAGATGACATTCAAAGCCTAGTTCTGGGGACAAGACTTCCCCATACCTACCCTCCAGGAACTGGAGCCCAATTAGAGGTGCGCCTGAACACCACCACCAGTGCTTTGGATGGCTTTCTGTGGGCCTGCCTCTTCTGCACTGCAGACTGGTTAAAGGTAGTGGCTTCAGGTCCTCCATGCTGAGGCCACGGGATGCTGCCTTGGTATCCTGTGCCTTCTGCTCTGAGGCCACTGCAGTGCCTGTGGCTAATGTAGAGACTGAATCAGTGTTGGGCACTGATGGGTCATGACGTTTACATTGTAACTGTCCAGCAAACTTTCATCCATCACCTGAGATTCACAACTCCATGTTATGGTTTTGTTGATATTCCAACATGCAAGTGAATTGTCTACACATTGTGCACCACTGGCTTTAGCAGTAATTCACTTCTGCTTTCAAATATGGGCATGTACCATCCACAGTTAACATCTGCTGGGTCAGAAGCTGTGACAAGGTGGCTGGGTGTGGTGGCTCACGCCTGTAATCCCAGCACTTTGCAGGCCGAGGCAGGCAGATCATTTGAGGTGAGGAGATCAAGACCAGCCTGACCAACATGGTGAAATCCTGTCTCTACTAAAAATATAAAAAATTAGGTGGGCGTGGTGGCACGTGTCTGTAATCCCAGCTACTTGGGAGGCTGAGACAGGAGAATCGCTTAAATCCAGGAGGTGGAGGTTGCAGTGAGCCGAGATTGCACCTCTGCACTCCTGCCTGGATGACAGAGTGAGACTCTGTCTCAAAAAAAAAAAAAAAAAAGAAGAAGAAGAAGAGGAGGAAGAGGAAGAAGTGGAAAAAGAAGGAGAAGGAGAAGGAGGAGGAGGAGAGGAAGAGGAAGAGGAAGAGGAAGAAGAAGGAAGAAGAAGAAGAAGAAGAAGAAGAAGAAGAAGAAGAAGAAGAAGAAGAAGAAGAAGAAGAAGAAGCAGCAGCTGTGACAAGGGGCTGTGTAGTCCAAGTTCCTGTCCATTGCCCTCTTGTTGTGTGTTTGATATCTTCATTGTAGCATATTCAATCACTTAAGTGCTTCCAGGAAAAACAACCCCATGTAATCCATGCTTTAACTTTTATTTAAATTTTTAAAGAGTGCTTTTAACCCTAAAAAATCAGCTTGTTTTGTACATAAGAACTGTTTTTTAATACTAATAAATCAAGCATTATCCATGGGGAAAAAAAGGCATAGTTCAGGCCAGGTGCCATGGTTCATGCCTATAATCCCAGCACTTTGGGAGGCCGAGGCAAGTGGATTGCTTGAGGCCAGGAGTTCAAGACCAGCCTGGGCAACACTGTGAAACCCTATCCCTACCAAACAAAAATAAAAACAAAAACAAAAATTGGCTAGCCATGGTGGCACATGCTTGTAGTCCCAGCTACTCAGGAGGCTGAGGTGGTAGGATCCCCTGAGCCTAGGAACCTGGGAATTTGAGGCTGCAGTGAGCCAAGATCATGCCAGTGCACTCTAGTCTGGGTGACAGGAAGAAAAGAAAAAGACTTAGTTAATCATTATAATATGATATAACCTCACTCTTCCTCAACATAAATTTTAAAGTTTCTCACATTTTTTGTTTCATTTTTCTAGATAAATTTGAATCAAATATTTAAAAAAAATTCATATGAAATTTTATTCCCCATTGGAAGTGGATTCCAGGAAAGTGTCTTTTTTTTTTTTTTTTTTTTTTTTTGAGATGGAGTTTCACTCTGTCGCCCAGGCTGGAGTACAGTGGCACAATCTCAGCTCACTGCAACCTCCACTTGGGTTCAAGCAATTCTCCTATCTCAGCCTCCCGAGTAGCTGGGACTACAGGCGCAAGCCACCATGCCTGGCTAATTTTTTGTATTTTTAGTATAGATGGGGTTTCACCATATTGGTCAGTCTGGTCTCGAACTCCTGACCTCAGGTGATCCGCCCACTTTGGCCTCCCAAAGTGCTGGGATTACAGGCGTGAGCCACTGTGCCCAGCTGAAAGTGGCTTTTTATCCTCAGATAATAAAGGCCTCTTACGTGGCATACATGCACAAAGAATAGCATATTTTTTAAAGCTTAGCAATGGATCATTCTCCAGGTTGATGTTAAAAATGGAAGGAAGGCTTTTTCAATCAAGGGTCCAAGCCAATAAAGTTCTCATTCCCTGGAGCTCTTCATGACCTAGATAGGAGGAAACCCAGTAGCAGTCTTAGCTTTCCATAAACACTTCCCATCACCCAGGCAATAATTCCACTATTGAGCATCTTTTCTGCATATCAAGCTCTTAGAGAATTACAAAGGAAATAAAATGTAATTTTAAAAAACCCCACACATTTCTTGTTCTCAAGCAGATTGCAATACAAACACACACAGTTATTTATGAACTCCAAATAAAGAGTCTTCAGAAAATATAAAAACCTTAAACACAGCTTGCTAGAACTTGTCCTGAACAGATCACATCTATTCCCATGAGACTTTCTGTTTTCAGGCAATGGTTGGTACAAGAAAATAGTGCTTGCATTAACAATGGTGACTATTTTAGTCATGGGAGAAAAAATTTAATAATTTCAAATGGGGAAAAAAATGAAGCAGCTTCTAAACAGAACAGTGTGACAGGTGACTAGTGTCTTGGCAACCATCAGATGCAACATAGCCAAGAGGTTCTCTGGTAGGAGCCCAGGGCCTGTGGGGTTGTGGGAAACAGGGTGGAGAGGCATTGGAATGGGGGCTTGCGAAACCTGAGTCTGCGCATCATTGGGCAATCGAAGCACCTTGGCACCCACCAGTCCGAATTGAGATCCTAGATCTCAACGTCCTCATTCATAAGAATCTGTAAAAATAGTAATTTCTTTTAGTCTGGGTGTTGTCTGAGTGATAAAGTAAATAAAGCAGCAGAGTACCTGACTTATAACCATTTTTATTAAGCAGTGTCTATTATTGCACCATGGTCATTGTCACTTTTTAAAATAATATTTATTCTGCATTCCAGAGTTACAGAAGAACTTTGATTTTTTTCAAAATAAAATTGTGGCAACACTCTGTTGACAGTAACTCAAATTTTATGTTTCTTATCACTTTTTGTTGGGGGTGGTGCATTGGGGGACAAAGTCTTGTTGTTACCCAGGCTGGAATGCAGTGATATGATCATAGCTCACTGAAGCCTTGACCTCCTGGGCTCAAGTGATCCTCCCACCTCAGCCTCCTGAGTAGCTAGGACTACAGGTGGGTGCCACCATGCCTGGCTTTTTTTGTTTTTGTTTTTGTTTTTGTTTTTTGAGACAGAGTTTCGCTCTTGTTGTCCAGGCTGGAGTGCAATGGCGCGATCTCGGCTCACCACAACCTCCACCTCCCAGGTCCAAGCGATTCTCCTGCCTCAGCCTCCCGAGAAGCTGGGATTACAAGGCCCCACCACAACGCCTGGCTAATTTTTGTATTTTTAGTAGAAATGGGGTTTCACCATGTTGATCAGGCTGGTCTCAAACTCCTGGTCTCAAGCGATCTGCCCACCTTGGCCTCCCAAAGCGTTGGGATTTCAGGTGTGAGTCACCGCTCCCGGCCAACATTTCACTCTATTGAATTTTCCCATTAGTATACTAACAAGTTCTAAAATCTCATGGATTGAACGACAACAACAACAAAAAGAGCAAACACCTTCCCTTCACCTCCTCCAGAAAAATGCTGCCATTTTTCTGTTACTCTTTATTTTTCCTATTTTATTTTATTTTATTTTTTGAGAAGGGTCTCACTCTTTTGCCCAGGTTGGAGTGCAGTAGCACAACCTCAGCTCACTGTAACCTGCACCACCCAGGTTCAAGTGATTCTCCTGCCTCAGCCTCCTGAGTAGCTGGGATTACAGGCATGTGCCACCACACCTGGCTAATTTTGGTATTTTTTTCTTTTTAATTTTTGTATTTTTAGTAGAGATGGGGTTTTGCCATGTTGGCCAGGCTGATCTCAAACTCCTAAACTCAAGTGACCGCCTACCTTGGGCTCCCAAAGTGCTGGGATTACAGGCGTGAGCCACCATGCCCAGCCTATATCCCCCATCTTGAAGCATCTCTTCATCTCTTGGCTTCCATATATCATACTCTTCTATCTTTCTTCTACTTTCTTACCTACTCATTTTCCTTCACCATGGCTGGATGTCTGGAATCTAAACAGTCACTAAACTTTGGAGTACCACAAGGATCAGCCCCATTATCTTTATCATTATCTCATTTAGAGCAAAACTTTGTGAAGGGCATCATCAGCCCCATTGTCTTCTCCATATCTCCTGGCTGCCTAGATAACCCACCAAGTCACATGGGCTTAAACAGCACCCACGCCTTCGTCTCTGCTAGAGAGACAGGTCCGTGGGCAGAGGGAAGGGCACAGTTATCTAGCCCCCACTTTCTCTCTGAATCCCAGGCTCCTCTTTCTGTCTGCTCATGACATCGACTCCTGGATGCAGAAAAGGCGTTTGAAATTGAACACGCCGAAAGAGACTCCCTGATACCCCATCCCTTCACTTCCCCCAGACTTCTGAAACTCAGTAAATGGCCCCACTGTTCACCCAGCTGCTTAAGTCATAAACCTGAAAGTCACCAAGTCTTCCCTTCCCCCTGACCTCATGGTTCATTGACTCCATCTGCAAACCTTCCCCTGAATCTGCCCAGTTGTCTCCAAGTTCTTTGCAAGCACCCCGCTCTTAATCTTGATCATTCCTCTTCTGACACCTGTAGGTGGCCTTCCACCACACTCAGAATAAAAGCTTTGCAGGATCCAAGGAAACCCTGGGTGTTTTGGTCCCTGCCTTGTCCACATTTATTCCCCACCTACTTCTCCCAACTCCTACACCCTGACACACTGGCCGGCCTTCTGTTCCTCTGTTCACCCTTGGGCCTCCGTACATTCTTTCTTTGCTTTCTTTTTTTTTTTCTTTTTTTTTTTTTTGAGACAGAGTCTCACTCTGTCGCCCAGGCTGGAGTGCAGTGGCGTGATCTAGGCTCACTGCAACCTCTGCCTCCTGGGTTCAAATGATTCTCCTGCCTCAGCCTCCCGAGTATCTGGGACTACAGGCACTTGCCACCATGCCCAGCTAATTTTTGTATTTTTAGTAGATACAGCGTTTCATCATATTGGCCAGGCTGGTCTCAAACTCCAGACCTTGTGATCCGCTGGCCTTGACCTCCCAAAGTGCTGGGATTACAGGTGTGAGCCACCATGCTTGGCCTTCTTTTTTTTTTTTTTTTTCTTTGAGATGGAGTCTTGCTCTGTTGCCCAGACTGGAGTGCAGTGGCAGGATCTTGGTTCACTGCAGCTCACTGCAACCTCCATCTCTCAGGTTCAAGTGATTCTCCTGCCTCAGCCTCCCGAGTAGCTGGGACTTACAGGCGCATGTCACCATGCCCGGCTAATTTTTTGCATTTTTAGTAGAGATGGGGTTTCACCATGTTGGCCAAGCTGATCCCGAACTCTTGACCTCAAGTGATCCACCTGCCTGGCCTCCCGAAGTGTTGGGATTACAGGTGTGAGCCACCACACCTGGCCAGCCTCTGTACTTTCTATTCCCTCTATTGGGAATGTTCTTCCCAAGGATTTTCCCAACATGTCTGCTTCTTGTCATTAGGTCTCAGCACAGTTGTTAGCTCCTCAGACAAGGCTTCCCTGACCACTCACTCTAAAGGAACCCATGTTACTGCCTATCCCACAACCTTGTTAATCATTTGCATTGCACACACATACTACTGTCTGATATACATATATGTACACATATAGAGAGTTTTTTTTTTTTTTTTTGAGAAAGGTCATGCTCTTTTGCCCAAGCTGGAGTGCAGTAGCACAGTCATACCTCATTGTAGCCTCAAGCCATCCTCCCACCTCAGCCTCCTGAGTATCTGGGACCACAGGCGCACACCACCACACCCAGCTAATTTTAAAATTTTTTGTAGCTGGGCGCGATGGCTCACGCCTGTAATCCCAGCACTTTGGGAGGCCCAGGTGGGCAGATCACCTGAGGTCGGGAGTTCAAGACCAGCCTGACCAACATGGTGAAACATGGTGCCCGCCACCACACCCAGCTAATTTTTGTATTTTTAATGGAGACAGGGTTTCAGTACATTGGCCAGGCTGGCCTTGAACTCCTGACCTCAGGTGATCCACCCACCTTGGCCCCCCAAAGTGCTAGGATTACAGGCGTGAGCTACCCTGCCTGACCTGGAACTGCCTTCCCTGGCTGAGGTCTGCATTGTACGGTTGCCTGCACCCAGCAAGCAGCCACAGAGCCCCTACTGTGCACCAGGAACTCAACTGCTGAGACTGCAAAGATGAATGTCACTCTGCCCCCAAGGAGCTCATACTCTAGGGAACAGAGACACACACAGATGGTTGCAATCTGCAGTGGTCCTTGTAATGCCAGACAGGGCAGGATTGCTTGGAAGTCCTGGGCCAGGATACCCAGTTTTAAAAAGTTTTCCTGGAGGTGGAACCACAAGGCTGACTCTGAAGGCATGAGCTGGGGATGGCCAACCAGACAGGGGGACAGCAGGAGCAACGGCTAACACTGGAGATTAAAGTGCACAGCAGGCAAACAGAAAGAACTGCAGAAAAGAAAGAAAAATCACAGAAAAGAGCTCAGTCTACTTGTGTTAGATTGCTAGGGCTGCTGTTGCAAAGTGCCACAGACTGGGTGGCTGTGGCCACAGAAACAGTGACACAGAAATTAATGACTGTCTTCTCCCTGTGTCTTCACATGGTCGTCCCTCTGTGTGTCTGTGTCCTAATCTCTTCTTATAAGGACACCAGTCATATTAGATTAGGGTCTGCCTGAATGACCTCATTTTAACTTAATTACCTCTTTAAAGACTGTATCTCCAAATATAGTCACATTCTGAGATACAGGGGGTTAAGATTTAAACAGATGAATTGGGTGGAGGCAGGGAGATGCTGGGGCACAACTCAGCACACAAAATTAGTAAACAAAGAAGGACATTTTATCATAAAGACGCCAAGACATCACATGACAAGAATGTCGCTGAGGCCAGGCACAGGGGGCTCACGCCTGGAATCCCAGCACTTTGGGAGGCCAAGGCGGGAAGATCACTTGAGCCCAGGAGTTTGAGACTAGACTGGGCAACATGGTGAGACCCCCATCTCTACAAAAAATACAAAAATTAGCCGGGCGTGGTGGCACACACTTGTAGTCTCAGCTACTGGGAGGCTGAGGCAGGAGGATCTTTTGAATCTGGGAGACAGAGGTTGCAGTGAGCCAAGATCATGCCGCTGCACTCCGGCCCGGGTGACAAAGCCAGACCCTGTCACACAAAAAAAAGCAGCTCAGCATGTGAAAAGTCTCTCTTCCTTTCTCTGTCTCTCTTTTTTCCTCTCTCTCTGGCCCCCTCATTCTTACATCTCTCCTTCTCTCTCTTTCATATAATTGTATAGATATTCAGTTAAAAAATGATAATAACCATCTATATAACTCTTCTGTAAGAAACAGATAAGTCTAGTACCTGTTAGAATACTAACAGAGTTACATATCTTGTTTTTTTCTTTCTTTCTTTTTTTTTTTCAGACAGGGTCTTCTCTGCCACCCAGGTTGGAGTGTAGTGGTGCTACACGGCTCACTGCAGCCTCTAGCTCCCTGGCTTAAGTGATCCTCCCACCTCAGCCTCCTAAGTAGCTGGGACCACAGGCACACACCACCATGCCTAGTTAATTTTTTGTGGAGATGGGGTCTATGTTGCCCAGGGCAAGCTGGTCTCCAATTCCTAGGCTCAAGTGATCCTCCTGCCTTAACCTCCCAAAGTGCTGGGATTACAGGTGTGAGCCACCACACCCGGCCTTAGAGACATTGTTTCTAAGTAAGCCACAGAAACACTGTGATTCTAAGCCCCTTCCATTCATCCTCTTTCCTGAGTTTCATGTTAACTGTCTCCCCTTTTTCCTTTGTTTTATGTGATAAGTACACATCCCTAAGCAACATGTTCCTTCAGTTCTGTCAATTTTATAAAAAGTGAAATTGTATGGTAGTATATGCTTTCTTTTTTTTTTTTTTTTTTTTAGATGGAGCCTCGCTCTGTTGCCCAGGCTGAAGTGCAGTGGCACGATCTTGGCTCATTGCAACCTCCACCTCCCGGGTTCAAGCAATTCTCCTGCCTCAGCCTCAGGTAGCTGGTATTACAGGCACGTGCCACTGCGCCCAGCTAATTTTTGTATTTTTCATAGAGACGGGTCTTCACCATGTTGGCCAGGCTGATCTTGAACTCCTGACCTCAGCTGATCCACCTGCCTCGGCCTCCCAAAAAGCTGGGATTACAGGCACGAGCCACTGGGCCTGACTAATTATTTTCCTTTATACTTAGTGCTTGTTGTGTCTTGTTTAAAAAATCGGTACCTACCTTGAGGTCATAAATGTATTCTCCTAATGGTCTTCAGAATTTTTTCATAGTTTTGCTTTTTAATGTTGTCTTTAATTAATCTAGAATAGATTTGTGATGTGTAAGGGAGCAATCCAATTTACCATTTCCTGTTGGATAGCCGATTGATTCAATAGCATTTATTGAATTCTCCACCCTTTTTGCATTGATGTGTAATGCCTGCTTAGGTGTAAATAGATGTTCCATATTTTCATTAGTCTGTTGCTGTTTTTTTTTCTCTCTTGAGACGAAGCCTCACTCTGTCCCAGGCTGGAGTGCAGTGGTGCAATCTCTGCTCACTGCAACCTCCACCTCCCAGGTTCAAGTGATTCTCCTGCCTCAGCCTCCCAAGTAGCTGAGATCACAGGCATGTGCCACCAAGCCCAGTTAATTTTTGTATTTTTAGTAGAGGCAGGGGTTTCACCATGTTGGCCAGGCTGGTCTCGAACTCCTGGCCTCAAATGATCCACCCACCTCGGCCTCCAAATTGCTACTGCGCCCAGCACCAACTGCCTTTATTACAATAACTTTATGATGATAAGTTTTCATACACTAAACCAATCCACTGCTTCAGTAGTCTCTAGACCACTTTTCACCCTTTGCTCTTCACACATTTTAGGATGGGTTTATGAAGTTCCAGACAGGGAGAGGCAGGGGAGACCTCTTGAGACCTTGATTTAAAATGAATTGATTAGAGCCAGGTGTGGTGGTGCACGCCGGTAGTCCCAGCTACTCCGGAAGCTGAGGCAGGAGGATCACTTGAGCCCAGGGGTTCAAGGTTGTAGTGGGCCATGATCACCCCACTGCACTCCAACCTGGGCAACATAGCAAAACCCCATCTCTAAAGAGAAAATAAAATGAATTGATCAATTTAGGAACAATTGATATTAAGTCTTTCCATTTATGAATATGATACAGCTTTCCATTTGTTTTGCTCTTCCTTAATGCAACCCATAAAAATTTTAAATTTCATAAAGAACTTGCTCATTTTGAAAGATTTCTCTTTTGTTATTCTATAGTTTTGCTGCTACTGCAAACGGTGTCTTTTTCAAAATTACATTTTCTCACTACTTTTGCTAATGTATAAAAATGCAATTGGCATTTATGCATTGATTTTGTATTCAGCAATGTAGCCAAACTCTCTTATTGATTTTCATAATGTTTCTATAGATTCTTTTGGGTTTTCTATGTGTATAATCATATCATCAATAAATAATATGTTTTTTATTTTCTTTCTAATCTCCGTGCCTTTTTATTTCTTTTCCTCACTGGCTAGGACCTTTAGCAGGATGTTGAATAGAAGGAAGGATAATGCAAATGTTTGTTTTGATCCTGGTCTTGGAGGAAATGTTTTAAACCTTCCACCATTAGGAATTAATTTTGCGGCCAGGCGCGGTGGCTCATGCCTATAATCCCAGCACTTTGAGAGGCTGAGGCGGGTGGATCACTTAAGGTCAGGAGTTCAAGACCAGCCTGGCCAACATGGTGAAACCCTGTCTCTGCTAAAAATACAAAAAGTAGCCAGGCATGGTGGCAGGTGCCTGTAGTCCCAGCTACTTGGGAGGCTGAGGCGGGAGAATCACTTGAACCCAGGAGGCGGAAGTTGCAATGAGCTGGGATTACGCCACTGCACTCCAGCCTGGGTGACAGAGTGAGACTCCATCTCAAAAAAAAAAAAAAAAAGTAGATAGTTCTGGCCAGGATCTTCATTTGTATTATGCAGCTCAGCCCACCCCTTCCTATCTGTGTGACACAGGCATACACCTCTAATCATATTCTCTCACTCAGGATTGTGCTATTAGACCACGAGAAAGTGAGCCTGCTTCTGCTAGGGGCTGCTCCTGGAGGAAGTTGGAGCTGTGGGTGTCATTGCTGTAGTGGGAGCTGTTTGCAAAGAAAGAGGAATACAGAGACGGGGAGACACTGTTCCCTCAGGCATTTAGGGATATATAATTCCAGTCTTGTACAAACTCTACTGGTGAAAAAAAGCTGGAAGTCATCTTACTCATGTATTGAGGTTAGCAAAATATTGATATCAAAACCAGAAAGGATAGTATGAAACAGGAAAATTGCCTGTCAGTCTTACCCGTGAACATGGATGCAAGAGCCCTAAACATTGCTGAGTGCGACAGCTCATGTCTGTGGTCCCAGCTACTTGGGAGGCTGAGGTGGGAAGATCCCTTGAGCCCAGGAGGTTGAAGGTGCAGTGAGCCATGATCACCCCACTGCACACCAGGCTGGGTGACAGAGCGAGACTCTGTCTCTAAAAGAAAAAGGAAGAGGTGGGGCGCAATGGCTCACACCTGTAATCCCAGCACTTTAGGAGGCCGAGGCAGGTGGATTGCCTGAGGTCAGGAGTTCCAGACCAGCCTGATCAATATGGTGAAACCCTGTCTCTGCTAAAAATACAAAAATTAGCTGGGCGTGGTGACAAGCGCCTGTAATCCCAGCTATTCGGGAGGCTCAGACAGGAGAATGGCTTGAACCTGGGAGACGGAGGTTGCGGTGAGCCGAGATTGCGCCACTGCACTCCAGCCTGGGCAACAGAGCAAGACCCCATCTCAAAAAAAAAAAAAAAAAAAGAAGAAAGAAAGAAAAAGGAAGAAAGAAAAGAGTCTTAAACAATAAATAAGCAAGTACATCATGACCAAGTTGAGTTTACCTGAAAGTTCACTTAACATTAGAAAACTGATTTGAGGCCAAGGTGGGAAGATCACTTGAGCCCCAGAGTTCAAGACCAGCCTGGGCAACATAGGGAGCCCCAGTCTAAAAATAAATAAATAAAATGAAATAAAGTAAGCTGGATGTGCTGACACATGCCTGTAGTCTCTGAGGCAGGAGGATCACTTGAGTCTGAGAGTGACAGAGTGAGACAAATTTATTTTGATTAATGTGATTCACCACATTAACAAATTAAAGAGCAAAAAGCATAGGGTCATCTGCATAGATGCAGAAAATTCATTTGTAAAATTCAACATCCATTCATGATGATTCTTAGTAAACCCGAATAGAAAGTAGAAAGGAAGTTGCTTGTAGAGCAAAATTAATTCCTCTGTGTGTGTGTGTATGTGTGTGATGGAGTCTCATTCTGTTGCCCAGGCTGGAGTGCAGTGGCTCAATCCCGGCTCACTGCAACCTCCACCTCCCGGGTTCAAGTGATTCTCCTGCCTCAGCCTCCCAAGTAGCTGGGATGACAGGCGCCTGCCACCACACCCGGCTAATTTTTGTATTTTTAGTAGAGATGGGGTTTCACTATGTTAACCAGGCTGGTCTCAAACTGCTGATCTCAAGTGATCTGCCCGCCTTGGCCTCCCAAAGTGCTAGGATTGCAGGACTGCTCCCAGCCCAGAAACATCTACTTCTGTAAGTGTGATGAGAAATGAGATGAAATAGCAGTGACTGCACCCCAGCCCTGTGTGCTGTGTGAAAGAGCTGGGCTTTATGTCACCCCAGCCCTGTGTGCTGTGTGAAAGAGCTGGGCTTTATGTCACCCCAGCCCTGTGTGCTGTGTGAAAGAGCTGGGCTTTATCTCACTCCAGCCCCGTGCGCTGTATGAAAGAGCCAGGACTTTATCTTACGAGTGACGTGGAACAAGAGAAAGCCTTTCAGCAGTGGCATAATGGGTCAGATTGCGATGTTAAGTATACCAGTTACTTTGGTGGCCCTGTGGAAGGCTGACCCAATGAAGATGAAAGTGGAAGGATGAACACCAGCTCAGAAGTTGTTGAGTATTCCAGGAAAGAGTTAGTGAAAGCCTGATCACCCGGGATTATAGGACCAATGTGTTGGGGGACATAGATGAAAAATATTTTGGAGTTATAATCAGAAAGTTTTGAGATGTACTGGGTTAAAAGGGTGAATGTGACATAATAAGAAATATGTATTTGGTGTCTATCCCCAGTTCCTGACACAGAGCCCCCAAGACCCTTGTAGCTTCCTGAAGGATGGGGTGACAGGAGCAGCTTTCGTTATAATATTTGGTCTTGGTCCGTGTTTCCTGACACAAGAACTTCTAAGACCCATATGGAATCTCCAGAGTGATGAGCTTCCTTTTCTATGCTCATGAGGTGACTGGGGTACCCAGAGCTTCAGGATGAGTCTAGCTGCTAGAGCCACCATATGGTTAGAGGGTTGGAGCTTTCAGCCCCACTCCCTAATCTCCAGGGAGGAGAGGGCATCTGGAGATTGAGATCAATCCCCAATGGCTAATGATTTAATCAATTATGTCAGTGCAATGGAACCTCCATTAAAAAAACCCTAAAAAACAGGATTTGGAGAGCTTCTGGGCTGGTGAATGCATCCATGTGCCAAGAGGGTGGTACCTCCCTCCACAGGGACAGAAGCTCCTGCACCCGGAACACTTCCAAACCTCACTCTGCGCACCTCTCCATTGGGCTGTGCATATGTCTCCTTTATGACATCCTTTATAATAAACCCGTCATAGCAAGTAAAGTGTTTCTCTGAGTTCTGACAGCTGTTACAGCAAATTATCAAGCATGCAGAGGTCGTCATGGGAACCCCCAATTTGTAGCCATCAATCAGAAGTCCTGGAGGCCCTGGACTTGAGATTGGCATCTGAAGTGGGGACAGTCTTGTGGGACTAGGCCCTTAACTTGTGGGGTACAATGCTAACTCCAGGTAAATAGCATCAGAATTGAATTGAAATAAACTGTGCAACATCCAGTTGGTGTCTGCAGAGTTGGAGAATTAGTTGTTACTGTGGAGGAAAAAAAAAAACCCACACATTTCTCAGAAATGTCGAGAGCATAGAAACAGTGTTTTCTTTTACTGAGAGAAAAGGAAGAGTCAAGGATATTTCCCCAGTCATATTCTATATATGCTGGCAGACAGTGTCCCCACCCGAAAGACTATAAAAGGAAAAACTAATTAAATAAAAACAAATAACATACACAGACTGGTCAATTTGTCTTAACTGGTATAGATTTGTTAACCTATATAGAATGGGATCATGTCTGTAACTTTTACCATCACCAGCTTTTATGAAGGATACTGATGATGTCAACCTTTTATATTACATGTTTGCAAAGTACAATATCTATTCAATGTAACCACATAGATTTATTTTGCCAGGAGTCTTGAAAAATTAATGAGCAGGCCAGATGCAGTGGCTCACACGGAGGTTGCAGTGAGCCAAGATTGCGCTACTGCACTCCAGCCTGGAAGACAGAGTGAGACTCTGTCTCAAAACAGTAAACTAAACTAAACTAAACTAAAATAAAATAAAATAAAATAAAATAAAATAAAAATAAAAGTAAATGAGCAGTATTAGCACCATCATTATCCATCATCATCAATACCACCAGTCTTCTTTTAGAATTTTACTAAATTACTTCAGTCAACTTAAAACTTGTGAATTATGTTGTAAAATATTCACTATTGAGGTTATACTTGTGTATTTGGAGGTGAAGGCATGTCTAGCTTTTGTTTGTTGTTTGTTGTTTGGTTTGTTGTTCAGACCACAGCACTTTTCTCAGCTTCATTTTTGTTTTTTTTGTTTGTTTGTTTTGTTTTGTTTTGAGACAGAGTCTCACTCTGTCACCCAGGCTGGAGTGCAGTGGCGCGATCTCGGCTCACTGCAAGTTTCGCCTCCTGGGTTCATGCCATTCTCCTGCCTCAGCCTCCCAAGTAGCTGGGACTACAGGCACATGCCACCACACCCGGCTAATTTTTTTGTATTTTTAGTAGAGACGGGGTTTCACCGTGTTAGCCAGGATGGTCTCGATCTCCTGACCTCATGATCCGCCTGCCTTGGCCTCCCAAAGTGCTGGGATTACAGGCGTGAGCCACCGCGCCCAGCCTCAGCTTCATTTTTGCTCTTGATGTCTGAAGGAATCAAGCCAGTGATTTCTGAAGTCCTCTCTGAATCAACCAGTACTGTCTGAGAGTGCCTCCCCTCTCCCCCACCCCCATCCTGAGACTACAAATAGTAGCCATGTGGTTTTCTTTTCTTTTCTTTCTTTCTTTTTTTTTTTTTTTTTTGAGACAGAGTCTCACTCTTGTCTTGTCACCCAGGCTGAAGTGCAGCAGCACCATCTTGGCTCACTGCAACCTCTGACTCCTAGGTTCAAGCGATTCTCCTGCCTCAACCTCCCGAGTAGCTTGAACTACAGGCACACACCACCATGCCCGGCTAAATTTTGTATTTTTAGTAGAGACCAGGTTGCACCATGTTGGCCAGACTGGTCTCGAACTCCTGACTTCAGGTGATCCATCCACTTCGTCCTCTGAACGTGCTGGGATTACAGGTGTGAGCCACCGGCCTGGTCTGGCATGTCTAGTTTTATTGCTCTGCACGTGTGTCACATTTTAAAATACAAATTGAAAGTTGGTGGCAACACTGCAAGTTTATTGGCACCATTTTTGCTAACATTGTGTCTCTGTGTCACATTTTGGTAATTCTTGCAATATCTCAAACTTTATTATTATTGTTATTTGAGACAGAGTCTCGCTCTGTTGCCCAGGCTGGAGTACAGTGGCGGGATCTCAGCTCACTGCAATCTTTGTCTCCCGGGTTCAAGCTATTCTCTTGCCTCAGCCTCCGAAGTAGTTGGGATTACGGGTGTGAGCCACCACGTCTGGCTAATTTTTGTATTTTTAGTAGAGACAGGGTTTCACCATGTTGGCCAGACTTGTCTTGAACTCCTGGCCTCAAGTGATCCACCCACCTTGGCCTCCCAAAGCGCTGGGATTACAGGCATGAGCCACCACGGCCAGCCAAATGTGTGTGTTCCCTGTCTCTCTCCTTCTCCTCGGGCCTTCCTATTCTCTAAGACACAACAATATTGAAATTAGGCCAATTAACCCTACAATGGCTTCTAAGTGTTCAAGTGAAAGGAAGCGTTGCCTATCTCTCACTTTAAATGAAAATGCTACTCCAGTGAACACACAAATGATAAGAAGGCTAAACAGCCTTATTGCTGATATGGAGAAAGTTTGAGTGGACTGGGTAGAAGATCAAACCAGCCACAACATTCTCTTAATCCAAAACTTAATCAAAGCAAGACCTTAACTCTCTTCATTTCTGTAAAGACTGAGGAAGGTGAAGATGCTGCAGAAAAAAAAGAAAAAAAGAAACTAGCAATGGTTGATTCATGAGGTTTAAGGAATAAGATATTTCCACAACATAAAAATGCAAAGTGAAGCAGCAAATGCTGATTTAGAAGCCACAGCAAGTTGTCCAGAAAGTCTGGCTAAGGCCGGGCATGGTGGCTTGTGCCTGTAATCCCAGCACTATGGGAGGCCAAGGTGGGTGGATCACCTGAGGTCAGGAGTTCGAGACCAGCCTGGCCAACACGGTGGAACCCTGTCTCTACTCAAACTACAAAAAGGCATGGTGGTGTGCACATGGAGTCCCAGATACTTGGGAGGCTGAAGCACGAGAATCGCTTGAACCCAGAAGGAGGAGATTGCAGTGAGCCAAGATTGTGCCACTGCACTCCAGCCTGGGTGACAGAGTGAGACACCATCTCAGAAAAAAAAAAAAAGAAAAAAAAGAAAATCTAGCTAAGATTACTGAGGAAGGTGGCCACTCTAAACAAGAGATTTCCAATGTAGATGAAACAGCCTTACATAGGAAGATGATGCCATCTAATACTTTCATAGCTAGAGAGAAGTGAATCCCTGGCTTCAAAGCTTCAAAAAATAAGCAGACCCTCTAGTTAGGGGCTAATGCAGCTGGTGACTTTAAGTTCAAGCCAGTGTTCATTGATCATTCTGAAAATCCTAGGGCCCTTAAGAATTATGCTAAGTCTACTCTGTTCATGCTCTAGAAATAACAACAACAAAGCCTGGATGATCGCACATCTGTTTACAGCATTAGCCATGGCAATTTCTTAAAATAAGACAGCAGTTAAGTTTGCACATTGATCAACTCTTCCTTTCACAAAAGATTTCTCTGCAGCATGTGATGCTGTTGGATACCATTTTACCCACAGTAGGACTTCTTTCAAAGTTGGAGTCTGGACTGGGCAGTGCGGCTCACACCTATAATCCCAGCACTTGGGGAGGCTGAGGCAGGAGGATCACTTGAGCCCAGAAGTTTGATGCTTCAGTGAGCTACGATCACATCACTGCACTCCAGCCTGGGCCACAGAGCGAGATCCTGCCAAAAAAAAAAAAAAAAATTGTATTCAATCCTCTCAGACCCTACCACTCCTTTATCAACTAAATTTATGGAATATTCTAAATCCTTTGTTATCATTTCAACAATGTTCATAGCATCTTCAGGAGATTACATCTCAAGAAACCACTTTGCTCATCCACAAGAAGCAATTCCTCATCCATTCATGTTTTCTCATGAGATTGCAGCAATTCAGTTACATCTTCAGGCTCTAATTCTCATTCTGGTTATCTTGCTATTTCTACCACATCAGCAGTTACTTCCTCCCCTGAAGCCTTGATCCTAAGTCATCAATGAGGGTTGAAATCAACTTCTTCCAAACTCCTTTTCATGTTGATAGTTTGACCCCCTCCCATGACTCATGAATGGTTTTTTTTTTGTTTTTATTTTTTTAGAGACAGGGTTTCATTATGTTGCCCAGGCTGGTCTAGAATGCCTGGACTCAAGCGATCCTCCTGCCTCGGCCTCCCAACATGCTGGGATTACAGATATGAGCCACCACCACACCCAGCCAACGAATGTTCTTAATGGCATTTAGAATAGTGAATCCTTCCCAGAAGGTTTTCAATTTACTTTGCCCAGACCCATCAGAGGAATCACTATCTATGGTAGCTATAGCCTTACAAAATGTATTTCTTTTGTGGTTATGGTGGTGGTTTTTTTGAGACAGGGTCTTGCTCTGTCACCCAGGCTAGAGTGCAGTGGCACAATCTTGGCTCACTACAGCCAGCCTCCATCTCCTGGGCTCAAGTGATCCTCCCACCTCAGCCTACCAAGTAGCTGAGATTATAGGCACACACCACTACGCCCAGCTAATTTTTTAATTTTTTTTTTTAAAGATAGGGTCTGCCTATGTTGCTCACGCTGGTCTCGAACTGTTGGGCTCAAGCAATTCTCCCATCTCAACCTCCCAAAATGCTAGGATTAGAGGCATGAGCCACTGAGCCCAGCCTTCATTTAATTTTTAGTCATTCAAAAATTACTCCTCTTGGCTGGGTGCAGTGGTTCATGCCTGTAATCTCAGCACTCTGGGATGCCAAGGCAGGTGAATCACCTGAGGTCAGGAGTTCGAGACCAACCTGCCCAACATGGTAAAACCCTGTCTCTACTAAAAATACAAAAATTAGCTGGGAGTGGTGGCAGTCGCCTGTAATCCCAGCTATTCTGGAGACTGAGGCAGGAGAATAGCTTGAACCCAGGAGGCAGAGGTTGCAGTAAGCCGAGATAGCACCATCAGACTCCAGGCTAGGCAACAAGAGTGAGACCACATTTCACAAATAATAATAATAATAATAATAATAATTACTCCTTTTGAAATAAAACCTGAAAGATTTGGGAATATACTATTGGGAGAGAACCAATGTTAGATCAGAGAAAACTTGCTGTTTGCAGGAAGACATCTTTGGGAAGGCTGTGTGGACCAACACATGGAGGGGAAGAGATCTTAGCAGATATTCGGAAATGTTCCTTAAAGCAGGGGAAGATTTGATGCTATAATTGGCGATATAAAAGAGGAATATGATCTTTCCCCTAAAATTAAAGATGTAGAGATCTGGATTATAAAATTGAGGTCTGGGGGCCAGGTGTGGTGGCTCACGCCTATAATTCCAGCACTTCGGGACTTTGGGAGGCCAAGATGGGCAGATTGCCTGACCTTAGGAGTTTGAGATCAGCCTGGGCAACATGGCAAAAGCCTGTATCTATTAAAAGTGCAAAAAATTAGCCAGCCATGGTAGTGAGCACCTGTAATCCCAGCTACTTGGGAAGCTGAGGTATGAGAATCGCTTGAACCAGGGAGCCAGAGGCTGCAGTGAGTCAAGATCATGCCACTGCACTCCAGCCTGGGCAACAGAGCAAGACTGTGTCTTCAAAAAAAGAAAGAAAGAAAGAGAGGGAGAAAGAGAGAGAGAGAGACAGAAAGAATGAAAGAAAGAAAGAACAAAAGAAAGGAAAAGAAAAGAAAAGAAAGAAAAAAATAAAATTGAGGTCTGCAAGAACTTCTATATCCTTAGACCAATCAAGGGGACATAAAATAAATAAAAGATAGCAATCTAATGTCTTAAGAAAACTTGATGGAATTAAAACTTATGAAAATTGGTAAGAAAATTTGTTTTTGTTTTTGTTTTTTCCAGAAGTATCTACTTTTACAAAAGGAGAACCTTCCTTCTGCAACTGCTGAAGAGGCTCCTCCTAAAGGTACACAAAAATATTCAGCCTGAGTCATGATAAAATGATCATCTGAAAAACTGAAGTACAAGATGACCTGCTTTCTCCTGTGAGAGATCCTTCTAAACTCACATGTGGCACAGGAATAGGCCTTTGGGATATGACAATTTCATGGTGTATTTCCCTACACGTTCAAATCAGATTCAGATTTCACATTTGCATTGTGTGAGAGTTCTCATAAAATAGAGTGATGTCCAAATGAAAAGAGGCTTCATCTCATTCCCTAAGGATTATTTTCACTAACTCAGCTAAATTTGAGATAGACGCAAATTATACAGCCACATTTTTCCATGTTAATCATAAAACATTTTCCAATAGGAAAAATAACATTTTTATAAAGAACCTAAGAATGCCATTGTAACTTTGGTTTTCTACTAATATAATTCAGCCATGAGCTAGCAAATATACAATTTCTGAATCACCCGGGAGGTTGTCTGAGATGATTATTAAGAGTCTATGGCTCTAAAATTATGAGCTGTTTTGAGGAATTTTTTTTTTTTTTTCTTTTTTTTTGAGACGGAGTCTCGCTCTGCTGCCCAGGCTGGAGTGCGGTGGCACAATCTCAGCCCGCTGCAACCTCCGCCTCCCGGGTTCACGCCATTCTCCTGCCTCAGCCTCCCGAGTAGCTGGGACTACAGGCGCCCGCCACCAGGCCTGGCTAATTTTCTTGTATTTTTAGTAGAGATGGGGTTTCACCATGTTAACCAGGATGGTTTCGATCTCCTGAACTCGTGGTCCGCCTGCCTCGGCCTCCCAAAGTGCTGGGATTACAAGGCGTGAGACACCTTACCCCGCCACAAGTCTTTTAAAAAAAAGGATAGCACATCACAGGCTGCAATTTGTGGCAAGATAATATGCTTTTATCTATCTCTTTACTATTAAGCCTGTAGATCTCTAAACGCATTATCATTTACATATATCTAATCTTTTTTTTTTTTTTTTCAGATGGAGTCTTGCTCTGTCACCCAGGCTGGAGTGCAGTGGTGCAATCTCGGCTCACGGCAACCTCCACCTCCCGGGTTCTAGCGATTCTCTTGCCTGAGCCCCCTGAGAAGCGGGGACTACAGGTGCTCACCACCACACCCAGCTAATTTTGTATTTTTAGTAGAGACGGGTTTTCATCATATTGGCCAGGCTGGTCTCAAACTCCTGACCTCGTGATCCACCCAACCTTGGCCTCCCAAAGTGCTGGGATTACAGGCGTAAGCCACCGCGCCTGACCTCTGATTGTTTTAAATACATAAAATTGCCCTGAAAAATTAAGGCTGTATAAAAATTAAGAATTAAAAATTTATATTTGTAATGTTATGGCCTGGGTAATTTTGCCTCATACTATCTTCTAACCTTTTTTTTTTTTTTTTTTTTTTTTGAGACAGAGGCTGGCTCTGTCACCCGGGCTGGAGTGCGGTGGCACGATCTCAGCTCACTGCAAGCTCCGCCTCCCTGGTTCAAGCGATTCTCCTGCCTCAGCCTCCAGAGTAGCTGGGATTATAGGCACCTGCCACCACACCTGGCTAATTGTTGTATTTCAGTAGAGATGGGGTTTCATCATGTTGGCCAGGCTGGTCTCCAACTCCTGACCTTGGGTGATCCACCCACCTCGGCCTCCCAAATTACAGGTGTGAGCCAACACATCCAGCCCATACTACCTTCTTTCCTTCTTTTTAAAAATGATTGTTAAGTTGCGTCAGTGCAGTAGGCAGCATGTCTCATAAAAATATTTTTTAAAATATCATAGCATAGAGAAAACTTAAGCATAAATACACTTTCATTAAAAATATCATAATAGCTTATATTCTCTCTTAAAAGAAAATGTAAATTTAAAGTTCTCCTGAAGGTAATCTTTTTACTCTCCTGCCTTTAAAAAAAAAAATCTAAACTAATTTAAGGTTCTTTGGCATGAGCATTAATATTGAATAATGTATGCTTTAAAATAAAAGTTTTCTTTTGCGTATAAAGAAGGCTTTAGTATAAAATAGTTTGACCTGTTAGAAGAGTATTACAGGAAACTAAACACAGGGAAATCGAGGAAAAACTAAATGTGAATACAGGAGGCTGGAAGGTCAGTTGTATTATCAGGAAGAGCTGCAGTACCAAGAGGTGGATCCTGGAGCCAGACCACCTGGGTTTGATTCTGTCTTTGCCACTTACAACCATGTGACCTTGGCCACACCAGTGAACTTTGCTGGGACTCAGTTTGCTCATCTGTAAAACAGAAATAATAATAAACACCTACCTCATGAAATTGTGATGAAGATTAATCAATAAAATACATATTCATTGGCAAAGTGTCAGCATGCATTTGTTCATACATTCATTAATTCATGAAACATTTCATGAGCATTTTCTATGTGCAGGGCACTATTTTAGGTACTGTAAATACATCAGTGAACAGAAAAGATCAAAATTCCTGCCCTCATGGAGCTTACATTCATGTGAGGAGCAGAGACACTCCGGATACGTTTTGAAGGTAGAGAGCTCAATAAGGGTCAATTATTATTATTACTATTATTATTACTATTATTATTACTTGAGACAGGGAGTGCAGTGATGTGATCTCAGCTCACTGCAATCTCCACCTCCTGGGCTCAAGCGATCCACCACCTCAGCACTCCAGGTAGCTGGGACTAAAGGCATGCACCACCAAGCCCAGCTAATTTTTTGTTAGAGACAGGGTCTTCTTATGTTTTCCAGGCTGGTCCCAAACTCCTGTGCTCAAGTGATCCTCCCTCCTCAACTCCCAAAGTGTTAGGATTACAGGCGTGAGCCACAGCACCCAGTCATTATTATTACGGAGAAAAAGAACATAATATACATGACAATCATGTAGACAGATTTGTATTGATTGGTTGAGTTAATGAAAATTTGTATTTAATAAATGAATAATTAAATAAATATATATTATTTAATAAAGCCTATGCATCTAATTGAAGAAATATTCAGTTCCCTGTTCTTATGGTAACTGAATACACATTAGGAGCCTGTGAAGACAGCTTGTTCAAATGCAGAAGTGTCACACCCGCCCCCTGCACCACCCCCACCAATGTTCTCGAGCCTCTGAATGGCTATGCTTTCTCAGCTTCTTTTCTTTCCTTTTTTTTTTCTTTTTTTCTTTCTTTTTTTTTTTTTTTTTTTTTTTTTGGCGTGCAGTGGTGCTATCATAGCTCACTGCAGCCTTGAACTCCTGAGCTCAAGGAATCCTCCTGCCTCAGCCTCCGAGTAACTGGGATTACAGGCATGTGTCATCATGGCCGGCTAACATTTAGAAATTTTTGTAGAGGCTGGGTGTGGCGGCTAACGTCTGTAATCCCAGCACTTTGGGAAGCCAAGGCGGGCAGAGTGCTTGAGGCCAGGAGTTTGAGACCAGCCTGGCCAACATAGTGAAACCCTATCTCTACTAAAATAACATATATTAGCTGGGCGTGGTGGTGGGCACCTGTAATCCCAGTTACTTGGGAGGCTGAGGCACGAGAATCCCTTAAACCTGGGAGGCAGAGGTTGCAGTGAGCTGAGACTGCGTTACTGCACTCCAGCCTGGGCGACAGAGCAAGACTCTGTCTTAAAAAAAAAAAAAAAAAAAAAAAAGAAATTTTTTGTGGAGACAGAGTCTCACTCTGTCCCCGAGGCTGGGCTTCTCAGCTTTTCAAGACAAGGCTGCCTCATCAGACCTCTGCTCCCTCACATCACCCGTTTCATCCTGGGGCTCATCCTACTGTGTTCCTCCAGGTTACACGCAGCCCCTGAGCTCTTCTTTTGTTTGTTGTTTTTCTGCTGCTTCCTGGATTTCTGTCAGCAATCCAGCTTCACAAATTGCTTGGCTGAGGTTCATATTTGCCGTCTTCCTTTGAAACTGTGATTCACAGTGTACACCCTTTAAACAGAATCCTCTCAGCCTGCAAGACGAAAAGCTTGTTTTAAAAACAAATTGCAGAACAGGCTGTCTACCCAGGGTTTTCACGCAGCATGCTCAGATGGGCAAATATAACTAAGAGGGCACATTCAAAATCTCTATTTTTTAAATGAGCCAAAATGTTTTTAGATGCTGATCAGATGGTGATGTCACTTTGCACCTCCAGGGTGCCCAAAGACAAATCCAGTCAGCTGAGAAAACAAACTTTAAAATTAGAGCTTGAAAAGGAAGACAAGAACATGTTGACCATCTTCAAAGTAGGCTTAGAATTTGTCTAAGATATATTCAAATTGGACGTTTTGATTTATTATTTATTTATTTATTTTTGAGATGGAGTCTCTCTCTGTCACCCAGGCTAGAGGGCAGTGGCATAATCTCGGCTCACTGCAGCCTCTGCCTCCTGGGTTCAAGTGATTCTCTTGCCTCAGCCTCCCAAATAGCTGGGATTACAGGTGCCTGCCACTATGCCTGGCTAATTTTTTTTTTTTTTTTTTTTTTTTGAGATGGAGTCTCGCTCTGTCACCCAGGCTGGAGTGCAGTGGTGCGATCTCGGCTCACTGCAACCTCTGCCTCCCGGGTTCAGGAGATTCTCCTGCCTCAGTCTCCCGAGTAGCTGGGATTACAGGTGCCTGCCACTATGCCTGGCTAATTTTTTTTTTTTTTTTTTTTTTGAGATGGAGTCTCGCTCTGTCACCCAGGCTGGAGTGCAGTGGTGCGATCTCGGCTCACTGCAACCTCTGCCTCCCGGGTTCAGGAGATTCTCCTGCCTCAGTCTCCCGAGTAGCTGGGATTACAGGCATGTGCCACCATGCCTGGCTATTTTTTTGTATTTTTAGTAGGGATGGGGTTTCACCGTGTTAGCCAGGATGGTCTCAATCTCCTGCCCTTGAGATCTGTCCACCTCGGCCTCCCAACGTGCTGGGATTACAGGCGTGAACCACTGTGCCTAACCCTACATTTTCGTATTTTTAGTAGAGACAGAGTTTCACTATGTTGGCCAAGCTGGTCTCAAACTCCTGACCTCAGATGATCTGTCCGCCTCGGTCTCCCAAAGTGCTGGGATTACGGGCATGAGCCACTGTGCCCTGCCTGGACATTTTCATTTAATAAGAAAAGGTGGTGATCATGATAGGCTTATAGGATCATTGGTTTATAATTTTTTTTTTTTTTTTTTTGAGATGGGGTCTTTCTTTGTCACCCAGGCTAGAGTGCAGTGGCGCGATCTCGGCTCACTGCAAGCTCTGCCTCCCAGGTTCAAGTGATTCTTCTGCCTCAGCCTCCAGAGTAACTGAGACTACAGGCACACACCAACATGCCCGGCTAATTTTTGTATCTTTAGTAGAGACAGGGTTTCACCATGTTGGCCAGGATAGTCTCAATCTCCTGACCTTGTGATTCGCCGGCCTCAGCCTCCCAAAGTGTTGGGATTATAGGCATGAGCCACCACACCCGGCCGGTTTATAAATTTTTAACTCTAGACAGAGCTTATGGTTATCACTTCTCCTCCCCATCTGTCATGTGAAGGAGGGAAAGTGATTAACATTGGCCTCTTGGTGTTATTTAGGGAATTCAATAAGGTAATGTATGTTGGCTGGATGTAGTGGCTCATGCCTATAATCCCAGCACTTTGAGAGGCTAAGGTGGGAGGACTGCTTGAGTTCAGGAGTTTGAGACCAGCCTGGAAAACATAGCAAGACCCTACTCCTACAAAAATAATTTAAAAATTAGCTGGGCATGGTGGTTCACACCTGTAGTCCCAGCTGCTTGAGAGACTGAGGTGGCAGGATTGCTTGTGCCCAGGAGGTAGAGGCTGCAGTGAGCTATGATGGCACTGCTGCACTCCAGCCTGGGTGACAGAGCGGGACCTTGTCTCAAAAACAAACAAACAAAAATATATGTCAACAGTACCATGCCTGAGCAGAGCAATTGTTCAACAAATGTTGGCTGTTATTGTTATTTTCTGTGTAGCTGAGGCAATGTGCACCTGCCTGAGAAGAAACAGGGGGACAAAAGCCTGGTGTTATGTCTATGACCTGTCCACCTGCAGCATCATAAGAACCCCTGTCTTCTGGCAGGGTGTGATAGCTCATGCCTGTAATCCCAGCACTTTGGGAGGCCAAGGGAGGCAGATCACTTGAGGTCAGGAGTTCAAGACCAGCCTGGCCAACATGGCAAAATCCCGTCTCAAGCAAAAACACAAAAATTAGCCTGGTGTGGTGGCAACCACCTGTAATCCCAGGTGCTCGGGAGGCTGAGGCAGGAGAATCGCTTGAACCCAGGAGGCGGAGGCTGCAGTGAGCCAAGATCTCACCACTGCACTCCAGCCTGGGCAACAGAGGAAGTCTCCATCTTAAAAAAAAAAAAAAAAAGAACCCCAGTCTTCTTGTAAATTATTTCCCACTGTTTCAGAGAACCCTGCAGGAGCGTCATGAATCTGTTTTGAGAAGTGAGCCCTCTTAGTTGCTCCAACGTTGATGTCGTTTTTCCTAAGCGTCCAAACACTCTGACAATGGCCACATGCAGCCCTACTTGTCTGCCCTGGACATAGCCAGTCAGGTCCTCCTGAGGCTACCAAAGCCTTCTACCCTTCACTTTCCTGTTAGGATGCCTTAAGGAGACATGCATGGAGCAGGACTTTCACGGTTACCACCTGCTCTGCTCAGGGTTCCAGCACATATTCCATCCCCTCCTATCCGGGCCCTTTTCTCTCGCCGGATGTCTTCCTTCTGCTGAGTTATTTGCCTGGGGTGGCCCTAGAGGATCTGCCCAACCTGTTCTCCAAAATCCCAGAATGATTCAGACTTTCCCTCCCTCCCTCCCTCCCTCCCTCCCTCCCTCCCTTCTTCCCTCCCTCCTTCCCTCCTTCCCTCCCTCCCTTCCTTCTTTCTCAAGACAGGGTCTTGCTCTGTCCACGAGGCCAGAGTGCAGTGGTGCAATCGTAGCTCACTGCAACCTTGAACTCTTGGGCTCAAGCGATCCTCCTGTCTCAGCCACCCAGGTAGCTAGGATTACAGCCATGTGCCACCATGCCAGGCAATTGTTTTGTTTTTTGTAGAGACAGGGTCTCACTATATTGCTCAGGCTGGTCTCAAACTCCTGGCTTCCAGTCATCCTCCCATCTCAGCCTCCCGAGCAGGGTGTTCATGGGTCCCAGATCCAGCGTGGCACTGACGGTTGTGTCAATTTGGACAGCTACTGCCCCTTTCTGTACCTCAGCTCCTTCTCTTTTAAGTGGGGATAACCATATCCCTGACAGGTTTCACAGTAAGGATTAAATGAAACAACTCAGGTAAAGTGGTGAGCATGGCATCAGGGGCAAAGTCAGCTCTCACCATTGCTGCTTTTATTATTCCCAGATCCCTATCGCCAAGAGTACAATTCCAGGCAGACTTCTGGCCAACACCATCCTCTGCAAAACTGTTGCTCTTCCCTCCTCGCCTTTATCTACCACAGCAAGATCCTGCCATTTCTAGCCCAGAAACACCTTTGGAGTCTACCTACCCTCCTCTCCATACTGGTTACCATTGTCTTCCTTCAGACCTTAACAGAGACCCTGGAAGCATTGCAATAGCGTCCTAAATAAACACGAACTCCTATCTTGTCCCATTTCCTTCCCAAACATTCTGCACATTGCAGAGATGTAAAGATAGCTGACCCATTCACCCTCACTGGCAGGAAAAGGCAAAAACTCAACACACTGGATAGACATGAAAGGCACTTCACAATCCCCACACCTGCACCCTCAGACTCACGGTGCACCGCTCTGCCCTGAGGGCCTCTTGCTGTCAGGCATCCGCACTGTTCTAGGTCTGTGCAGTGAATCTCACCACCCTCCACTGACTGTGCGGGCTTTATACCGTGGCCCCTTACTCAGACAAGTCATTCTGTAAGTTTCTGGAGCTGACCTTTGGCTCTTTGTCTTGGAAATGAGCTCGTGACCCCTCTCTGAGTCTGGACACCTGAGTAATCACTGCCCTTGCCTTCTACTCAGCTCTGAGGGGCATGGCTTCTGGGGCATCTCTACCATCAGAGAGAGGATAGCACAACCTGGTCACCCAAAACTTCTCATCCATCTGCTCAATAATCCAGTGTCTCTGAGCTGGGTGTGATGGTGTGTGCCTATAATCCCAGGTGGTACTCAGGAGGCTGAGGTCGGAGGATGGCTTGAGCCCAGGAGTTGGAGATCAGCCTTGACAATGTAGCAAGAGACCCAGACAAAAAGAAAATCATCCAGGGTCTTTGTTGGCTGTTTATTTATTATTTTATTTTATTTATTTATTTTTTTAGGCAGTCTTGCTTTGTCACCCAGGCTGGAGTGCAGTGGCGCGACCTTGGCTCACTGCAACCTCTGCCTCCCAGGTTCAAGTGATTCTCCTGCCTCAGCCTCCCCAGTAGTTGGGATTACAGTCATGTGCCACTGTGTCCGGCTAATTTTTGTATTTTTAGTAGAGATGGGGTTTCACCACGTTGGCCAGGCTGGTCTTGAACTCCTGACCTCAAGTGATCCGCCCACCTCAGCCTCCCAAGGTGCTGGGATTACAGGCGTGAGCCACCGTGCCCGGCCCTTGTTCATCTTTTTATATCCAACTCCCAGCAGACAACATAGTATGCTGCTATGTAAGTTCATCAAATAAATATTTGATGAATGGATGTATGAATGCAAGCTGTGTTTTTTTTTTTCTTTTTCTTGCAGATAAGTCACAATTCCAAGACCCAGTAGTCTGAGAAAGTAGAGAATAGTAGTTTTCCAAAGGGCAAATTCCCAGAGATTTGAAACAATTTCCCAAATAAATCTAACACTGATAACCTCAACTCTCAGAAAATGTCCTTAATTCTCTATTTTGCTTTGTGTGTGGAGATCAAGTCCTTGAGCAGCTAACAGGAAGGACCAGATACACAGGGCCTTGGAAGGTTGCCATCCAATGTGAATCTAAACCTCTGGGCTGACACACCAACATGCAAACATTCCTGCTATTATATAGCTTTAGTGGACAAACTGAGGCCTTGAAAATGAATCTCTGGGTAAATGTGGAATAATTTCTAGCTATGGCCCTTCCTCAACAGAGTGTAGTAAAATTGTGCAATGTAAGAGGTTCTTAACCTCATTGTGCATGAACATTATTCACAATATATTAGTAGTAAATATATTTAATGCTGGCTAGTCATGGTGACTCACACCTGTAATCCCAGCATTTTGGGAGGCCAAGGTGGGAGGATCACTTGAGGCCAGGAGTTCAAGGCTGCAGTGAGCTATGATTGCATCACTGCACTCCAAACTGGGTGAGAGACCAAGGCCCTATCTCCAAAAACAACAACAAAACACATTTAATGGTTACTATGAGACAAGCATTGTGCAAAGTGTTTTATATGCAAGAACTCATTTAACTCTCATACCAATCATGACATATGACATGGGTTCTACGATTAACCCCACTTACAGATGGGCAAACTGAGGCACCGGCACAGGATTTGACCCCAGTCAGATCTCGAGCCCCCGCTCATAACTTTATGCCAAAAACAAAACAAAACAAAAACAAAAAAAGAACGTGTTTTTGAGAACTATATTTAAAATGTCTTCATATTGCCTCCTACAGCATTCTTTTCTAAAAGGAACATTCCAAATAGTGTGTGGTCTTCAGACCTAGAATCTCTGCAGCCCAAATTCTGGCTGACTCCTCACAGAAACACATGAGCAGCCATGAGTATGGGCAAAAATTCTGCACTGGCCGGGCGCGGTGGCTCACACCTACAATCCCAGCACTTTGGGAGGCTGAGACGGGTGGATCACCTGAGGTTTGTTTGAGACCAGCCTGGCCAACATGGTGAAACCCCATCTCTACTAAAAACACAAAAAATTAGCCGGGTGTGGTGGCGTGCACCTGTAATCCCAGCTACTCAGGACGCTGAGGCAGGAGAATCGCTTGAACCTGGGAGGCAGAGGTTGCAGTGAGCCGAGATTGCACCACTGCACTCCAGCCTGGGTGACAGAAAAAAAATTGTGCCCAGACCTCAGTGGTCTCCTCCTGTAACTGAGGCAATGCAACCCGCTTTGTGGACAGGGTAGGGTGGGAGAGGTGAAGGCACCAGCACTCCTGGGTTTGTCTGAGGGCCACTCTGGATGACCACCGCAGATGCAGGTCTCTGGATAACCTGTTTCATGGCAGTGGGGCTGTCGGACAGAGTGCCCACTCTCCAAATCTTACCAAATTATCCCCCGCATCTGCATGTTTCTCTTTTTATATTCAGTTCCTTTGAGAAAAATGTCCTTTAAAAAAAAAAAAACTGAGATGGGGTCTTGTTGCAATGCCCAGGCTGATCTCAAACTCCCGGGCTCAAGTGATCCTCTCGCCTTAGCCTCCCAAAGTGCTGGGATTACTATCCTGAGCCACTGCAGCCAGCCAACAGAAAAACTTTCTACCTGCTTCTTCAATTCATACTCAATGGCCTTCACAAAAGAGTAAGAAAAATAAAGAAAAAAGTTAAAGGGTCTCCCTGCCAAGGATGAAGACAGAGCTCCAGGGACTTCTGCAGAGGGAGAGGGGCTGACGATTCTAATGGTCATAGGAGCCAAAATAACAACAGTATCAACAGCTATATCTTCCGGACTATCTTTTTTTTTCTATTTCCCAAAAGTATAACTGCAATACTTTATCTTAAATGATATTTATTTATCATCATCTATATAGTTTTTGGAGGCTGGGCACCATGGTTCACGCCTGTAATCCCAGCACTTTGAGAGGCTGAGGTGGGCGGATCACTTGAGCCCAGGACATTGAGACCAGCCTGGGAAACACAGCGAGACCCTATCTCTACAAAAAAATACAATAATTAGCTGGGCCTGGTGGCGCACACCTGTGGTCCCAGCTACTCAGAAAACTGAGCTGGGAGGATCCCTTGAGCCCAGGAGGTCAAAGCTGCAGTGAGCTGAGATTGTGCCATTGCACTCCAGCCTGGGAGACAGAGCAAGTCGTTGTCTCAAAAAATAATAAATAAATACATAAAAATTAAAAGACAGTTTTTAGGGGTCCCCCAAACCCAATTTTCCCGTTGGATAAAACCCAAATAGGATATAAATGCATGGAAGAGTTCAGAAGCAGACCCTTATATTTTCAAAACAAAAAGTACCACCCTTGACTTGGTTTGGAGAACAAATATGAACCTTGGAGCCCTCTCTGAAGCTGGCTCCCTTCTCACGGGCGTGGCAGGCCTTGCCTTCTGCACTTACATGTCCCAAGAGGCATCAGCCTGCCCGCTGAAATCCGAAGCCACATAATGTCAACACAGTACTCCTGTGTAAATATCTGGTCCAGGGAAAATGCCTTGAACGCTTGTACAACCAATTTTCTGGCAGGCAGTGAGATGAAAAGGAGAATTAATGCATGCATTAAAATAATTTCTTTTGAAAACCCAAACAATTGCTGTGCATCCTTCATCACAACACACACTAAATGGCCTTTTCCTACCGCCCTCTCTCTCTCCAGGCATCTTGCCCACCCCCAGCTCTCCTAATAAAGAGCACACTAAGTCTTTAGCTCTGCTGGCAAGGAGAATTAAATTGCTATTTGCCACCTGGTGTTGTCTTACTTAACGTACTTCCAAATTGCACTTAAACTTCCCTTTGGAACTCAGAGTTTAAATGCTAGAACGAAGGAAACAAAGCAAGAGAGAAAAACAGAAAAGAAAAGTGAAAAAATTTACATAATTTGCAAACACTGTCTTTAACAGTGTTAAAAAAGTAGTCTTTTTTCTTCTCTTTGCCTTCATCTTCTGTTCGTCATCTCATTTGTTTCCTCTTGTTCATCTTTATTTTTATCCTTCAGAATTTAATCAAAGAAGAAACACGTTTCTTCCCATTACAAAACCATACTCGAGTTCAAAATGGGGTACTCTGAGTGTTTTAAATAGATTTTTTTTTTTTTTTTTGAGACCGAGTCTTGCTCTGTCACCCAGGCCGGAGTGCAGTGGTACAATCTCAGCCCACTGCAACCTCTACTTCCTGGGTTCAAGAGATTCTCCTGTCTCAGTCTCCTGAGTAGCTGGGATTACAGGCATACACCACTATGCCCCACTAATTTTTGTATTTTTAGTAGAGAGGGGATTTCATCATGTTGGCCAGGCTTGTCACAAACTTCTGACCACAAGCGATCTGCCTGCCTCGGCCTCCCAAAGTGCTGGGATTACAGGCATGAGCCACCACGCCTGGCCATTTTTAGTAGAATTTTATCCCAGAAGCTCTGTGATCCTGTCCATTGTAACCCTGTTTTTAAGTTTTCAGGGTCCCTTTCTTTTCTCCATTTAATTTCTTCTTCTCCTCCTCCTTTTTCTTCTTTTTTCCCCCCCACCCCCAGAGTCTTGCTCTGTTGCCCAGGCTGCCATTCAGTGGCATGATCATGGCTCACTGTAGCCTCAACCTCCCAGGCTCAAGAGATCCTCCCACTTCAGCCTCCCGAGAAGCTGGGACTACAGGTGCAAGCCGCCATGCCCGGCTAATTTTTTATTTTTTGTTGAGATAGGGTTTTGCCAGGTTACCCAGGCTGGTCTCAAACTTCTGGGCTCAAGCAAACTGTCTGCCTTGGCCTTCCAAGGTGCCGGAATTACAGCTGTGAGCCACCACACCCAGCCCATTTAATTTATTTGTTCAGCAAACACTTTGTTGAGAATTGATTCTTGTCTAGCACCATGACCTTTTCTTTTCCCACTGTTTTCTTTCTGTTTAGCTCAATTATCAACTACCAAGGCAGCAGAATCATAAAATTCAAGAGCTCCCTCAACTGCACAAAAGTCCACTCTTTTCAACTGTAAGACATTCTTCCCTCTGCAGTTTTTTGTAATATGAAGAATTTTAATTAGCAAAAAGTTTTATAAGACGTTATCAAATAACAAATACTTAATTTCTTTTCTTTTTTTTTTTTTGAGACGGAGTCTTGCCACCATACCTGGCCTATTTACAGGCATCCTGTTTAAGAGATGTTTCAGGCCGGGCGCGGCGGCTCACACCTGTAATCCCAGCACTTTGGGAGGCCGAGGCGGGCGGATCACAAGGTCAGGAGATCAAGACCATCCTGGCTAACGCGGTGAAACCCCGTCTCTAATAAAAATACAAAAAATTAGCCAGGCGTGGTTGCAGGCGCCTGTAGTCTCAGCTACTCTGGAGGCTGAGGCAGGAGAATGGCGTGAACCCAGGAGGTGGAGCTTGCAGTGAGCCGAGATTGCACCACTGCACTCCAGCCTGGGGGACAGAACACAAGACTCCGTCTCAAAAATAAAAAATAGAAGAGAGACGTTTCAGGCCAGGTGAGGTGGCTCATGCCTACAATCCCTGCCTTTGGGAGGCTAAGGCAGGAGGATCACTTGAGCCCAGGATTTTGAGACCAGCCTGCGCAACATGGCAAAACCCTGTCTCTTCAAAAAAATACAAAAATTAGCCAGGCATGAGTGCATGCCTATGGTCCCAGCTACTTGGGAGGCTGAGGTAGGAGGATCACTTGAGCCCAGGGGGTTGAGGTTGCAGTGAGCCAAGATTGCCTCATTTCGCTCAAGCCTGGGTGCAGAGGGAGACTCTATCTCCAAAAAAAAAAAAAAAAAAAACACGTTTCAGATGTTTATAATTCAGGTTATCGTATTCAGCTTAGAGGGAGAAGGCTTAATGTTAGTTGGGTACTAAGTGCAGACAGAGGAAGTGTCATTTCCGTTGTCCTCCCAACAGAGCAGATCCGTGTCCCTCTAAATAAAATGGTTGAGAGAGAAGAGTCTTGAGTTTTGCTGCAACAAAAAACTAGGGAAAAAAAAACAAATTCAATTTGAGGCTCTAAGCAAGGAGCAGCAAAATGTTGAAAAGGTAATTAACATCTGTATTCCAAAGAGCAGCAGAGAGCAGGTTAGAACAGATGGTTTCAGAAGTCATAAAAATAACCTAGGACAGTCTGTAGGTGGAAGAAAGAGCTTACTCCACGTGAGTGACAAGGTACTGTAGTAAATAGTTCTTTAGCGTTTTCTGTTGTCTTAACACTTGCTTTAACTGGGTAGTTTGGGCATTAATAAGGAGATGGCTCGCGTATTGTTATTGTGATGAATAACTTCTTCGAAAAAAAGTACTTGTAAATGTAATGAGTGGTGTATCCTTGCCTATCTGTTCACAGCATCTGGAAGTAAATCTAATCCCGGTCAGAAACTATCAATAAAACAGTGGCAGTTAGCTGCCAACAAGCCATAGAGTCAAAATCTAGCCCTACGTGAAGTGCTGCAGAGTGAAAAATCTCACACACGAAAAAAGTGGTGCTTGGTAAAAGTTAAGAGAACAAAATATAGCAGGAAAAGACCCATGAGTTAAAGCCATAGTTATAGAAAATCTAGTAGAAGCACTTGCTTTCCAAAGGCTGAACTCCAGACAGCAAATAATTCACTGATTTTGGAAACTTTCCAAATAACAAAATGTTCTGTTTCAGAAGTGTCTTGAGCTTTTAGGAGATCAGAATAGAGAAAGGGTACAGTGCCCATTCAGGTCTCGCTTTGTGTTTATGCTGAATAAAAGTTCTCCACGGGAGAATACTGAGTCTCCAATAAGATAGGATGACATTAAGAGAAAACAATTTTTTTATTTTTATTTTTTGAGATGGAGTCTCGTGCTTTTGCCCAGGCTGGAGTGCAATGGCATGATCTCGGCTCACTGCAAGCTCCACCTCCTGGGTTCAAGCAATTCTCCTGCTTCAGCCTCCAGAGTAGCTGGGACTACAGAGGCCCACCACCACACGCAGCTAATTTTTTGTATTTTTAGTAGAGACAGGGTTTCACCATGTTGGCCAGGCTGGTCTCGAACTCCTAACCTCAGTTGATCCTCCTGCCTCTAATTTTTTGTATGTTTAGTAGAGACAGGGTTTCACCATGTTGGTCAGGTTGGTCTCGAACTCCTGACCTCAAGTGATCCATCCGCCTTGACCTCCCAAAGTGCTGGGATTACAGGCGTGAGCCATCGTGCCGGGCCAAGAAAACAATCTTTATTCCCATTTAAGAGAGCTATCTAAGTGTGTTTAATCCTTATTTCAAGTTAAGTGCTTAGACTTGGTTGTTTTTCTATACAAGCAATTATCTTACCCTAAATGCTTTCCTTTACCGTGTGTGTATGTGTATTTTTAGAGACAAGGTCTCACTCTGGCACCCAGGCTATAGTGCAGTGGCACAATCACAGCTCACTGCAGCCTCGACCTCCTGGACTCAAGCAATCCTCTCACCTCAGCCTCCTGAGTAGCAGAGAGTACAGATGTGTGCCACCAAGCCCAGCTAATTTTTAATTTTCTTTTGTAGAGCCAGGGTCTTGCTATGTCACCCAAGGTGGCCTTGGACTTCTGAGCTCAAGCTTCCACCTGCCTCGGGCTCCCAAAGTGCTGGGATTACAGGTGTGAGCCACCATGCCTGGTCCATATTCTTTATTTACAATGAGATTTATAAAACAGTTAGTAATAAGACATGGATTGAAGAATTTGAAAACCTAGGAGACATTTATCAAGAAAATTCCCCAGGATTACAGTAACTAAAGTGCAGTTAAGGCGAGACAGTTCTCAAGTTGTTTATCACCACCTACTAGGATCCAATCCCTTTTTTTTAAACTTGCCAAACCATTTGACAATGTACAGATGCTATTTTATTTATAAATTTGGTTATTCTACAGGTTGTTAAATTTGATTTGCAATATAATCATAGTAGCAAAAAGTCATACTAGTTTTGTATTTGATAGAAAAATATTTTAATAGTAATTATAACAGCAAATTATAGTGCTTTACCAATAATACTGAAGACTTCTGTAAATTTTGGAAATCTGAAACTGATCATGTTGAAAAATTAATGCAATTCAGGAAAGACTTAAAAACCCAATACAGTGTTAATTGATCCTGACAATGATTTATTTTTGCAGTTTGCACAGAGCCCTTAAAAGGAGATATTTCTTGAAGGATGAATAGGGATTTGGCAACTGAAAGCAAGATAGCAGGATGCTCTAGCAGAGGGTACGGCGCAGGCAGAGGCACGGCCATCAGGAGAGGCCCTGGCCTTTGGGAGAGGGGCTCCAGTGACCAGGGCATGCATTGTCTCTATCTCTGGGGGTGCTGGCTCATGCAGGCTTCACTGAGTCCTATGAGAAATGGAAGAATGGTATTCTATTATGAAAGAAGGGCTGGGTGTGGTGGCTCACGCCTGTAATCAGCACTTTGAGAGACTGAGGAGGCGAATCATTTGAGGACAGGAGTTCGAGACCAGCCTGGCCAACATGGTGAAACCCCATCTTTACTAAAAATACAACAATTAGCCGGGCGTGGTGGCACGTGACTGTAATCCCAGCTACTCGAGAGGCTGAGAAAGGAGAATCACTCGAACCCAGGAGGCAGAGGTTGCATTAAGCCGAGATCACACCACTGGGCAACAAAGCGAGACTCCATCAGAAAAAAAAGAAAGAAAGAAAGAAAAAGAAATGTAATAATAATGATATATCCTAGAAGGAAAACAAAAAACAAAAAAGCTCCATGTGCTCATTAACTTCTGTCTGCCTCTGTAGATCCTCTTGCCCGTGTTCACCCTGCTCTGTGCCCTGGGAGGGCTCCCTTGTCTTTCAGTTTCCTGTTGGGCTGAACCAATGGGAGTGCTGCCAGGGGATCAGTGGTAGGAGTGGCTAGGGACCGGCTGCATGGGTTCCCTGTGGCCTCTACCAAATGCCACAGTCCCCTTCAGAAAGCCCTCTCCAGGCAAACCCCCATCTGGTACCCAATAACTATTCATTTCCCCTGTCTTTATAGGCCTAGGAATAACAGCTCCCTGTGGTTTACTGTACAACCAGACTTGTGCACAACCAGAGTATACAATGCCAGGTAGTGTGTACTCTGCTAGGTCTTATGGATTTCCTTAAAATTTGTACTCAACATTGTAAATAATCCCTTTATTATATTATTCTTTTATTACTTTTTTTTTTTTTTTGAGACAGGGTCTCTGTTACCTAGGCTGGAGTGCAATGGTGCCATCATATCACTGCAGCCTCAAACCCCTGGGCTCAAGTGATCCTCCTAGCCTCCTGAGTAGCTGGGACTAGAAGCGTGCACCACTATGCTTGGCTAACTTAAAAAAATAATTTTGCCGGGCGCGGTGGCTCATGCCTGTAATCCTAGCACTTTGAGAGGCCGAGGTGGGTGGATCATGAGGTCAGGAGTTCAAGACCAGCCTGGCCAACACGGTGAAACCCTGTCTCTACTAAAAATACAAAAATTAGCCAGGTGTGGTGGCAGGCGCCTGTAATCCCAGCTACTCAGGGGATTGGGGCAGGAGAATCGCTTGAACCCAGGAGACGGAGTTTGCAGTGAGCCAAGATCACGCCATTGCACTCCAGCTTGGATGACAGAGCAAGACTCAGTCTAAAAAAAAAAAAAAAAAATTGGGGGCCAGGCGCAGTGGCTCATGCCTGTAATCCCAGCACTTTGGGAGGCCAAGACGGGCAGATCACCTGAAGTCAGGAGATTGAGACTAGCTTGGCCAACACGGTGAAACCCTGTCTCTACTAAAAATACAAAAAAATTTAGCCAGGCTTGGTGGCGGGCACCTGTAGTCCCAGCTACTCGGGAGGCTGACGCAGGAGAATGGTGTGAACTGGGGAGGCAGAGCTTGTAGTGAGCCGAGATCACGCCACTGCACTCCAGCCTGGGCAACAGAGCGAGACTCCGTCTCAAAAAAAAAAAGATATTCAAATATTCAAATCACAATAGAAAGTCTTGCTTTTGTGCTAAGGATATTGGCAATGCAGTTCAAGGTTGAAAAGAACATTATTGGTTCAATCCAAATGGGCAGATTAAAAAAAATAATAAAAGAAATAAAGAATATTATTGGAAGGAATATGGATGGTATTCCTTTAAGAGATTCAGAACATTACATAGAAGTTTCATGTATGCTTCCTTGTACTGATAATTCAGAATCCTAGGAACAGAGGACTTGTAAGGAAAACATAGAAAATGCACTTCATCACTGGTGGGGCACGGTGGCGCTCACGTCTGTAATCCCAGCACTTTGGGAGGCTAAGGCAGGTGGATCACTTGAGGTCAGGAGTTCGAGACCAGCCTGGCCAACATGGTAAAACCTCATCTCTACTAAAATATAAAAATTAGCTGGGCATGGTGGTGGGTGTCCATAATCCCAGCTACTCAGGAGGCTGAGGCAGGAGAATCACTTGAACCTGGGAGGCGGAGTTAGCCGGGATCGTATCACTGCACTCCAGCCTAGGCGACAGAGCAAGACTCCATCTCAAAAAAAAAAAAAAAAAAAGATCTGCTTTGGTGTCTGCCACAGGCAGACGCCGTGATTTGCTTACTCAGCACCCATTACTACTTTTTCTTCCTTGCTAACACAACTGAAATTTGTTGGTACACCAATATTTCAGCCCTAGGCTATAGACCATCCTATACCTAGTCTAATCATTACAAATCAATGTTTTCTACTACTGTAATCTCCCTAAAGCTAGGGATGGCCATATGCCCATATTTAGCCAATGACACCTAAATGAAAGTCTACAGGTGTGGTTTAGAGCGAGGTCTCTCAGCCTTGGCACCATTGACATTTTGGGGCAGATAATTCTCTGTTGTGAGGGGTTTTTCTGGGGATTGTTGAATGTTTATATCATCCCTGGACCCTACCCACTAGATGACAATAGCACCCCCTTAGTTATGACAACCACAAATGTCTCCAAACATTGTAAAACGTTGCCTGGAAAGTAAAATTGTCCCCAGTTGAGAACTACTGTTTTAGAGGAAAGATCTTGTCTTGCTGATTAAAGGGAACTAATGTACCTGGTACCTCCTTCTCTCCCCTTCTTCCTGCCTTGAACAGGATGTGAGGATTGCAGCTGCAATAACCATTCTGCAACTGTAAGGAAACAGTCAAAAGATTCTCCTTGAAACCGTTGCTACTTAGCAGCGATCACCTAGCCTTTGATGTCTTATTATGTGAGGGGGGAAATGCTCTTTATAGTTAATGTCACTATAGCAAAACTTTCTGAACTTTGAACCAAATACATCCTGTATTAGTTTGTGTTGCTGTAACAGAATACCAGAGACTGGGTGATTTATAAAGAAAAGAGGCTTATTTAGCTCATGGTCCTACAGGCTGAGAAGTTCAAGGGCATGGCCGTGGCTTCAGACAAGGGCTTTTGGGCTGCATCATAACATGGTGGAAGGTCAAAGAGGAACAGACACGTGCAACGGGCTGAACACAAAGGGCGCCTGTACTTTATAACAACATGCCATCGTGGGAACAAACCCATTTCTGCGAGAACTGATCAAGTTTCATGAGAGTGAGAACTCACTACCGTGAGAACAGCACCAAGCCACTCGCAAAAACAGATCCCCCATGAACCAAATGCCTCCCATTAGGTTCCACCCCTTAAAGGTTCCACCTCCCAATGTTGTTACATTAGCAATTAAGCTTTTGTTTTTGTTTTTTCAGACAAGGTCTCACTATGTTGTCCAGGCTGGACTCAAACTCCTGGGCTCAAGCAATCCTCCTACCTCAGCATCCTTAGGAGCTGGGGCTACGGCAGTTAAATTTTAACATGAGTTTCTGTGGGGACAAATCATATCCAAACCATAGCACATTGTGCTCAAGATATTGGCTATGCAGTTCATGGCTTAAAAAACATTATGGGAAGGAGTAGAGACAGTGCATATAATAAAGTATGTATAGTGAAGCAGTACAATTGTATTTCTATTTAAATTGAAATTAAAACATTTATAATGGGCCAGGCACGGTGGCTCATGCCTGTAATCCCAGCATTTGGGAGGCTGAGTTGGGCAGATCGCCTGAGCTCAGGAGTTCAAGACCACCCTGGGCAACATGGTGAAACCCTGTCTCTACTAAAATACAAAAAAATTAGCCAGGCGTGGTGGTATGCACCTGTAGTCCCAGCTACTCAGGAAGCTGAGGCATGAGAATAGCTTGTGCCCGGGAGGCAGAGGTTGCAGTGAGCAGAGATCCCATCACTGCACTCTAGCTTGGGCTACAGAGTGAGACTCCATCTCGAAAAAAAAAAAAATGACTTAGAAAAATATTTAATACTTGAAAATAAATCTGATGAAAGATGTACAAAATGTGTACATTGAAAACAGCAAGGCTGGGCATGGTGGCTCACGCTGTGGATCACCTGAGGTCAGGAGTACAAGACAAGCCTGGCCAACATGGTGAAACCCCGTCTCTACTGAAAATACAAAATTAGCCGGGTGTGGTGGCACATGCCTGTAATCCCAGCTACTTGGGAGGCTGAGCCATGAGAATCGCTTGAACCTGGGAGGCAGAGATTGCAGTGAGCTGAGATGGCGCCATTGTACTCCAGCCTGGGGAACAAGAGCGAAACTCCATCTCAAAAAAAGAAAAAAAAGAAAACAGCAAATCATTGCTGAGAGAGAAGACCCCCATAAATGGGGAGATAAATCATGAGTTCCATAGTGTTGAGATGTTCACTCTCCTCAAATTGATCTATAGATGTAATGCAATCCCAATAAAAATCTCAGTAGTCTTTATTTTTAGAAATTGGCAGGCTGATTCTGAAATTTTATAGAAATGCAAAGGAGCTAGAATAATCAGAATATGTTTTAAACAATAATTTGGAAAACTTATGCTACCTCATTTCAAATCTACTGTTAGGCAATCAAGGCAATGTGGCATCGATGTGAAGATAGACATATAAATTAATAGAACATAATAGAGTCCAGATACATACATACATACATATACACAAACACACACACACACACACATACACACATATATATGGTTAATTGATTTTGATAAATATACCAAGCTAATTCAATGTATCCGGTTGGTCTAAAGGTAATTCTGGTTTTTGTGATTACTTAAAAGTAATGAAAAGTAATGGCAAAATCCGCAATTACCTTTGCACCAACCTAATAAATTGATAGTCTTTTCAGCAAGTGGTGCTGGAACAACTGGATATCCCTATGGAAAATAAAAAATACCATTGAACTTCTAGTCTCCTTTCGCATGTAAGGAGATTAAAAGTGACCACTCCATCTTAAGTAAAAAGCTGACCAAGTGGAAAAATCAACAATTCTTAGATTCGTAAGAGAGGTCACAGGGCAAACAGGTGACCCTGTTTGGAGAGACAGATGGACACAGAGAATCACAATTTGCTGGAGTAAAAACCTGCATGGGAACCAGTGCTGGGGTAAGAAAACCTAAACTATAATTGACAAATTGCTGGAGGCTCAGTGTGGACAAGTCTGAGTTAAAACTCCAGGGACACCCAGTCACTGGGGATGGGGGGCACACTTTCGTGAGTTCAGTTCTACCAGGCTCTCATACTCAACACTAGAGAAAAATCTCCTTGTGCTTCTGGCAAGGGGAGAAGGAAAGAAACTATTCTGAAATACACAAGAGCCATTCTGTTCCTATACATTTATTTATTTATTTAAGACAGAGTCCTGTTCTGTCACCTAGGCTTGAGTGCAGTGGCATGATCTCAGCTCACTGCAACCTCTGCCTCCTGGGTTCAAGTGATTCTCCTGCCTCAGCCTCCCAAGTAGCTGGGATTACAGGCACACACCACCACGTCTGATTTTTTAGAGACAGGGTTTCACCATGTTGGCCACACTGGTCTCGAACTCCTGACCACAAGTAACCCGCCCACCTCGGCCTCCCAAAACGCTGGGACTGCAGGCAAGAACCATCACGCCCAGCCGCCATTCTGTTTTTCTTAACATCACCTGTCCTCAGGGGAAACCATTTTACCAGAGCCTAACCTTCTTGGGTTCTATGAGAGCCTAACTAACCTTGGGAAGAGAAACACCCAACTCCAGCCCACTCCAATCATCCTGTCCTACCTAAGGAGGGAAGGTGCTGAAGTATTTGTGAAGTTCACAGTCCAGGGGCACAGGCTCACCAAAGGACTGAAACCTAATCATAGGTCTATAGAATGCTTCTCCTGTCTCCACACCTTACCACCACAAAACCAAACGCCTATTTACCATCAGTCCTTTTACTCAGTACAACACGCCTGGCTATCAAGAAAAAATTACAAGCCATACTAAAAGAAAACACAGTTTGAAGAGACAGAACAAGCATCAGAACTAGACTAGGCAGAGATGTTGGAATTATCAGATTAGGAATTTCAAACAACTAGGATTCATATGCTAAGGGATCTAATGGGTAAAGTAGACAGCATACAAGAACAGATGAACAATGTAAGCAGAGACATGGAAAGTATAAGAAAACAGAAACAAAAAGAAAATCTAGAGATCAAAAGCACTGTAACAGAAATTAGGAATAAATTTGATGGGCTTACTAGCAAGGCTGGACACACCTGACAAAAGAATCTCTGAGCTTGAAAACATCCCAGTAGAAATCTGAAACTGAAAACAAAAAGATACTGAAAAAAACAAAACAAAACACGGAATATTCAAGAACTGTGAGAAAACCACAAAAGGTGTAATACATACATAATGGTAATACCAGAAGGAGAAGAAATAAAGCTAGGAACAGAAGAAATATTTAAAACAATAATGACTGAGAATTTCCCCCAAATTAATGTCAGATACCAAACCACAGATCCAGGAAGCACAAAGAACAGCAAGCAGGATGAATACCAAAACAAAACAAAATGAAAAATACCTTGACATACCATATTTAAATTACAGAAAATTCAAAGATGGGCCAGGCATGGTGGCTCATGCCTGTAATCCCAGCACTTTGGGGACGCCGAGGTGGGTGGATCACCTGAGGTCAGGAGTTTGAAACCAGCCTGGCCAACATGGTGAAACCCCATCTCTACTAAAAATACAAAAATTAGCCAGGCGTGGTGGCTCACGCTTGTAATCCCAGCTATTCGGGAGGCTGAGGTACGAGAATAACTTGAACCCGGGAAGCAGAGGTTGCAGTGAGCCGAAATCATCCCACTGCACTCCAACCTAAACAACAGAGCAAGACTCCATCTAAAAAAAAGAGGAAAAAAAAGTAAATGGATGGAAAAAGATGTACCGTGCTAACACCAATCAAAAGAAAACAGGAGTCGCTATATTAGTTTCAGACAAAGCAGACATCACAGCAAGGAAAGTTTTCAGGGATAAAGAAGGGCACTACCTAATGATAAAGGGGACAATTCTCCAAGAAGACATAACCATCTTTAACATACTTGCACATAGCAAGAGTCAAACTACATGAAGTAAAACTAACAGACCTGCAAGGAGAAGTGATTAATCTATTATTATAGTTGGAGACTTTAACACCAATCTATCAGAAATAGGTTCAGCAAGCAGAAAATCAGTAAGGACATGGTTGAATTCAACAACACCATCAATTCACTGGACACAAGGGCAACTACTGACTACTTCGTCCAGCACCAGAGTACACATTTTTCTCAAGTTCACATAAAACACTCACCAAAATAGACAGATTCTGGGCCATAAAACAGTATCTTAACAAAATTTTAAAAACAGAAGTCATACAATGCCTGCTTCCCGACCACAATGAAATTAAACAAAAAATTAATAACAAAGATAGCTGGAAAAATCCCAAAATACTTGGAAATTAACACATTTCTAAGTAACACAGGGGTCAGATAATTCTTCAAGACACAATTTTAAAATATTTTGAACTAAATGAAAATGAAAACACAATTTATCAAAATGTGTGAGATGCAGTAAAAGTAGTGCTTAAAGAGAAATAGCATTGAATGCATATATTAGAAAAGGAGAAAACTCTATAATCATTAAGCTTGTACCTTAGGAAAGTAGAAAGAGCATTAATTAAAGAATAAAATTAAATCCAAAGTAAGCAGAAGACAAAAATAATTACAGCAGAAATCAAGGAAATGAAAAACAAGAAATCAATAGAGAAAATCAATGAAACCAAAAGCGAATGCTTTGAAAAGTTCAATAAGGCTAGGTGTACTGGCTCACACCTATAATCCTAGCACTTTGGGAGGCTGAGGTGGACAGATCACTTGAGGTCAGGAGTTTGAGACTCGCCTGGCCAACATAGTGAAACCTCGTCTGTACTAAAAATACAAAAATTAGCTGGGCATAGTGGCAGATGCCTGTAATATCAGCTACTCAGGAGGCTGAGGCAGGAGAATCACTTGAACCCAGGAGGCAGAGGTTGCAGTGAGCCAAGATCATATCATTGCACTCCAGCCTGGGTGACAGAGTGAGACTCCGTCTCAAAAAAAAAAAAAAAAAAAAGTTCAATAAAATTGATAAGCTTCTAGCCAAGTTAAGAAAAAAAGAGAACACACATTATTAATGTCAAAAATGACATATTTCATATTTCATGGACATTAAAGGATAATAATGAAATGCTATGAACAACTCTATGCCCATAAATTTGATAACCTTCATGCAACGGACCAATTCCTTAAAAGACACAATCTGCCAAAACTCATACAAGAAGAAATAGATAATCCAAATAGGCCTATATTTATTTTTAAAATTGAATCAATAATTGGTAACTTTCCAAACACAAAGCACCAAGCTCAGATGGGTTTAGAGGTGAATTCAACAAAACATTTAAAGTGGAAATTACACTGATTTTCTATAATCTCTTTTAGAAGATAGAAGCAAAGGGAATACTTCCCAATTCATCCTGAGGCCAGTATACCTTAATGCCAAAACTAGACAAAGACATTTATTTATGAGAAAACAACAGATAAATATCTCTCATGAACATAGATGCAAAAATCCTCAACAACGAGATGCTTGGTGGTCTGTGGTTCCGGAGCTTCCTCGGGATGTCAGTGGACTGGCTGAGGGGCAAGGTGGAAGTCAATCAAGAGACTATCCAGCGGCTCCTTGAGGAGAATGACCAACTGATCCGCTGTATCGTGGAGTATCAGAACAAGGGCGGAGCGAACGAGTGCGTCCAGTGCCAGCTTGTGTTACACAGAAATCTCATTTATTTGGCTACCATCGCAGATGCCAGCCCAACCAGTACTTCAAAAGCAATGGAATAATCTTTCAAAAGCAATGGAATAACCTTCCAGTTGGCTGTTGTGAGTAGTAATTGAATGTAATCCATCTCTTACAAAATGGAGACAGGATCTTTACCAACTTAACTGCTTAAAACGTGAATGACACTTCTGTGGCTCTATTTAAAAATGTGAAAATGTGGAAAGGGCGCGGTGGCTCACGCCTGTAATCCCAGCACTTTGGGAGGCCGAGGTGGGCGGATCATGAGATCAGCAGATCGAGACCATCCTGGCCAACACCGTGAAACCCTGTCTCTACTAAAAATACAAAAAATTAGCCGGGCGTGGTGGCGGGCGCCTGTAGTCCCAATCACTCGGGGGGCTGAGGCAGGAGAATGGCGTGAACCCGGGAGGCGGAGCTTGCAGTGAGTTGAGATCGCGCCACTGCACTCCAGCCCGGGCAACAGAGCGAGACGCTGTCTCGAAAAAATAAATAAATAAATAAAAGTGAAAATGTGAAGAAAGCTACCAACTTAACTGTATTCTCAATGTAAATATTTTTAAAATAATTAAGCAAATCCCTCAATAAGTTGAGACCAGATGTCCTCTTTCCTGAACTTGGAGCATATTTGGATAACTAAGACATTACTAGGATGTTCAAGCCTACTTTTTAGTTTCAACCTGAAGAGGAAGCTGAGTAGGTGTTGGGCAGGAATTGGTGAGACTCCTTGACTTGAGACCTTGCTAAATGGACATTTATCTGCGTGCTCCTTCCTAACAGTTGTAAATGTGGTCCCCCGACTGCTGTTTTCAGATTGCTTTGAAATAAAGCTTAGTTTTCTACAAAAGAAAAAAAAATCCTCAACAAAATATTAGCAACTTGAATGCAAAATGTATTAAAAAAATTATACACTGCAAGCAAATGGAATTTATCCCAGGTATGCAAAACTGGTTCAATATTTGAAAATCAATGTAATCCATCACATCAACAGGCAAAAGAAGAAAAATCACGGCTGGGCATGGTGGCTCACTCCTGTAATCCCAGCACCTTGGGAGGCTGAGGCAGGCAGATCACAAGATCAGGAGTTCAAGACCAGCCTGGCTAACATGGCAAAACCCCGTCTCTACTAAAAATACAAAAATTAGCTGGGCATGGTGGTGCGCACCTGTAGTCCCAGCTACTCAGGAGGCTGAGGCAGGAAAATCATTTGAACCCAGGAGATGGAGGTTGCAGTGAGCCGAGATCACGCCACTATACTCCAGCCTAGGCAACAGAGCAAGACTCAGTCTCAAAAAAAAGAAAAGAAAAGGAAAGAAAAATCAGATCAATAGATGCAGAAAAAGCACTTGACAAAATTTAACAGAAATTAATGAAGTTCTTTATCAACTTGATAAAGAACATCTACAAAAATCCTACAGCTAACTTCATACTTAGAGGTATGAAACTAGAAGCTTTCCTGCTAAGATCAGGAACAAGGAATGGAAGTCTCCTCTGACTACTCCTTTTTCAACACTCTAGTGGAAGTCCTAGCTAATGCAAAAAGACAAGACTTAGGTAATAAAAAAATATACTGATTGAGAAGAAAGAAATAAAGCTGTTTTTGTTCACAGATGACACAATTATCCATGTAGAAAATCCAATAGCAATGACCAAATAACTGGAAATAATAAGTAATTCTACAAAGGTTGCAGGATACAATGTTAATATACAAAAGTCCATTGTTCTTCTATTACTAGCAATAAACAAGTGAAATTTGTTTTGATGTTGTTGTTGCTGTTGTTGTTGTTGTTTGATACTGAGTTTTGCTGTTGTCTCCCGGGCTGGAGTGCAGTGGCGCAATCTCAGCTCACTGCAACCACCACCTCCTGGGTTCAAGCGATTCTCCTGCCTCAGCCTGCCGAGTAGCTGGCATTACAGGCACCCACCACTATGGCCAGCTAATTTTTGTATTTTCAGTAGAGACAGGGTTTCATCATATTGGCCAGGCTGGTCTCAAACTCCTGACCTCAGGTGACCCACTCACCTCAGCCTCCCAAAGTGTGGGGATTACAGGCGTGAGCCACCGTGCCCAGCCTTTTTTTTTTTTGGAAATTTGAAATTAAAACATATTATGTAGTACCTTTTACATTAGCACCCCCAAAAGTAAAATACTTAGGTACAAATCTAAGAAAACATGTACCAGTCTTATGTGAGGAAAACTACAAAACTCTCATGAAAGATACCAAAGAGAAACTAAATAAATGGAGAGATATTCCATATTTACCAACAGGAAGACTCAATATTGTCATGTTGTCAGTTCTTTACAACTTGACTTAAAGAGTTAACGCAATCCCCCATCAAAATATCAGCAAGTTATTTTGTGAATATCAACAAACTGATTCTAATATTTATATAGCAAAGCAAAAGACCTACAATAGCCAACACAATATTGAAGGAGAGAACAAAGTTAGGAGGACTGACTCTCTCCAACTTCAAGACTTACTACAAAACTACAGTAATCAAGAATGTAGTGTTAAATTAGCCAGGCATGATGGTGCATGTCTGTAGTCCTGCTTGCTACTCAGGAGACTGAGGTGGGAGGATCACCTGAGAACAGGAGGTCAGCGCTACAGTGATCATGCCACTGCACTCCAGCCTGAGCAACAGAGTGAGCCCTTGTCTCTTAAAAAAAAATTTTAAATTAAATTTAAACAAATATTAAATAAAATGAAAAAGTAAAGATTGTGTGGTATTGACAAAATGATAGACAAATAGATCACTGGAACAAAGTAGAAAGCCCAGAAATAGACCCACATAAATACAGTCAATTGATCTTTGGCAAAGGAGCAAAGGCAATACAATAGAAGAAAGATAGTCGTTTCAACAAATGCTACTGGAATAACTAGACATCCACATCCAAAAAAAAATGATTCTAGACAGACTTTACACCCTTCACAAAAATTAACTCAAAAAGGATCATAGACCTGAATGTAAAATGCAAAACTATGCAACTCCTAGACAGTAACATAGGAGAAAATCTGGATGACTGAGGGTTTTATGATGACTTTTTAGATACAACACCAAAGACATGATCCATGAAAATAAGAATTGATAAGCTGGACTTCATTAAAATTAAAATTTTCTGCTCTGAAAAAGACATG